>NC_000008.11:141755779-142057857 GCF_000001405.40 Homo sapiens
GAGATGTGAGACTGATTGCTTTCCAGACACTGGGATCTATGAGAAAGTGCAGGATAAATGAACATTATTCGAGGCCACCTCTCCATTCCTGGCCACTCAAGGAAGACTTGGAAATGATAAACTGGGAAAATAACATCCTTATGGCATCCTCTGGTCTTCCCATAGATGCATGCCCATGACCTCACCTCACATGCATGGCGGAGCTGTGAAATGATGATGATGATGGTGATGATCATGATAGTGATGGTGATCGTGATGGTGATGATGGTAATGATGAAGGTAATGGTGGTGATGGTGGTGATGATGATGATGGTGATGGTGATGACTGTGATGGTGGTGATGATGGTGGCGGTGATGATAATGGTGATGGTGATGATGATAATAGTAATGATGATGATGGTGATGGTGATCGTGATGATGATGCTGGTGGTGATGGTGGTGGTGATTCTATCACACCTTAAGTGCCCTTGGAGTACTCTTTGTTGGTGCCAGGCACATTGCTTATCACCTAGCATACGTTAATTAATTTAATCTTTACAGCAATCCTAAGATATACATGCTATCATTATCCCATTTTATAGATGACAGAAAGGGAGGTTGCTTAGCTTCTTGCTGGGTCCACAGTCCAGCAAATTGAAAGCCAGAATTCAAATCCAGGACAGCTGGCTCCTCAGTGTGCAACCTCCACGCCCATGGAGTAGGTCACTTTGTTCTCATGACTTTTCTGCCCATTTCCCAGCTAGGGAGACTGATGTGCAGTGTCCTGTTCAAGGTCATGTGAATAGGGGCTGAAAACACATTTCCATTTCTGCACCTTCTTCCAAGACCCCACCTGGTGTCATTCTCCCCATTTTGGAAGCTTTAAAACCCCAAGTCCCTTCAGGGACAGGGAAGACTTCCACCTGGCTGCCCGAGCCAGCCCCTGCCAAGGCCTCATCCCAGGGCCTGAAAAACCACCCGGGCTGGGAGGTTCTTTGTCCTGGCCCATCTGGTTGCAAACAACAGCACCTGCTCCAGCCTGTTGGAGTGAAGGAGCATGGTGGGGCGATGCCAGAGGATGCTGAGGACACCAGACATAGGAAGGCTCATGTCCTTGTCTGCCCAAGGCCATCTTGGTTCTGCCTAAATGACAGCTGTGAGAGCTCCAGAGCCAGGTTGCTTGGCTCTGGGTTTCAACAGCCCAAGTCCCCCTCTTTGGGAGGAAACTCCCCTGTCTCACCTCGGGTCAGGGGCTTACCCCCGGCCTAGCTTGGTGGCTGGGAGATGAGGAGAAAGGGTGGGGCTCCTAGGAGTGGCAGGGCTGAGGGCACCCATGGGTCAGGGATGCCTTGGGAGGAGTCCCGGTTCAGGCTCTGCACTCCCAGCTTCTCAGCAGCACCATGGGGAGGGGAGGGCTTGGGGCAGGAATCGGGCAGGGCTGGGCTGGGTTGAGATCCAAACACTCGATAACCAAGACAAATGCTATTTTAACACCACACTTAAAAAATCCAAATTAACGCAAACACATTCAGAAGAAGCAAAATAACAAAATTTAAGATCAAGATAGCCTCCGTCAAGGCTGGGGGTAGCATAAGGCAGCTGAGGTGAGTTGTGTAAGCACAGGGTGGAGTCCTGTCTTCGCTGGAAATGTGGTTATTGAAATGTGTTATACTCTCGAATATCTCTGAGGGAGAAGATTTTAAGTGTTCTCACAAAACATAGTAGCCCTCCAGGGAATGCATGTGTTCCTGGGCCCCAGCTAGCCATTCCATGGTGCACTCATATTTCAAAGCATCATGCTGTATACCATAAACACATACACTTTTTAGTTGTCCATTAAAATTCATGAAAAAATCCAAAAAAAAGTTGATATTCAGGTCCTGATGCATTGGAAACACTGCATGAAATTATCACTCCTATTGGTCGCTGAGGGTTCTGCGTTTACCTCACCAGAGTCTCGGCCCTGCGGGATCCTATCCTTATAACAATTTGATATTTTGTTCACCTTGGAGTTTAAAAAAATAATTTTGTTTCCAAAAATGCATTGGAATAGTATTCGTCTGGATCACTGAGTTTTCTGGCACCTCCTTTGTAGGCAGACACCTGTCTCACTCACCTCACTGTTCCCAGCCCCGAGGGGAAAGCTCTGTGGGCACCTCTCACACCTCGGCTACTGGGCCTGAGGAAGGTGAAGGTCCTGGCATGGCCTCTAGCAAGGCTGGAACCCAGGCCTGGCTCTCATCTGCCTGGCTCACCTCACAGCCCTTCACTGCCAGCCTTTCCTTGCTTTCCTGACCTCCTCCTGTTTCCAGAACCATCTGGCAGCCCAGAGCCCCATCTCATTACCCTTTTTCTATCTGCCAGTGAGCACCGGCAGAGCTGGGCTTGTCCTCTGGCCTTGGCATTACCATCTGTATAAGGGGGTTCGTCCTGACCACCTTGCCTAGCCCTCTGGTTACTAGGAGGCTCAAAGGAGGTGGCAGGCATTTTAGAAACTCCAGGAGCTTCCAGCTGCAAGGCGAGCTCCTCATGACAAGAGGCACATGTCTCCTTCAATAAACATTCATTCAAAGGGATGCACGTGCCGGGGAGAGAAAGAGAGAAAGATCATTGGACTCTTGAGCACTCCATCCTCATCATGACCTCTGACCCTAGAGGCCTTTTAAAAGCTGCAGCTGCCTCTGGGCACAAGGCCCCAGTTCCCAGTCCCGTCTCTGGCTCCCACATCACATGCGGTACGTGCAGGAGGCTGCTGGGCTAGACCCCCAAGCTCAGGGCAGTGCCTGGCGCACACTGAGTGGGCGCTGCACATGTGGTGGCTGTGGCTGTCATCAGTAAGCCGTGGCTGCTGACGGCTCCTGCCATCTTCCCTTTCCTTCAGGTCCCCTGGGTTCCTGCCCTGTGTGGAGAGCCCCCATGCTCCGGCCGGGGATGCACCTGTCATGCCTGCACCTGTGGAAGGCCTCTCCCCTCCTCAGCTCTCCCTCCCCTGCACCTCCTCCTCCAATTTATTCATCTCTGTAACAGGCCTTCCCGCAAGCTGACTAGTGTGATAGATACGCTTGAATGGTTCTAATCCTTGTCAAGAGATTTGGAGTTGAATTAAACAGAGCAGATGAATTAACTACAGCCAGGGCAGGGGCTTTATCTGCATTTCAGAAACGGGGAACTGAGGGTTGCAGCGAGGGGCAGTGGAGGGGTCCAGAGCCTGGGGTCCTGACCCCAGTCTAGGTTACGTGCAAAGTCCCCTTCCAGCACCTGTCACTTTCCTTGGAGATGAGGTGCAGACGGGAAGGAGTTAACAGCCATGCTGCCTTCCTCAAAGCAATTAATTAAGGAATTGGAGAGGTAGGGTCTGGACAATTATGCCCTAGACAAAGGAGATGGAGGAGGCGGGGGCAATCACTTCAGGGAGCCTTGCGCTGGGAGATTAATAAGCGTTTGGCATTTGGACAGCACGCCAAGGCTCTGAGCAGCACTTCTGTCGGGCCCTGCTCCATGCTGGCCCTCTGGGAAATTCCTGGGGCACAGGTCAATGTTACCTTGGTTACCCAGGCCACCATCATGACCAGCGCATAGGCGGCATCAGGATGACCAGGCTCTGGGGACGCCTGGCTCGGCTAAGAGTGTTGACGGCTTCTATGTGAGGGCCGGGGCAGGGGTGAGCGGGGGCAGGGCTGAGAGAGCTGGGGCTTGCAGGCTCCAGACCAGACCCCAGCCCCATCCCAAGGCCACCCCATTATTTAGAGAAAGAGGAAGGCTTGACGTCCATCGGGCCTGGGCTCTGCCACTTACAGGGCAAACGGGGCTCTGCTTCCTCCTCCGCTGAGGGGGGATAACACCGGGTCCCCTGGACGGTGTGCAGTCAGAGAGTGGATGTGGGATAAGCCATCAGCCTGACCCTGGTGTTGAGAGAGACTTGCTCATGTTCTTTTCCTTCCCTCTTTTCCTCTGCAGCTTCCCCGCCACTGCCACCCGCTCCGAGGCATGCCCTCCACCACGGCCCGGCCGCAAGGCACCTCCACTGCCAGCCGCTTCCCACACGTGGGCCTCCAGCAGCTCCTGAGGCTCATCCCATCACATTCCACCCCACCGCAGGGCCCTTCTCCACCTCTCCCACCTCCGCCTTTTGGTTCCAGCCTCCTCCTCCTGGGAAACTCTAGAGGACTCTCTTCTTCCTCATCCTCATCCATCATCTAAAACATTCCTTTCCAAGTTCAGGAAATTCTTAATGAGAAATTGGCCCAGATTTGGGAAGGGTAGGTCAGGGGAGTTTCACTCATTCATTCATTCATTCATTCAGTCGCTCATTCATTCATTCACGCATTCATCAAAGAGTTCTGAGTGTCCTGTGGCCAGACTTGTTCCTCGTATTCACTGTCCCCTGGGGATGTCACGGCAGAGGAGCCCAGCTGTGCACTCACTCCTGCTTCATGGAACTTACATTTAAGGCGGGGTCCAAACAACATAGGTGGCAAAAGGCTCTCTTTATTGAGTTTTGGGTGAGGGCCAGTGCTGCCTGGGAGGACCAAGCCAGGAGGACTAAGCATGGTGGCAGCGGGCAGGGAAGGCTGCTGGTACAGAGCCGCGCTCCTTGGGAGAGGTGAGGAAGGGGCAGGGGTGGTGTTGGTATGAGGCTGAGGCTGCCACAGGGTGGACAGGAGAGAAGGCCAGAGTTGGGGGTGGCCCCTGAGTAATTCTGGGCTTCGCAGGCCATGGAAGGTGTTTGGATATACTCCTCAGTGCCACAGACGCTCCCAGGGACCAGGTCTCTGCCAGATAGGGCAGAGGGTCGCCCCCGGCGGGGATGATGGGCAGCCCAGCTAGTCCACGGAACAGAGAACGCGGCGCCGAGACCCCCTCGGGGTGTGAGAGCATCACAGTGATCCAAAGCAGGAGCAGTCCCCACCCGGCGGTGGTCAGCTTGGAGTGGTCAGACGGTGCCCGAGTTGTCCTCTGTCCTCTGTCCTCGCTGCAGACCCTCGCGGCCCCGGCCCCTGGGCTGCCGCAGAGCGCACCGGGCAGAGCGCACGGGGCGTGATGAAGCTGAGCTTCGAGGGGTGCTCAGCTGCCAGGGTCTGTGTGCCGATTGTGCCTTAGTGCTTGGCTCAGGCCTGAATCCAGGGTGACCATAGAGCCCCAGTCAATACTCATCAGAGACAGTGACTCCAACGAGATGAAATATAAACTTCCCAGAAACTGCGGGATACGTGGGGCCACCGTCCTGAGAGGGCTGTTGCTGGCTGGGAAACATTAAAACTTTCAGAGAGAGGGGAGCCTCGGACCTGCTCATCCCCCAAGCTCATCCCCACGCTCCGGTCATCACCCGGACTGCCCACCTCTGTCCCCAAACACAGCAGGTGGCCTGGGCTGGGTTCTGCCTGCAGGCTTCCTCTCCCTGAGCTTCCTTCCCTCTTGGGCTGCTGGAGGGCAGGTGGTCACAGCCTCTGTGACGAGTCTCGGTCCCATCCACGCCCCTTCCTCCTGGGCAGCTCCCGGCTTCCCTTCCACGGAGCTGTGGCGTTTTCCAATCAATCATCTGTGGGTCCAAGGGACAACTGCTGTTTGCAGGTCTGGCCTTGGGATTTGAAGACCTAGTTGGAGCCCCCTCAGCCCCACACTGGTGAGGAGAGCAAGTGCTCGGCCCTGATCTGGTCTCCCTGGCTTCAAAACAGGAATGATAGCAGTGACCTTGCAGGACTGTAGGAGACTGGAAAGGAAGCCCTGCTGTAGCCCTTGAAGAGAAAATTCCCATGCCAGGAGAGCGCCCTCCAGAACCTCCAGGGGCTCTACAAACAAAGCCTGGTCCCTCAGCAGCACCTAGGCCAGGGTGGGAAGGGCCCCATGGTCCACGACGCCCAGGACTGCCCTCCCCAGGTTTCTAGCAGCACCATGGCCGCTGGGTTCCCACCTAGGGGAGGGAAAAGGCCAACAGCGGAAGACAGTGAAGATTAGTCATGCATTTGCCAAGTGCTGTTTTTGGAGAGGTCCCAGCCTTCGAGGCCCCTGCGGGCGTTTCAGGAGCATCCTCGCTGGTTTCCCACAGCTGCCCCCCGACAACCCAGCACACACACGCGGGGGTGGCGGGAAGGTGCGAAATTGCCATTTCCTTCACCACTCCTATCTCTGTGCAGCAGACACGCGGGGAGGCTTTTAAATTCTAAATGGAAAGCCTCAAACTGCCGGGCTTCTACAGGCAAACGCCTTTAATTCTTCATTCCCTCCCGCTTCCTGGCTGAGCTTTCTCTTTAATTAAGAGAAAATTGTGACATCAACTCAAGGGCATCACCTTCCCCGATGTGGTAAAGGCAGGGATTTAATCCCAGGCCAGCCGCACATACCCCCAGCAAATCTGCTTTCAGATTTGTGCCGCTGCAGATAAGGAGAATTTCATGCAGGCAGATTGGGGAGGGGCCACGGCCTTCCGGAGCCAAATGGCAGGCGGAAGACAGCAGCCAGGCATGGGCTTCTGGGCGGTGAGTCCAGCCCCTTCTGAGGCTGGGCTGGGGCCAGGCAGAGGCTGCAGGCCCCTGGTCACTGTGGGGCTGGGGAGGGTGAGAGGGGAGGGGCAAGTTTGCCTTGGGAATCTGAGAGCTGGGGACAGACAGGGGACAGGGCAGCCGGGTGGCTGAGGAGTTGGACTGGGAAGTCCGTCCACCTGTCTGTCCACCCGTCCATTCGTCTATCTGTCCGTCCAACCATGGGCCTATCTGTTCTTCCAACACTCACTTATTCAAGGTGGGGCCAGCCTCAGGCCTGTTCTGGGCACAGGGCTCCATGCCAAGCACGACAGATACAGTCCCTCCTGTTGGTGATGTCAGTCTCCTGGGAAACAGGCTGAACGCAATGACCACGCGGCCCGTGTGGGTGCTTGCGGGTCTCTGGTGCCCCGGCTCCAGCTGCTTTGTGGTTTGGACTAGTGGCCTAACCTCTTGGTGCCTCCCTCTCCTCATCTCTGCAATGTGGACCTAGGCGTGGGCCTGGGGTGGGGACTAAATGGTGAGGGGAGGGAAAGTACTGGGTAAACCCGTGGAGCCTTATCATAGTGATGACCAACACTGTCAGGGAGCTGGGGCCACTCCCAATGCAGCTGCATGGATCTCTTCTGATGAGGCCGTGGAGCTTCATGATCCTGGGGTCCCTTGTCTCCTCTCTCCCCACCCTCCTGGGTCAGGACCGGTTCGCTCATGGATGAATTAGGATCAAAAACTAGTGAGGCCATCAAGGTTGTAATCCATGGCCCCCAACCCCCCGCAGCTCCCTGTCCAGCAGGGATAAGAGACTACCTTCTGAGGGGCGAGGCTCACACCGAGGGCTGCATGGGGGGCAGTGAGAGCAGGCTTCAGGAGAGATCGTTTGGAGCTGGGACTCAGAGGGCAAGTGGCTGGTGCTGGGGAGGGGGAAGGCACCCCAGGCTGGCCTGCAGGTAGCAGCTGTGCTGACATGGAGGGTGGGTGTGTGAACTTCGGATCCATTGGGAGGCACCCTACAGATCCGAGCAGGCAGGAGCCAGGTGGGGAGGTCAGGAGGTTAAGAGGTCAGCATTTGTCCCGCAAGCCGCCTTTCCCGGCACGGTTCGTCCTACCACTGGGGAAGGAGGGGGCGGTGGCCAGGTTCATGGCTCCTCCCGCCCCAGAGCCGAGGTGGGCTAAGGATTGGGGACAGGCACAGCACAGGGTCTCTCCGACCCAACCCTCACGCTCTTTGGCCATTGCCATAGCCTGGACACGTTTGGCCTCTCAGAGCCTCATTCTCCTTGTCCATGAAGTGAGTGCCAGGCCAGGGGCCTGTTATCCTCGAACACTCTGTGCTTTGAAGCCCTCCCAGAATCACAGGCCTGAGCCTGGCATCACCAGGGCCTCTGTCCCTCCCACCACCCATCCCTCCATCCCTTCCACTGCCCATCTCTCCATCTCTGTCTCTCTGTGGCAGCCAGGATTGCTGTTGAGTTTGTAGAAGGCTTTTCCCAAATCCCTCCTAACTCCAAGGTGATTTCACCTGTTGGTCCAAAATGCGGGGTCCATCTGCTTGGCAGTGTGGACCCTGTGGTGTCTCCATTTCCTCTCTGGTCCCTCCTTTACCCCCACAGCACTGGTATCACTGTGTAACAAATCACCCCAAATTTTGGGAGCTGAAAGCAACAAACCTGCATATGTATCAATTCTGTGGGTCAGGAACAGGGAGCGGCTCAGCTAGGCGGTTCTGGCTTGGTCCTTGCAGTCAGGGAGTCAGTTGGGGCCGTGTCATCTGAAGGCTTGAGTGGGGCCAAGGATCTGCTGCTCCCACAGCTATAGGCAGGAGGCCTCGATTGCCCACCACGCAGGCCTCTCTGTGGAGCTGAGTGAGCTCCGCACAATATGGCAACTGGTTTTCCTTAGAGCAAGTGACCAGAGAGGGAGAGGAGACTGACAGACAGAGGAGGAAGCCACAGTGCCTTTTATGACCCAGTCTCTTGCACGTGTATTTGCTAGGTGCAAATCTTGGTCCCGCCCACACTGGGAGGGGTTGGTACAAGGCTCTGCCTGGTGAAGGGAGGGCTGGGAGGAGGTGGGCATCACACACAGCCCCCTGGCCTCCCTTTCCCTATGACTTTTCCAGCCTTCTCCTCCCACCTCCCCTTTTCCTCCTGTTCCCGGCCATTGTGATGTCCCCCGGACCACTGCTTTATCTACCCCACTCTGTCAGAGGTGCCCAGCCCCTGTGACGTCTGTCTATCTGTCCTCTGCCTCTGCGGGAACTTCTCCCCATCATCTTTCCCTTCATTACACCTTCTTATCACTCTGGTTTCCCCACTTTCCTGGGAGCGTTTTGGTTTGGTCCTGGTCACATCCGCAGACCCCACTCCCTCTCAGCCTCACTCTTCTCCCCCAGCCTGAGACCCCAGCCCCACCCAGTGAACAAGGGGAGCCAGGTTGCAGAGTACAGACACCACCCCTCAGGGCACTGTCCTGCACACACCACCTGCAGGGGTGGCCTCTGTCCGCTGCACCCCCATGATGTCTGTGGAGGACACGTGGAGCTCGGGACTCCTTCAGGTGGCCACAGCCTCTTTGTCAGGCTATTTAAATCCTGAAGTCTCATTTTCCTGATTTAAAACCAACCTCTTCAATTGCTAATATTCAAAGGGAAAACAAAATAAGAAAGGAAAAAGAAAGTCAATTTGCACAGGAAGATGAAGTATGTCGGGGCCCACTCCCCTTTGCAGTGAAGGCTGTGAAATCTTCAGAGTTGGCCCCAAGGCAGCAATGCTTATCTGCACCAGAAAGGAACCCTCCGCTTCCTCCCCTGAGCTGGGCTCTGCAAACCCAGAGTGGGGGAGAAGACACTGCTACCCCTCGCGCCTGAGCATCCCGGGCCCCACTGTGGCCATCTGGTGCCTCCTGGAAGGCAGAGAGTCACGTGCTCCCCAAGGGTCTAAGACATGGATGGTGGAGAACGTGCCTCTGTTCGGCAGGTGCCCCACTACAGACTTGCTGATTATGGCCACAGGCTCCTGCCACGGGCTGAGCCCGAGAGCAGGGCTCAGTCTTCCCAGGCATGCCCTCTTCTCTGTGCCTTCTCCCCAAATCCTTTTCTGTGGAGAGTCCCCTCCCCCAACCGCCAAGTACTGGGGTCATTAGACTCTAGTGGTAGCTTCTGTACCCCAAGCCTTCGAGCCCCTTAGGCTCCAGAAAGCAGCATCCGGGAGCCTGCAGGATGGAGGCGAGGTGGCCAGTAGAGCCCAGGATGCCCGATAGCATGTGTATTTCAGATATGCAACTCACAAGTTTCTAGTCTAAGTAGGGTCCCAAAGATTACACGGGACACAATTATACTCAAATGATTCCTTGTTTACCTGAAATTCAAATGTAACTGAGTGTCTTCTTTTGCTTGCTAATCAGACATGCTAGATGGAGGGAAACCCTGCTGGGGAGTGGAGTCCCAGCCACAGCCCCCACATGCTGGTCATGGCCACCCTGTGTCCTCAGCTAGCTTGGCCCCTCCGGAGGAGGGCTGTCTGTGATCTCAGGCAAAGGGTTGGGGCTCCAGGTCACACTGTCTGTGCTCAGACCCCAGCTGGCGGCTTGGGCAACTTAACCTGGTGAGCCTCAGTGCAGTCAGGGTGATGATGCCAGCGCCTTCGAGGGTTTCTGTGGGCCTGAAATCACAACAGTCATTCAGGTGACATGCTGGTGTCAGCTCTGACACTGGACGTGTGGATGGGAGAGGGGCAGGGGAGAGGGAGACCTGGGGGCAGGAACCTGATTTATTCACTTGAGGACCCTGACTCAGCCCCCACCTGCTACCTGCACTGCTGGGGGCCCAGGCACGGAGGTGAAAGGGCAGGGTCCCCCACTGGTGAACACCGACTCTGAGCCACCTTTGCTCCTGGCAGCCAGCAGCTTCGTCCCTGCTTGTGTGCTTCTGACACCTGTGCTGGCTGTGAGCAGGAGAGCCCAATACTGACGGAATGTTCCATGCGCTCAGCAGTGCCTGGTGGGAGCAGGTGCTGGGCCCTGGCCTGGGTGCTGACTCCAGAGCCAGCCCAGGATGGAGGCAGAGCTCCCGCCTTCAGATCAGCTCAACGTTGATCCTGGTTTGGCTTCATCCCTGGACTCCTGCAGTAGTGCTTGGCGCCAGTGTTCCCAGACATGCTTCCTAAAAAATCAGCCCCACACAAGACACAGACATAAAAAGAGACCCTTGGGGACAGTCGTAGAGATGGGCAGGTACCTGTGGCCTGGCTGTGGTGTTACCCTGGGGCATGGCTCTGTGGGGGGGCCTCCCATGCAGTTACACAGAGGTGGTCCGTGAGCTCCATTTGTCCTGGGCCAATGACCCACCATCACCACCGGGAATGTCTGTGACCGCACGAGTGTAGCTGTGCTCCTCTTTTGTCCAGAATGAAAAGGGTCCCATGGCAAAGCACTTGAGTGTGTGAGTGTATGAGTGTGTGAGTGTGTAAGTGTGTTCAAATGTCTAGGGGTCCCATGGGAAAGCAATTGAACTACCTGTGTGTTCAAACGTCTACAGGGAGATATACCCGATGGGCTCTGCAGGCAAGGGAAGGTGCTGGCGCGGAGGCCAGAGTGCAGCGGCCAGAGGGTCCGAGGGACACACAGGAGCACTGTGCCCGCCATGGGCGCTCCACCCTTGAGGCTGAGTGGCCCAAGGGAGAGAGCTGTGCCAGTGCGGACAGCACCTGCTGGGGTGGGCCCACCCCAGGACCAGACCAGGAGCCGGAGCCCAGGTCTGGCATATAGCATAGAGTGAGCAGACACCCCAGGATATCAGTGCCACCCTGGCAGCCTGGGCAGTGACTTGGCATCAGTGCCCTAGGAGGCCGGAGGGGGTGGCCCATGGAGCAGGGAGAAAAACAGCACTGAAAAGGAAGGACGTCCTTCCTCTCCCCCTCCCCTCCCCTCCCCGCTGAAAGCTCACAAGGATGCCGTGGTGGAGGGCAGGCTTGTGTGGGAAGGACAGGGCTGTTTACAGGATTTGGGGTGGTTTCTGAGGGGATGGCACTTATGCCCCTAGCCTGGGTCAGGCAGGTGGTCTAGGATGAGGTTCTCAGGAGAGCCCACACCCACCGGCTGCCACGCCAGGATCGCCTGAGACCCGACACACCCAGAGCCCGATGCTGGGTCTGCAGGGGCCCAGAAATCCCCAGCCTTGTAGGCCCCTGGGGCACTGGTCCGGGGACATGTGCAGGGGGAGAAGGTCAGTGCTTCGTGGCCAGGAGACGTGTGGGGACCAGGCAGCGTGCACAGGCATGACAGCCTGAGTTTCTGTTGCTTAGAATACCTGAAACTGAAAGGAAAAGCAACTTATTTCTTATGATCATGGAGCCTGAGAAGTCCAGGGTTGAGGGGCTGCATCTTGCAAGGGCCTTCCTGCTGTGGGGACCCTGCAGCGCCCTGAGGTGACGCCAGGCATCCCCCGGAGAAGGGGCTGAGGCTGCTGGCTCAGGTCTCTCGTCCTCTTCCACGCTGGGCATTCCCTGGCGAAGGGGCTGAGGCCGCTGGCTCAGGTCTCTCCTCCTCTTCCTGTAAAGCCACTGGTCCCACTCCAGTGGTAACCCATTAATCCATTAATCCACAAGTGGATTAATCCATTGATGGGAGCAGAGCCCTCTCGATCCAATCCCCTCTGGAGGCCCCACCTCCCAACACTACCACATCAGGACTCACGCTCCAATATGGTTTGGAAGGGGTCACTCAAATCATAGCATTCTTTTGTCTCCAGTTGTTTTTCTGTTTGGTTTGGGAGGGTCAGGGAGCCAGCCTTATCTTTGGACACCGCATGGATTTAGAATGTTTTTAGACCCTGCCCCAGAAGGAACAGCTGCTGAGACAGAGAAGCAAATAATGCCAGGGTCTCGGCACTGCAGAGCTCACTCTCCCCATCCTGTATTTCCCTCAAGCCATCAAATCCCGCCGTCAGAGCCAAGAGGCAAAGGCCGATCAGCCTGTTTTGCTCCTTCCCTTGTAAACATCAGCAATTATTTTTAGCATACGTGGCATAAACCACCCCCCTCTCCCAACCATCTCTCTACTTTTGTGACCCAGTGGCCTTGCCTCGGCCTGGTGTCCCTCCCCAGTCTTGTCTCCAGCAGCAGCGGTGGCACCCAGGGCTGTCTTCCAGCGTCAATCTGACCTTGTCACCAGCTGCCATCACTGTATCTGCAGACGTTGGACGATGCCTATTGAACAGACAAGGACTAGTAGACAGGAAACCCTAGCCCTCTGGGACACACGGGCAGCAGAAGGATCCTTCCCCTGCAGTGCCCCCAGCCTCAGCTCCTCCCTCTCCACTGCGGTGAGCAGGAGGGCACCAGGGCCAGCTGAGAGTGACTGTATCACCAGGCATCTTGCCCCCTCTCACAGGCCTGTCTGACATTCTCTGCATGGACGAACTTTGAGGACAGCAGCTTGTGATGTGCATGATGGTTTGAAATTAAAGTGGAAATATCCTGACATGAATGGCTCACGATCCTTGGCATGCTGAAATGGGGCTGACCCTGTGGAAAGCACGTGGAGGGAGGGGACATCTCCTGGTGGCCGACCTGCCGTCCCTCGGGCATTCTGGCAAGTCACGTGTGTGTGGAGGTGAATGAAAGCCCCACACTTTGGGCAGTGGAGGAGTAGGATGGTAAATCCCATTGCACGAGCAGGTGCCAGGCCAGCCTGGGAGCATCTGTGGGGCGAGCAGCAGGTGGGACCCGCAGCCCCTTGGTGAGAAGGCAGCTGGCTGATTGTGCCCCTAGAGCTGGGGCCTGGCAACACCTGTCTGGGCAGAGTGCAGCATGGGCACTGGAGAGGGCACGAGACTCCAAAATCCAGGGTCGAGTCCGCACCTTCTCTGCTGTGTGACTGTGGACGCATCAACCCCTCCCAGGGCCCAGCCTTCAACGTCTGGAAGTCCAGGGGCTGATTCCGGGAACACATACAGATCCTTGGCCACGTGCCAGGTATGTGCTAGCCTAGAGCAGGCAGAGGCGAGGTTGGCAGGCACATGCGTGGGCCTGCAACTCGGAGTGTCACCCGGCTCTGAGTGGAAGCACAGCGCAGGCGAAGCTTCCCACAGAAATTGCTCTCCCTGGTTTCTGCTGTTCCCTCAGAAACCACCCTAAGTCCTGTAAACAGCCCTGTCCTCCCCACACAGGCCTCCCCCCCACCATGGCATCCTTGTGAGCTGCTGTGAGTGTGAGGGTGTGCAAGGGTGTGGGCTTTGGGACTATGTGTGTGTGGGTATGCGTGTGCATGTGTGATGAGGAAGGGTTTTTTTTTGTGTGTGTGTGTGTGTGTGTGTGTGTGTGTGTGTGTGAAGCAACTTCGCATGGAGCCCATCAAAGCCTCCCCGAGCATGTGCATCTCCCTGGGGCTGAAGGAACCAGCAAGGTGTGGTCTGGGCTTGTGTTGCCTCTGGAAGGAACAGCTATTGCAAAGGCCCTGAACAGGAATGGCCAGGTGACCTCAATGTTTCTTTCCAGGAATGGATTTGGGATTTAAAGGAGGACAGAGTGGCAAGCTAGCCAGAGGAAACTCCTAGAATTCTGCACACACAGGACCGGACTGCAGGCAGCTCTGTCTGTCTCCCCGCCTATGGGAAGTGCTGGCTTCTGGGGGCTCAGCTGTCATCATCACCCCAGGACTCCTGCCCAAATCCTTACCCCATGAATCTCAGACCACGCTTGGAGCAGGCCCAAGGCCAGGACTCTGTCTGGTTTCTGGTCGTCCACACCACAGGCCCCAAGTGTTCCTCCCTGCCCAGACTCTGTGTCATTTCAGGAACTAGCCCCAGAGCCGACAGACCAAGGTCCCAGGGAGGCAGGTTTAGCTCAGTGTGATGACACATCTGAGAAAGCTGCTCAGTAATGAGACGCAGTAAGCCTCCCATCTCCAGTGGTATTCAAGCAGGAGGAAGGGCTACCTGGTGGGGACACTGTGTGAGGAAGCTGAGCCACATACCTTTATTTTTTCTTGAAGTTATTTTAGGGGATTAAGTGGTGCTCCCTCCCCTCCTATATGTCCACATCCTACCACATCCTAACCCCAGAACCAGCAGATGTGATCTTGTTTGGAGAAAGGGTTTTGCAGATGAAATTAAGGATCTTGAGATGGGTTTCTCCTGGATTATCCTAAGGGCCCTAAGTCCTTATAAGAGACACCCGGAGGAGTGGAGAAGGCCCCGTGAAGACAGGGCAGAGCTTGGAGTGGCACAGCCAAAGCCAAGAAGCTTCTGGAGCCACCAGAACCCAGAAGAGATATGGACGGACGCTCCGCCAGATCCATGGGTGGGAGCGCGCCCCTGGCAGCACCTTGATTTCAGATTTCTGGACCCCAGAGCCGTGAGAGAGTGAACGTGTGATGGCTTCAGCCACCCAGCTTGTGGCATTTCATCATGGTTGCCCTGGGAGGCGAATGCAGTTATGCACATACATGGATTCGCTGCCAAGGTCTCCAACTTGCAAGTTCTCTTGGGCTTGCCATGGGACCCTCCGTCCAGCCTGCCCTCCCTACCCTTCCAGCTCCCCAGAGGCAATCATCTTCACCCTTTTCCCTGGTGATTCTGATATTTTGCCTCTGTACCTCCAGATGGCACGCACACACACACACACGGCTTGTCGATTTCTCGGTCTCGGGCTTTGTCTACTGACTCCCGCCGTGCAGGATTGGGATGCAATGTTTGTGTTTTTAGCACTTCCACGAGCCTGCCTGCTGCCTGCCCCCACCCTCCCCGCAGTCACAATGCCATTTCAGCAAGATCGATACTGCAAACGCACTGCCACGCTGAGCCCATCATACAGGACTTCTTTTTCTTCTCCTGAGTCCAGTTTCCCTCCTGGAGTTAATAATGGTCTTATTTTTTCATTTGCTTAGTTTTCTGTACCCTTAACACTAATTCCACCTCAAACTCTCCCCCAGTTGTGCAAACACATCAGGACATTTAAACATATCAGGCATCCTACTAATTTGATCTCTTTGAAGAAATCGCTCTCCCCGGGCCTGGTCTGTCTCAAGGCCATTACCCGGCTCTCTTCTTCTTGAGAGGCTTGTTCAGGAATTCCCAGCTGTCTGTCTTGCTCTTTTTTGCCTGACTCCTTCATCTCGGTGGAGCAAATTCTTCTGGAAAAGGTGTGTGGAGGCCCCTCTGAGCCTCTGTGGAACAAGCATATTTATTGTGCCCCCTGCTAGGTGGATAGCTTGGCCGGATGTGGGGCTCTAGCGGGGACCTCTTTCCCTGAGAACATCTGGGCCATGCGTTCGTGTCTCCCGGCACCCGGCCCTGCCCTTGAGACCAACACCATCCTGATTCTTGATACTTTCCGTGAAATGCGTTGGCTCACTGGTTTGGTTTTTGTCCTCTCTGGAAACTGTTCAGATGCTCTCTTTGTTCTCTGCATTCTGAGACATCGTAGCGCCGCCGTTCCTTGCTGTGGGCTGGTTTTCTTCCTGGGAGCTGTGATCTCTGGCCCAGTGACTCGGAAGTTGCATGCCTGCTTTAGCTGGCTAGGGCCGCCATGGCAAAGTGCCACAGACTGGGGCCTCAACAACAGAAATGAATGAATAATCTCACAGCTCTGGAGTCTGGAAGTCCCAGACCCAGGCGTTGGCAGGGCCGCTTCCTCCTGAGTCCCCTCTCCTTGGCTTGTAGATGGCGTCTTCTCCCATGTCCTTGCATGGTCGTCCCTCTGCTGGTGTCTGTGTCCCCATCGCGTCTTCTTATGAGGACACTAGGCATGCTGCACTGGGGCCCCACCCACGTGAACTCACTTTATCCCAGTCACCTCTCTCAAGGCCTTGTTTTCAAACAGCCACATTCTGAGGTCATGGGGGTTCGGGCTTTGATGCAAGAATTTAGGGGATGACACAGAACATATTGATGCCCTTTCTTCTGGGGAGTAGCTATAGAGCTATTTCTCAGACATCGCTTCCCCTCTGCTCTCTTGGTTCCCTCTTTCTAGAATTTCTATGGTTAAAATGCTGGCCCTCCTAGGCTGGCCTGTTATTTTCTTCTTAGTTTTTCTCTGCTTTCTGTGGCACTTCCCCACCTGATCCCTCACCGCCCGTGGCTTTCGTTTCTGCTCCATGCTCTTCTCTCTCTGGGCTCTCAGCCCCCTACTGTGTTTTCCTGCATCCTGTTCATGTCTTACTTGCACCTCTAAGGATGCTGGCCACCGTCCGTTTACCGGCTTCGCCTCCATGTCTTCCAGGTTGCCGTGTCTTTGGTCATGGTGCTCTGTTTCCACCATGGACACTGTTGTCTGTTGGGTGTCTCCAGGCTGGGTGTTGCATTTAGAGGACACTCAGAGCCTGAATAAGGCCTGTGTGGTGTGAAGTGGCCTTGTTGTGGGCTGCACATAGGGTGACCCAGGGGAACCATGTCCCTGGGAGACAGTGGGTCCGTGTCTGTGCGTCTCTCTCCAAGCTGGTCAGATTCCCCGGGAAAGACTCTCCACACTTGTCTGGGACTGGCTTTCCAGAGGCTGCACACAGATTCCGACTCAAGCCCTACTCCTAGGACAGTCCCTGTCCCTGCTGTGATCCCCGCGGTGCCTGCCTGAGACAGACACTGTCTTCCTTGCCGTCTCCGCAAAATAAGCTTCCATTCTTCTGTGGAGGTGCAGAAGGGGCAGTCACCCAGGTTCTCAAATCGGAAAAAGGGTCTTGGATCCACCTCTGGAAGTAGACTTGCAGCAAACCTTTGTCCCATCTACAGCCCAGCATCGCCCCCTGGGAGGCCTGCACCTTTGGGTGGCTGTAGTCACGATGGCACTGCTGTTTCCCCACGGCCGGCTGAGGGCTCCGCTGCCTTGTGTCTGCTCATCCATCTGTGAATTACCTTTGAAATTTCCTAAAACCTAAAACTGCTCTAAACAATGAGGCCTACTAAACTATGTATAATTACTTTGACAATGGCCTCTGGAAATAGAATAGCTACGAAGCACTTTTACAAATGTTGCATTGCTACTTTCCCACATCCAGGAGGCAGCATTTTCATCTGCTTTCAACCAAAGGGAAGTGGAGGGAAAGGGTCAGAAGGTGGGGAGGGTCCCAGCCTGGGCCATGGTGCTGGGTACAGGAGAAGGTCCCTGTATACTTAAGGCGCTCAGGGCCCGTGCCCCTCGTCCTGGGGCCACAGGTGCAGAGGGAGAAGGGCAAGCCTGAGATCACAGTCACCATGTGATGAAGCTTCTCCTAACCCGGCATTCCTCTGAAGACCTTTTTTCCTGATACTTTTCTGTTGGGCCAATTGGTTGGAACTGAGGCCGTTATAGCTATGAGCTTCATACCTTTAATTTCTCCAGGGAGAGAGAAAAATGACTTCCCCATCAGCTCAACTCACATGATCATAGCTCATCCACTGAACCCCAGGGCTTCAGAGCCAGAAGGCCCTGGGAGATGCTCTGAGTTTGGATTGGCAGATGGGAGCATTGAGGTGCCTGCCCCCCTGCAACCACGGTAGAGCTCCTCCTTCAGGCCCAGCCTGCGCAGGCATCCACAAAGCCCTGCAGGCAGTGGGGGCCTCTCACCTGTGGCCACTTCCCCACTGCCTCTCTCTGACCCTGAGATCTGACTCTAATTTCTCACCAGGTGCCTTGGGCACGCATTGATTCTCTGCCGCTGCCGCATAGCATGAGAATCTCTTTGACCCTCTGCAGGGATGGCTTCTCCATAGACCAGAGGTGGGACCCTTCTGAAAGCTGCCCTCCTTGCCCTAACTGGGAAGCCATATCTGACCTGGCAGGCTGCATCTTCTGTGTCGCACCTGCCCTGGCCACCTCTGCTCGCCTCCTCCATGGGGTGCTCCACAGATTCATAGCTGTCTGCCTGCTTGTCTGCATCCCCATCAGACTGAGAAATTCAAAGCAAAAACAGCCTCCCTCCATTCCTCAGTGCACAGCCCATAGCAGGCACTTGGATGAGTAGCATCTGCTGTGAAACAAATGACCTCAAACGCCGTGGCTTCAACCAGCACGTGGTCCCTGGGGTCAGGAGCCCGGGATACCCTTGCTGGGTCCTCTGGTCATGGCCTCACAGGTGTGGTCAAGGTGCTGGCTAGGGCTGCTGTGGTCTCATCTGAGGCCTGACTGGGGAAGGCTCTGCTCCCATGCCCACCTGACTGTTGAGGGTTCCGTTCCCTGGGGCTGTGGGACTGAAGGCCTCAGTTTTAGGCAGCTGTTGGTCAGAGGCACTCCCAGTTCCTTGCCGTATGGGTGTCCCCAAAGTGTCCACTTGCTTCAGCCAAGCCAGCAAGAACGGCTGCTAGCAAGACTGACGTGGCAATGTTTTGTGACAAAACTACAGAAGTGATGTCCCATCTCCTGGGCCCTAGTCGATTGGTTAAAGCAAGTCCAGGACACACTAAAGTGGGGGGATTGCATGGGAGTGAATCCCGGGAG
The DNA here is from genome assembly GCF_000001405.40 of Homo sapiens. NCBI lineage: Eukaryota > Metazoa > Chordata > Mammalia > Primates > Hominidae > Homo > Homo sapiens. The sequence continues at coordinate 141,774,645 of NC_000008.11, forward strand.
GGGGCACTCATGGGGTGCCCCTAGAGTCTGCCTGGTGCTGCACTCAAGATATTGATAGAAAGAATGCAGGAACAAGTGAGGTGAGTTTTCCTTGGAGAGGGAGGCTGGGTTCAGGCTGCACACCTTGAGTGTTGGGAGGGGAGGCCTGGCTGCAGCCCCAGCAGGATGGCCATGGCAGATGTGAAGTCAAGCTCCAACCTCCGTCCTCCTCTCCAGCCAGCCTGGGTGGCACTGTGGGCAAGGCTGCATGGCCAGGGAGCACTGGGCGTGGATCCTCTGGGGAGCTGAAGGCATCATGTGGCTGTTGGCAGGCGTGACTGCCATTGGCACAGGGATGGGACTGTGCAGGGCCCAGCAGCCCATGCAGAGAAGTCAGCCTGGGGAGGGGAGGGGTGAAGCTAGAGTTACATTTGAAGGCAGAATTTGGCTCCGTGTGAACAGATGGGGAAGGGGCAGGAGTGTGAGCTGGGACCTGGCTGGAGGCCTATGAGAGCCTATGGGAGTTTGCAGCAGCTGCAGCCAGTGGAGCCAGGAATACGTGGAAGGAAGCGGGATTTGGTTGTCTGCACCCCACGGAGGGATGAGGACCAAGGTGAGGTTGGGATTGGTAAGGGTACTCTGGTGGCCCCAAGCACGATTTGGACCTTGGACACTTTTTAGCATAATCCAGATGGAGAAGTTCCTTGGGCCTCTGCACGGGGGGCCAGTCAGATGATGACTGGACTTCAAAGCCAAAATCCACACACAAACACCATCTTTCTGTCCAGTGGATTTCTTCTGTGTCATCTTTAGCGGCAGGCAAGACAATTGTCCCCAGGCGACCAGGGGAGGACTTCAGGGTGAGGACCCAGGCAAATGCCTGCATGTGCCCAAGAGGAGACCCCATCGGGAAGCAGAGGATGAAGATCAGGAAGGAACAGAGGCAGCCAGATCCCGGCCCCGCATGCAGGGCAGGCAGGCTGGCTTGGTGGCCCACACTTCCCTGGGGAAGGAGTGTTCCGTGCAGCCTGAGGCCCTTGCTGAGAGGCCAGGGGTGGAGGGAAATGGCTCAGAGAGAGGGAACCAGCCTGCCAGGGGGATTTGCTGCAAAGCAGCCACACAGCGGTGAAGCAAAGCTAGTGGTATTTAGCTGTGTGTGGAAGGCTCATTTTTCTGCCAAGGAAAACAACAATTCTCCTGTCCAGAGTGTCCCAAACTCCTTGGCAACTGTGACATCCAGTTGCTCTTGGAAGCCATTGTGAGATGCTGGGTCTTATCTCCTCCCGGGGCTCTCTTATTTCACTCCGTGCTAACTGCTGCATTTAAGCTCTGGTAAATGATCACAACGTGGGCAAGACAGCTTGGCCTTCAGTGGCATTTATTTTTTCCTTCCTGGCCAAATGCTGACATATAAAACTCAATTTCATTTTGAAGAAAGGCAGGCGGCTGTGTGTTTGTTTAGACCCCTCTCAAAGACGAAGGGTCGTGGCAACCGCTTGAGCCTTCTTCCAGCTCAGGTGGGAGAGTTCAGCACGGCCAGCATGGCTGGAAGTTGGCCTGGTAGGGATCCTCGGAGGAGCGTGAATTAATGGGAAGGGGGGGTTCTGAATTCTGCAGACCCAGTCCTGTCTGCCCTTCCTGGACCCGGGCTGGGATCCTGGTGACCCTGTTGGATCAGAGCTGGTCCCTTCCCCACCGAGCCTCAGCTTCCCTCTGGGGGAGTGGCGGCTCTCTCATCTGGGGGGTGAACCCCAGAATCACAGCCTTGACTGCCCTGGCCCCACGAGGGCACAGCCTGGCTTGTGTGTCTGAAGGCCGGGGACCGCTCTGCTCCTCTCGATGTCTGTGAGCAGCTGTCGTCCTCTCCTCAACTCAGCTTTCCAATCAGCTGAGTGGAAAGGGGTGGCACCGAGGTTGTGCGGCTGTAACGAAACGACACCGAAAGTGCCGTTGGCCCCGAGCCAGGCACGGAGCGGGCCCTGATCACTGTGGTGTGTGTTTCCCGTCCTCTTGGTCTGAGTGGATGAAAATTTAAAGGGGCCCTCCCAGTGACGTCTGCAGCTCAGAGGCAGTAGACGATGCTGCGTGGCACAGGTTTGGGGAACAGTGAGTCCCTGGAAGGGAGCTGGGGCGGGGTATTCGGACCCCTCGGGCCCCTTGGACCTACATGGACCCCTCACTCCTCCTCAGCTCCTGCTTCCCTATCTTAGCGTCTCTCACAACCTGGCCTTTCTACACACTTTTGTTTTGCTTCCACTGGAGTAGATGGGAAGAGGGCTCTCTGCCCCCTCCCTGGGCTGAAATTTTACATCTATGCCCTCTACCGAGTGAGTTGACAGAGCCCCCACTGCGAGTGGAGGGCACGGCCCTGCCCACGGGTGCTGGGCTTGGATGTGAAACATGGCTCGGCCAATAGGACGTGGTGGAAGTGGGTCAGGGCCACTTTGGGGACACTGTTCATTTCCTCTCACCCCTCTGCTGCTCTGCCCTCCACTGCAAGGCCAGCAAGCCCTGCTGGCTACTGCCTCATCAGCCTGAGCCCAGAACCAGGCCCCGGAGGCCTGGGCGTGCCTGGCTGGGCCCAGGTGAGACCCGCAGACTCCTGTGCTTAGAAGCAAATGCCGGCCATTAGGAACCAGTGAGGCATGAGATTCATTGTCTGCAGCAAAAGCCGCCTAAACCCTGCAGACAGATGTGCTCCATGAGGCGGGAACCACGTCTGTCTTGTTTCCTGGCAGCTCTTTGCCCAGAAAAGTGCACAGAGCTCCACACAGTATTTGATGAATGAGTAAATGAATAAGAAAATGAGGCCAAAAGGAAGACATTGTGTTTCTGAAGTTGTACAAATAATGAGTGATGGATATTGCCTGGGTCTTTGGGGTCCCTTTTCTGGGGCGTTTCTTCAGTGCCATGTGACAGTGACGTGGTGAAAAGCACGGTGATGGGAAGAACTGAAGTTAGAAGTGCTTGTGTGTGTCTTCTCCCCTGGCAGCACCCCTCTGGCTCTCAGCAGGTGGCTGAGCCCTTGGGGGATTGGGAGGCCCCAGGGTCCGTGAGCTGATGTCTGGAGAGGCCAGAGCTGACCATGGAATGTCCATTTCTGCAGGAGACCTGGGAAGAATGAAACTTGCCCTGGATGAATATAAAATCTGATCTAATATTTTATAATGCTGACTTATGATTCAGATTTTACTTAGTGGTGGCATTTTAGGCACTTTCACTGAAGGAAGAACGGATTTTCATTGAGAGATGTGAAACCCACATTGAAACTGGTTCATTTGGCTGCCTGAGAAGGTGGAGGCTGTGGTGGTGGTGACGATGGTGGAGAAGTGGAACCAGGAGGAGGAGGCTGGATGCGGCACCAAGGCAGTGCCTGTCGCTGGGCCTGCACCCAGCCTGGTCGATGTGAGATGCTCCCTGCCTCCTGCACTGTGGGTGCCAACCCTCCTCCATGCATGGCCGAGATGCCCCTGCCCACTGCACTGCAGTGACCCCTCAGGTAGAGCCTTCATCCCCTCTCCTCCCACATGTAAGGAGCAGAGGCCTAGGAGGGGTGCATTCCCCAGGTGGAGAGCAGGCCTGGCATGGGCTCGGGGGACTGGGCTCCTGTGACCTTGGTCATCTCACTTGATCGTGCCCCAGGCTCCTTGTTGTAAAGCGGGGACAATAATGGACCCACCATCCAGGACTGTCCTGAGGGCAAAGTGGCTAAGCCCGACCACAGTCCAAACATGTCCCCAAACCTCCATGTGCTGGAAGCTTAATTGCCAAAATAACAGTATAGAGAGGTGGGCCTTTATGAGTTGACCTGGGCATGAGGGCAGAGGCCTTGTGAGTGGATTAGAGCCTTTATCTCGGGGTGAGTTCTCACGAGAGCAGGTTGTTCTGCGAGCAAGCTGGGCTGACTCTTGTGGTCTCTGTCACGCGCACTTGCTTCCCCTCCCACTTTCCTGCTGTGTTTGAAGACAGTGTGAAAGCCTGTCTAGAAGCTGCTGCCCTGCCCTTGGACTTCCCGGCATCCAGAACCCGAGCCAAAAAAAGTTCATTTTTAAAAAAATTACCCAGTCTCAGGGATTCTGTTATTGCAACAGAAAATGAACTTAGACGTATGCTTACAACACACAGCATAGTGCTTGCCATGAAGGAACACCTGTTAAATAAATAATAGTGGTTGGTGGGTGGGTGCGGTTGTCATGAGTGTCCTTGTCAGGGCTGGTGTGGGTTGTTAGAGCAGCCGTCAGGATTGCTGCTGCCAGTGCTGTGCTCTTGTCAGAGTTGATGTCACTGTTGTCAGGGTTGCCATTGTCAGGGCTGTTGGTGATGATGCTGGGAGGGTTGCTGGCCCCAGAATTGCTGCTGCTGTTGTTGCTGTCAGCATTGCCATGAGCGTTGCTGCCTATGTTGATATTGGTGGTGTTATCATGGTGGCTGTTGCCCATGTTGTTGGTGGTACTTGGGTTGGTGTTAACGTGCTGTGGTTGATGTGTCACTGTTAGTGTGGATGTCAGTGTGGTTGGCATGCTGGTGTCCATGTTGCTGTTATTAGTGGTGATGTCAGTGTTGCTGGTGTGCTGTGGTTGGTGCATTGCTGTTAATGTGTGTGTGAGTGTTGCTGCTGGTGTGTTGTGGTTGGTGCCTTGTTGTTAGTGTCTGTGTGAGTTGCTGGTGTGTTGTAGTTAGTGTGCTATTAGCACCTGTGTGGGTGTTGCTGGTGTGTTGTTGTCAGTGTTGTTGTGTGTTGCTGCCAGTGCTGGTGTCAATGCTGTTATCAGTGTTGTTGTGTGTTGCCATGCCATGGTTAGTTGTGTTCTAGTCCATGTGCTGTGGTTGGGGCTGGCATTGCTGGTGTTGGCATTGGTGTTGTTGGGGTTGGGGTTGGTGGTGGTGGTGGTGGTGTGGTGTTGTTGGTGTTAGTGTTGGTGTTCTGATGTGGTGTTGGTGGTGTTGGTGTTGGTGGTGTTGTTGGTGTGGTGGTGTTGGTGTGGTGTTGTTGGTGTTGGTGTTGGTGGTGTTGGTGTTGGTGTGGTGTTGTTGGTGTTGGTGTGGTGTGATGATGGTGGTGGTATTGTGGTAATAGGATGGTGGTGGTAGTATGGTGGTGGTGGTGGTAACAGTAGGCATGGTGGTGATTACTATATAACGATGATAACGTTCTTGTGGAGGTGACTGTGTCGATGACACACTTGTGTGTCTGATGCCAAGTGCTCCCTGGACTTCTGTTTGCTCCTGGGCTCTTTTCCATCCCAGCTCTTCACCAGAGGGAGTTTTCATTTCCTGAGAGGGCGGCTGCTCTGATTGCATCAGTGACAAATGGAAGCTCGGGGAGTAGGAGGTAGGAGGATGGAAATCCTTATCTATTAATTGGTTTTCAGCCTCTCCGGCCCCCTCTGGTAATGACCCTTCCAGTCTCTGCCGTTATCTCAGTGCCTCTTTGTTTACTGCTAAGTTGAGCTTAATCGGGCCATTAGCTCAGGCGCAATGTGGAGCCTCTCAGTCAGGATCCACTGGGAGAATGTCAGTGTCTCTGAGCAAAAGGAGGTGGTGGGGGGTGGGAAGAGGGGTGTCCAAGAGATCCCTCAGTGGTACCGGCAGAAGCTGGATCTGATGCTGAGGGTCAGCCACATGCACCAGGAATGGTAGTTGAGGGTGCTCTCTGCAATGTCCAGTGTCCAGGGCATGGACCGGAGGACTGAGACACACATAGACCCTCGCGTTCAGAGGTGGCCCACAAGGATGGCCACCCCAGGCCTAGGGAGACCAGCAGTCATTGCTAAAGGGCTTGTTTCCAGACTCAGGGGCAAGGGATGAGAGTTAGGGCTGTAAAGGGAAAGGCTCTGCAGGGCTGGGAGCCAGAGAGATGGCCAAACTGGGATCCCCTGGGTGGACTGTGCAGGATGGTCCTAAGAGGAGGGCACATGGAACGTGGGTCCTGGAGCCATTATGAGAGCAACACCCCCACAGGGAAGTGTGAACTGCACACAGGGACCCTGTTCCTTAGGAGTGGGAGACACCACTCCTGGTTGGGGGGCGTGGCGGGGTGGCTGAGGGATCTGGATCTGATACTGGGTGTGATCTTCCAGCCGGAGAACAGTTAAAGGACAATTCTCATACTGCTGGAGGCAGCCAGCCCACATTGTCACCACAGCCAGGAGGATGGTGCCACCAAAGCCCCAGGGGTGGTGTCACGGGGCCATGCTAATGTGCAGGGGCTCAGCCTCACCCCCAGAGAGGCAGGTGAAGTACGGGGTTGCACCCCGATGTGTGTGGGGGCCAAAGCCACGCAGGTTCTCACCGGGTCCCTTTGTAGAATTCGTGTCTGGGTTTCCTTTTGGGACTGCCTATGCCCTCTTTTCATGCAAGCAAGTGCAGAGGCTGGGCCTGGGTGGCCTCCTGTTGGGAGAGTCCCCTTTCCCAGGGCGCCCACGTGGAACCCAGGAGGAAGCCTGGGGAATGCTGGCTTGCTTGGTTTTGCTGGGACTGCAGGGCACCATGTTGTTGTCCTTTGGTTTGACTCACCGTCAGAATAGCCACATCCCCAGGGCAGCCCAGCATGTCCCTTGCCAGGCTCCAGGAGTCGTGGTTGCTCACACGTGGCCCAGTCCTCCGAGGTTTGGGGCGGATGCCCCTGGCTTTTAATAGCGTGAGCATTTGCATGGGAAACTGAGGCAGGGCTGATGACGCAGGGATTTTGAGCTGATGTTAGCGTGATCTTCCAGCCTGTGACTAGTTAAAGGACAATTCTTAGACTGTGGGAGGCAGAGTGGATTCTCTATGCACGGACAACGTTATGAAAGCACAAAGCACATCTACACACTTTATCCTGCTGGATACAAAGCAGGAAGCAGCCTGCAGGCTGAGGCGGGACAGAGGCTGGGTGAATGAGCAAGGAGCACCCGAGAGAGGCTCGGCAGGGTCTCACTCCCCTGCTCTCAGACCCAGGCCGCTCACCCTGATGCTAACCACGCAGGCCACCCAGCTGAAAATGTGCCCAGGGATGGCCCAGAGTTTCCAGTCTGAGGGGCTTGGGTTCCAACCCCAGCTCCATTTCTGTGACCTGTATCCACATATTCACACATGAGCAAACATTAGGGGAGCGCTGCTGTGTACCGGCCATGAGCTGAGCCTGGCACGGCATGGTGAGGAAGCCGGCATGGCTCCTGCCCTGGCAGGGTGGAAGTCCAGCGGGGACAGTGGTAAAGCAGGTGAGCGAGGATGTGGTTGTGCAGTTGCTCATGGCGATAGCAGCATCAAAAGAGATGGTGCAGAGAGCTCTGGGAAGGGCTCTCCCAGGAGGGAGATTCCTGCCAGGCAGGGGAAAGGCAGGAAGTTGCTGGCTGAGTGGGGCCCAGCAGTCTATGGCCTGCGACAGATGCCACCCCTTATGCAGTGGGTGGAGCAGGTGGACGGTGGCTGCCCAATAGAGCCAGTGGGGGGCAAATGAGACCTGCCCATGCTCTGTTGGTCCCAGCTCCGTCACAGTCTCGGCTCAACGCAGACAACGGTTCCTTCCTTCCTTCCTACTGCATCGCCCATCTGGCGAACCTGCCTTGATGAAAGGTGACTTGAAGGTGGTAATGCCTTAACCCACAGGGAGGAGCGGGTAACGATGGCGTTCCATCCAGTGTTGCCAGTGCCAATGTGGGGCCGCAAGGGGTGGCGCTTGGCCCCACCGCAGCCGCTGTTGCTCCAGAGGGCAGTCCTCAGCCCAGAAGGCTGGATTGAGTCTGGGAGACCCCAAAGAGCCGTGGGCAGCCGGCAGAAGCAGGAGGCCTGGGGAAAGGGACAGCTGTGCATTGGATTCCAGTGGCTGCGGCAGGACGCAGGAGGAAACCCTCACTTGTATGGGAAGCGCCAGGGGCAGCTGTCATTGCAGAGAATGAATTGTCAAGGAAACAGCCCTGTCCTGTCACATGGCAGAGGGAGGGCACCGTCAGTTGTTGTAAGCACAGGGAATTGGACTGGAAAGAAGTGCTGGACAAGCTTTTGTGCTGTCATTGTCACCTTTGTCGTCACTGCTATCACCATTTTCAGTCACCAAATGGCCCCTGGACTGTCACTGTCACCACAAAAGCCAGCTGTAGCTATGCTGTTATTATTACCACCTTTCCTGTATTCCATACTTTCCATCTACCCATCCATCCATCCATCCACCTGTTCACCTATCCACCCATCCACCTGTTCATCCATCCATCCATCTAACTGTTCACCCACCCATCCAGCCATCCACCTATCCACCCATCCATTCATCCAACCACCTGTTCACCCACCCGTATTTCCACCCATCCATCCATCTATCCATCCATCCACCTGTTCACCTATCCACCCATCCATCCATCCACCCACCCACTCATCCATCCACCTATCCACCCCATCCATCCATCCATCCATCCATCCATCCATCTATCCATCCATCCATCCATCCATCCACCCACCCACCTGTTCATCTATCCACTCATCCACCCATCCATCCACCTGTTCAACCACCCATTCATCCACCCATCCATCCTTCCACCTGTTCACCCACCCATCCATCCACCCATCCAACCATTCATCCATCCACCCATCTATCCATCCACCCATCCATCCACCTGTTCACTCACCCACCCATCCATCCATTCACCCATCCATCCACCCACTCATCCATCCACTCATCTGTCCAGCCATCTATCACTCCATCTGTCCATCCATAGGTCCATCTTCCCATCTATCCATCCATCAGGACCCTCTCTGAGCACTCCATCTCTGACTCTGTGGCTGGCACTAGAATAGGTGCTGGTTACACTGTGAGCCAAACAAGGTCCCCAGCTCTGGTGGGGCTCACAGTCCCCTGGGGTAGACTTTGACAGAGAAGATACAAGTGAGGTCTCTCAACAAGATGATTCAGAGGGTGACGAGTACTTCACGAAACTGCACAAAACCCAGAGTGAAGGGTGGGGTGGGTGCCCGTGCAGGCAGGGTGGTCGGCACAGCCTCTCCAGGCATGCCATTGAGCTGAGACCCGGAGAGTGGGAAGGTTTCAAGAAGGAGCCTTCCAGGAATGGGAAACAGCAGGAGAAGGGACCTCAGGTGAAGGGGACAGATGGTGTGGGGTGTGAGGCATGGATGGGCCAGTGGGGCTGAAACCAGCAAGGGGGACAGTGGTAGCCAAGGAGCTGACTCAGCCAAGCTAGCAGGGACCGGGGCTGTGGGTGTGCAGGGGGCTCATGGACCATGGGAACAGGGGTGCTTCTAAGTGTGATGGGATGCCTCTGAGGGGCTTAGCTTAACAAGAAAAATACTGACAACAATAAGCTCCAGAAAGCCGGAAAGGGTTTTATGACAAACCCTCATGTTCCTGCCTCCCCAAGTGAAAAATCCCTTCCGGGAGGCAGCCCACCGTCATGAATGAGGGAGTAATTAGTCCACGTTTTAGACCTCTTCTGCATAGGACCTCCATAAACAATATGTTCTATTGTACTGTGTGTTTAAGAATTTACATAAATGGGATTATGGTATAAGTAATGTATTACAATTTCTCTTTTTACTCAACATTTTATTTTTAAGATCCATCCATGGTGACAATCTAAGTCTATTTTATATGTTTTTAAGTTCTGTAGTGTATTCCATCATGTGAAAATATTTAAATGTATGTATTCATTTCCATTCTGATGGGCATTTGGCTTGTTTCCAGTGTTTTCTATTACAAATAAAGTCATGGTGAAAATAGCCGTCATCTATTAGGCTCATTGCTTGTCACCGGCTGTTCTAGTAATTTTATATACATCCTCTCACGGAACTCACCTAATGACATTTGAGGGGGAAGTGCCCATTTTCCAATTAAGGAAACTGAGGCACAGAGAAAGCACATGGCCTGCCTAGGGTGATCAGCTGGGAGACACCCTGGGAGGCCCGTCCTGGGGTTTGGGGCCTTGGCTCTGATGCCATGCCACCTTGCATCCCTGACTTCTATAGGGCACATGCGTGAGAGGGAATGTGCAGGGTCTAGACTCACCTGTTCTCAACTCGATTTCCCTAGATGGTCTCCCAAAGGATCATGTTCTAAATTGCTCACATCAACAGTGTGTGCAACTTTTTATGCTTGGAATTGTCAATCTTCTAGATGCTTACCATTCTGATGGATGTGGAATGATATTCTAGGGAATATTGACATAAGCATCACATGTTAGTGAACATGTTCTCCTACCTATTCATGATGTAGATTTCCTCTTTGGGGAGTTGCCTGTTCAGATGCTTTGCATGTTTTTTCTTTGGGTTGTCACCTTATTGGTTTGTAGATACTCTTTATATATTATGGCTATCAATCCATTATTTGCTGCATGTTGCAAAAATCTGCCTCACAAAGTCACTTATCTTTTAATTACGTTTATGGGCCTTTTTCATACAGAAGTTACAAATTTTGATAATTCAAACTGATCATTTTTCTCTTTATGTCTTTAATTTTAAAACCCTTTTTTTACCCTGAGATCATAGAAAAGTTTTCTGTGCTTTAATTGGTTAAACGTGTTTTATCACATTTGGATCACACCTGGATTTTTCTTTTCTTCCATGTGCACAGTCAACTACTCAAGTGCGACTCACACTTGGGCATTAAATTGAAGATGATATGGGCAGTTGCGAACATTCTCCTTTTACTCCTCACTAATGGAAATGCTTCTAAAGTTTCATCAGTAAGCGTGGGGCTTCCTGTAGGTTAAGCCAGAAATTCTAAGCACCGTCGTCACCGCTGTCAACATCGTGAAAATGCTTTCTAAGTATCCATGTGGCCTGGACTCCTAGGGCTCTGAGCCTTCTTGCATGAAGCCCACCCAAGCAGGAGACTGCAGCCCAGGCCCAGGGGTACAGAAGGGATGGGCAAGGGGGCTTAAAAGATGAGGCTAAACCCAGAGGGGTGAGTGTGGCACAACCTGGGGGTGAGTGTGGCAGAGAGGGAAGGCCTGTGTCCACGGGGAGAGGGCAGAGGGTGGAGACCTGCCCGTGCTGGCACATGAGGAGAGAGGAGGGCAGTGAACAGCATAAATCTGGGGCTAAGTCTGCCTCCTGCCTCTGCTACTAACAGTCAGCCTCACACAAGTTACTTGGCCTCCTCAGGCCTCCGTTTCCTCCTGCGTAAAATGGGGCACGCAGCAGCTCCTTCCCAGCATCCTTCGAGGACTGAGTTAAGTGCTGTGAGCAGAGCCTGGTGCAGGGTGTGGGCCGGGCCGGGTGCTGCTGCTGCTGCTGCCGCTGCCGACTCAGTTGCTGCGGGTGGCAGGTGTGGCTGTGATTGGTGTTGAGGTAAACGCGGCTGCAGCACCGTCCATCCTGTATGCCCCGGTTGACCCAGTCTAAGGCATTCAGGCCCTGCCACAGGTCCCAGATGTGTCAGGACATTGGTAGAGGAGAGCTGGGAGGACTCCAGGGCTGTGCCTGCCCTCCTGGCATGCTGAGCACCAGCGCAGAGCCCCGGACCTGACAGCGCTGCTGATGGACATGGCTGGGGGCCAGCCTGCCTGGGTTCGATCTGAGTCACTGAGCCATCCGTTCCAGGATTCCACAGATGGTGAGGAAAGAGGCCTTCGGGGTAGGGTTTCCACATGAAAACAGGAGGCCCAGCTAAATTTTAATCTCAGCTAAATAGTGAACACTAATTTTTTTAGCATAAGTATGTCCCAATTATTGCACCAGACATACATGTCCTAAAAACATGTTGTTTATATGGAATTCAAGTTTGGATGAATTGAAATGTACCTACGTTTAGCTGGTGCTCAATATCTTTTAGTTACTAAATATGGGGCCCTATTTGGGGGAAGAGCATGGACAGGACCTAGAGAGGGTCTGTGGTCTGCTAAGGTTGGAAACAGGGCTGCAGGTGGGGAAATCAAGGCAGACCCTCTGGAAGGGGAACGGGTCTAGCCACGAGGTACCAGCATAACTACGAGGTGGGGGGCACGTATTATGGGGAGGCTTCAGGGTGTGGGGCCTGGGCCTGCATCCTGTCACCCTATTGACCCTAAGGCCTTGGAAAATCACTCTCTCGGCCTCCCTTTCCTCAGCTGTAAATAACGGGGCTCATCCTCGTGCCCCTCGCACTCAGGGCTGCGTCTGAGGTGGACCCCACAGGGGAAGAGTCTGTAGCAGGAGGCGGAGTGATGGATGCCAATGTCCAGACAGACAGGATGGGAGCTCAGAGAAAGAAGTCTGCCTGCTGGGTGGATGTGAGGGCTTCCAGGGGGTGGTGACCTGGAGCTGGGCCCGGCAGGCTGAGCCAAGCTTTCTAAGCAGAAGCCCCCGAGAGCAGCACCAGGCGGTGTTAGGTTCAGATGGCCCCTCCTGGTCCCTCCTGTCACCCTGCCCAGCAGGGAACACGGTTGTCCCCCCAGCTCCCACAATGGCTGCTGATGTGCTGGAATCATCGAACACCACGATTTTTTAGCTCCTCTGCGTGAGTGGCTTTGGCCTGGGGGCAGGGGCTCAGCTAAGGGGGAGGGCAGGGGAGAGACGGACGCCGATCAGCAGCCACAGGGCTGCCCTCCTCCCCTGCAAGTGCCCAGGGCTTGGAACCATCCAAGAGCTTCCTGCGGCTACCCCCTCTGATCTGTGAGTGTCCTGGCTTTGCCAACAGCCAGTGGCCCTCCCGAGAGCTGGTAAGGACTAGAAAGAAAGCCACAGAGCCCTAGGCCTGCTCGGCCCCTCATCATTTAGCACTGGGCTCATTCTGCGGCCGCCTGAAGGGCCTGCAAGCCCAGGGAAGCTGGTCCCATCCTCCAGGACGGCTTCTCCTCCGTGAGCTCTGCGGGCGCGGGTGCTGCCACAGCTGCTGGGGACTCGCTGCTTTGAATCATCCTGGCTGGAGGGGAGGAAGCAGCCTCCTCAGAGCTGGGGCTGGCGACAGATTTCTCCTAATTGGCTTCTGAGCTTAGAGACTGACTCTCACAGCAGCGGTGACCGGTGACCGTGAGTCAGATGGGCAGAGAACAGAGAGGGAGGGAGGGAGGCATCCAGCAGTGCCAGAGAGGGGCTTGCAGCACTCAGGCCACCCTCGCTGCTGCAATGGGAGCCAGCAGGGCAAGGTCACAGGCGAGTAGGTGACGGCATGGAGCCAGAGGCTGGGCCAGCTGCAGCGCCGGCCAAGAGGAGTGGGGCCAGCCCTGATCTGGAGCCCTAGAGCGAGGTCAGGCTTCTGGGCCAGTCCTGTCCTTACGCCATGACCAAGTCCTGATATCCCGTGGCTCCGACCCTTGCTCCCACCACGTGGGCTGATCGTGAGATGTTTCTCGGTCACCTGCCTGGGATCCTTGACCTTGACGTAGGTAAATGAAGACCAAGTCTTACATCTCAGCTTTGCATCATCCCTGCCTCCTCGAGAGCCCAGCTCCTTGGAGGTCCATGTGCTCCCTGCCCCAATCCACTAACCCTCTGCTCCATGCATTTGTGGGGGCCGTCAGACACTCCGTGCTGATGGGACATTCTAGAAAAAGCCCCTCCAACACTGTTTCCTGATGCTCACCAGCCGTCTGCTTCCTCCACCCGCATCCCCAGAAAGGAGGCGACTGGTGTGGGGTTCCAGCCCCACAGACCTCAGGGCCAGGCTGTACTGAGACATGCTTTCTGGCAGAGCATAGGGTCCTGACCCAGGTTGCAGGCCGAGGTTTCCATGGTGAAGCACATGGCCCGGCCTCCTTCCTTCCCTGCTCAGCTCTCCTCTCCCTGTCTGCAGGGGCTGCTCCCCGCTTCCTCCCTTCCCTTCTTCTCCTCTTCCCCTCTCCCCTCCGTGCTCCACGCCCACAGAAGTTGCTTGACACACAGTCAAGGTCTAACGACGCTGACTCAGCCCCGCTGGCCCAGCCACCCCCTCCCCAGCATGGCGCAGCTCATTTCAGCCCCATGCCCCTGGGAGGCTGACTCACACGACTTCACTCACCCATAATGGGCTTGTGATGGTCGACGGGCCTGGCAGGGAAACAGGCCCTGTGTTCCTGAGATGACACGCAAATGCCTCCTGCGCGAGGACAGATGTTTGTCATTAGCCAAGATGGGACTGCACGCTACCCTCCTGCACAGCTGGACAGTGTGGTCCAGCGGCCTCGGTGAGGTCGGGTGTCAGGCTGTTGTCTCGGGTGTGACCCGCTCTGAGGCTTCTCCAGGGATCAGAGGGCAAGGGCTGAATGCCAGGAAGTGCAGGGCAGGCATGGCCAGGGCAGAGGTGCCCTCTGCTGTGCCCTCCTCTTCCTACATCCAAATCCTTCCCTTCCTGGGGCTTTGACCTCCTCCTGCAGGCCTGACCTCCTCATCCTGGGACCTGTGGAGAGGGCAGTGTGGCATTTGAAGTGCTTTTCAAGGATCTTTTGGTTTCAAGGGACAGAAACCCATCTCAACTGGCTCAAGCAAAAGAGGGAAGTCCCGGGCACCCCAACATTATCGTCGCTGCCTTCTGTCTCTTCTTTCATCTTCCCTTTGAGAGGCCGCCATTCTCTGGCAGGCTGGGCCACACCTGGCTTATACCCAAGGATATAGCCAGCACAAGGCGAAGAGGTTTCCTCTCCCCTGACACTTCCAGGGAAAGTCCCCAAATGGAGTCCCATGATCACCTCCAAACCAATCACTGAGTCCAGAGGAGAGGCTCTGCTGACGGGCCAGGCAGGGCTGCGTGCTCATGCACAGGTGGGGCCTGGGGGCATGGCAACATTATACACCACCACGGGGACGGAGCCGGGAAGAGAAGGCTCCCCCAGGAAGTGCTGGGTGCCACCCCAGAGGGGGATGGAGGCTGGGCATGCAAGAGGCCGAGACCTCTACTGCCCAGCTCCTATCTGGCTCTGACTTCAGTTAGCTGCCCTGAGCCCCCTCCTTGTGTCTCTGTGCCCTCCTTTCAGAAATGGAGCTCAGGCCAGGCTTTCCTCGCCATGTTATCAAGAACACAAATGAAAATATGTGCAACATGTGCCTTGCAGGCTGTAGCATGCAGATGTTACACGTGCCTTGCACACTCTAGCATGTAGACGTTACATGCGCCTTGCAGGCTCTCGAATGCAGATGTTACATGCGCCTTGCACGCTCTAGCATGCAGACCTTGTAATAAGATCGGGGTAAGCAATGACAGGAAGAGCAGTAATTCTAGGTGTCCTATGGTGATTCTGAAATGTAAAATCGTGTTAATTTGGCAAAGACAATTGAAACCTAGAATATCATCCGTGGATGGAAAGTCACTCCCCCACACACAGCATACAGGAACTGGGAGAGTGTGGGGGTGGGAATGAGCGCTCTCCCTTCCCTGGTGTGGAAGAGGGAGGCAGAGGTTCAGAGAAGTCCTGAGTGGGTCTGACTGTCCCCAGGCCACCCTGCTCCACCTGCCGCTGCCGCCCCGCTGGCTGGGCCCCTGCTGAGCTTGAGGCCTGGTTTCAGCAAGCTGCCTCGCATGCACTTCATCCTTACTCGTTCAGTCTGCACATCAAGCCTGTCGGGTGCGTATGAATGTCAGCCCACTTTACAGACGTGGAAACTGTTTTGCTGCGCCAGCCACTTCTAGAGGGTACCTTCCTCAGCGGGACCACTGCGGTCACCGGCCACATGGTCAGCTTTAGGCACCACTGTCAGAGGCTGTTAGAATAGGCACAGCTGGGTCTGTGACCCAGGAGCTGTGTAACCTTGCCTAAGTTACCTGACCTCTCTGAATGTCAAGTTCCGATCAGTAGAGGGCGAGTGATGCAGCTGGCATCTCAGGCCCCCTATGGGTGCTGTGGGAACAGCCAGCAAGACTGCCTGCCAATGAGAGATGGTGGTGGAGTGGGATGAGGCCCCACAACTCCACGCTGTCTAGGTGGGGGGGTGCAGAGGGCTGGGAAGCACTGGAGGGTCCCAGGGCAGGGGTAGCCACACTCATGCAGGGCTGCCAGGAGGAGGCTGCTGGGGGGACAGGCTGAGGGGACAAGCCAAGGGGACAGGCCAAGTGGACAGGCTGAGTGGATAGGCTGAGGGGACAGACCTGGTGGACAGGCGGGGTGGACAGGCCAAAAGGACAGGCTGAGGGTACAGGCCAATGAGACAGGCCTGGTGGACAGGCTGAGGGGCCAGGCTGAGGGGACAGACATGGTGGACAGGCTGGGTGGGCAGGCCGAGTGGACAGGCTGAGGGGACAGGCCAGGTGGACAGGCCAAGGGAACAGGCAAGGGGACAGGCCAGGTGACAGGCTGAGTGGACAGGCCGAGGGGACAGGCCGAGGGGCAGGCAAGGGGACATGCCGAAGGGAGAGGCTGACAGGACATGACAGGTGGTCAGGCCGAGGGGACAGGCTGACAAGACAGGCCAAGGGGACAGGCTGAGGGGATAGGCCAGGTGGTCAGGCCGAATGGACAGGTTGGGTTGTCAGGCTGAGAGGACAGGCTTGGTGGACAGGCCGAGAAGACAGGCAGACGGGACAGGCCTAGGGGTCAGGCCATCTCAGGGAGTGGTGGCGGGGATATTTGTGCAAACGCTCAGAGGCCAAGAAACTCACTGGTGGGTGGTGGGAGCTAGAGAGCCACCTGGCATGGCTGGGGCATGAGGCTCAAGGAGGGTGCAGGAGGTGGGCCATTAGATTCTGGCCACAGGGTGGGAGCCATCTATGCCAAGGGCAGTAGTGAAGATTGGATGTGTGAGTCACTGGGGGCCCATAAGGGGCTTAACTTGGGAAGCGCATAGCCAGGTGGGTGTGTTAGGGACAGCAGGGACTGGCAGGGTACTGGGAGGGGGTGTGCCTTGAGGCGGGGCGACAGAGAGGCTGTGGCTATGTCCAGAATGGGGCCAGCACCACAGCAGAGGCCTTGGGGGTGGAGGCAGGGATGCACTGGGTGGGATCCCAGGAAAGGACTTCCCAATGCTGCACCTGTAGTCTGTCCCGGTTCTGTAAATGTAGTGGGGAGTCCCAAGGACGAGTGCTCTATCCAGGCTTGTGCCTCTGCTGGGGGCTGGGGATATGGGTTGGGGCTGTGGTGGGGACATCTCAGTGGGTGAGCCTAGAAAGAAAAGGGCTGCAGGAGGGACTCACACAGAGGAGCCCACAGAACCTGTCCCCCTGGGGGCCTTCGGGGCCCAGAGGTCCCTGCCTAGCCAAGTTATTAACAGCATTGGTGGCTGTGGGTGGCATGGCCTGGGCAGGGTCCCCTCTGACTCATGCTGTGCCCTGAGAGGGTTCCCTTTCTGAAGAGCCCACAGGTGGGCAGGCAGGCTGGCTCCCTGGACAGCCTCGGAAGGGGTGGGCTCCACTCACTCTGCCCTGCTCCCCTCGGCCACCCGGAAAGGCATCCAGGCCTGTGATTCTGGTCCTGAGGCATCACCAGCCTGGTGTGTGTGTTCCTGTGGGAATGAAGAAGGCAGGCGCCCGGAGCCCAGCACATCTGCTGTGGGGGGGACCTCCCTGTCCCCTGATGAGCTGGGCACAGGGGGAACCCAGGTTCTGCTCAGTCCTCCCACCTGGCCTCCGGTGCCATCCACACTGCCCCTCTGCCTCCTCCCCGGCTGCATGGACTGCACCTTGCCTGAGTGGTCTCCAGAGGTACCTCAAACCCTCTCTGCATCTACTGCACCCTGCCACCCTCCTCGGCATTCTGTCTGGAGCAGAGCTGCTGCCTCACAGTCCTGGGAAGGATTCACAGGCCTGATGGGCCCATTTCACAGATGAAGACACTGAGACTCAGATGGGTGGGTGCCAGGGTGGCCTGAGGTCCCTTAGCTCATGAGGGCCCTGGCTTGGGCTCCAGGGTGCCATCCTTCCCAAACCCGTGGTCCACTATGGGGTGTGTGGTGCTTGTGGGGCAGGGCCGGGCTGTGAGACCAGACCGGCACATGGAGTCACGTTCTCACCCTGTGCTCCATGGAGCCCCCAGGGCCACAGTGGGCCGGGTGTGGGTGGTGTCAGGCCTGTGGGATGGTGGAGGCCAGTGGGACCCAGAATCCCATCCCCACAGCCCCTTCTGATTCGTGGGTGGTCCTGGGCTTCCTTGGAACAAAGGATTCCAGGCTCAGACACATCTGAAAGCCAGAGTAGGGTCTCCCGGGACCTCCTAGAGGGCAGTCTGTTTGTGGGGGCTCAGAAGGCTGGGCGTGAGCCCTGGTGGGATCTGAAAGCATCACCTCCAGCAGAGCGAGAGTGCCTGTCCCACACTGGGACTGCCTGGACTTGGGATCTGAAGCTGGGAGAGGGAAGCATTTGAGACCACCAAGACCAGCATGCCAGCTGTAAGCTCTGCTCCACTGCGAGAGGCAGGGGAGCCTGCAAGACACACTGGCTCCCGGAGAGGTTTCTGTACTGAGCAAGAGGCTTGGGCTGCAGGCTCCTCTCCCTCTGATGCCCCCCAGATGATACGGTTTCTGCAGCTCACTGGTGTTTCAAATTCTGAGGTTTAATAAGCTAAGATGCCAGGCTTCTAAGACAGTGTCAAAGATAAGATTTACCTATTTCACCCTAAACTTAATCAGAATAAAATTTGAGGTGATTTCTAAGAGTCTAAGCTTCTAAAAGGACGCATCCTTAAAATTCTAACACCCTAAGCTGATTTGTGGAGAAGATTGGATGATTCCATGCTTCTGAAAGCCTATGCTTCTGAGAGTCTGTGCTTTTAAGAGTCCAATATTCTCTAATTCTGTGTCTTCCATGAGGCCCGAGTGGCCAAGCATGGCTTAGGCGCTGAATGGCGACAATGCCCCCGCTGATGGGAGCTGCTGCTAATCTTCCCTTTGAGGGGCTTTGATGAGCTCTGGAGGCAGACGGGCGGCGTCTGAGCACAGCTGCTTCCATCAGAGGGGAATTTTGCTGAGCATCGGGGATTCGGAGGCTCAGGAGAGGAGCTAATAGCAGCTGCTTCTGGAGGGCGATTAGAATCTGGGGAGGAGAGAAGGCGTTAATAAAGCCAAGTGTAAAGCGCAAGGAGACACAGCCCCCAGAAAAATTAGCCACTGAAAAAGCCTCTGTGCCATATGAGTGCACAACACATTCCCCTCATTCCTACGAGGGTCCCTGCCATCTCCCTCCCAGGCCACTTGCCCCTGAGACCCCTCCTGCAGAGTTAAATCCCATGTCCCCATAATGATTATCCTTTAGACTGGCAGACTGACACCTCTGGGAAGCCTTCGGCAGAGGGACAGCTTGGGGAAGAGTGCCCCTGCAAAAACTCTCCCTCTCCAGCCAGCAGTGCCTTGGGTCAGGACTTGGGAGATGAGCCTCTGTGTGTCCCAGGAGGGTCAAGTGTGGGTGTGAGAGGACTGAGGGAGGGACAGAGTTAGGGGCTTCCAGATATGGCTCAGCAATGTTTCTCCAGGCTGGGGTTCAGTGCCAACATCTCTCTTTTCATGCATGCTTTCACTTATTCATTCTTGCACTCATTCATTCATGCATTCATTCAACACCAGTGCTGGGCCAGGAACTGTGCCAGGATATCGAGATCAAGATGCCAGCAACATACCTCACAGTGCTCAGAATGTCAGCGTGTCCCAGGTGTGGTGCAGGCAGAGAGCAGGAGATGGTTCTGTTTTGCCGAAGGACCTGTGGACCCTGAAGCCTGGGCTGGAACACACTGCAAGGTCACACTGGCTGGGGGGCATCTCTGTATCCTGAGGCACCATTGCAGCCCGGAGCCTTTCCACCAAGAGTCTCATGAGGGTAGGAAGCAATGAGTGGGCTGTCCTGGCTTGCCTGCTGGCCAGGCTTCCCGCCCCATTGGTCCCTCCTCTCCCAGCTGCAGCCTCTGCCCGGGGCCTTACCCAGGAGAGATTTAAGGACTTGAAGCATGCCCTGTGGACTCCTCAAGATCAAGGATCACGCTCCAGCATCATTCCTGGCCCTAGTAAATGTTGGAGGGTGTGAGACAGCTCCTTCCTGCCCTGTGGCCCTGGGCTTCACTGCTGCTGATGGGACTTTGGCCTTGCTCCCTGTGAGGCCCACAGACCCCAGTCTCTGCTGTGGTTTGGATGTGGTTTGCCCCCACGAGACCCAGGCCGAAGTTTAGTTGCCCATGGCAGTGTTGGGAGGAGAGGCCTAGCAGGAAGTGATGGGGTCATGGGGGTGGATGCCTCCTGAATGGACTGGTGCCATCTGGGGCGTAAGCTCTCACTCTCAGGATGGGGCGAGTTCCTTCTTGTGTTTGGTGCCTTTGCACACCACATTCCTTCCACTTTCCCTCATAAGTTGAAGAGCACCAAGCCCTCAAGGACGAGTTGCCTGGTCTTGGACTTCACAGCCTCCAGAATCATGGGCCAAATAAACTTTTCTGTATCAATTACACAGCCTTAGGTATTTTGTTACAGCAAAACACTAAATAGACTAAGACAGCTTCCCTCTGCCAACTTGGCCCTGGCCTTGTGACTCTGTGGGGTCTAGGTGGCACCTGGTGTGTGAATACCTCTACCTTGCTGGGCCCCCCTGAGCCTTTGCTGCCATGATGTACCCACAGCCCAAACCCTGCTGGCTTGGACCTGGCCTGCTGGTCACCATGTCCCTTGGGTCTGGCATCTTCTTCTCCCTAATGGGCATTCCCCCAGCCTCTGAGGCTTCATCAGATGATTTTCCAGAGTTGGGTGAGCCCTGGCCAGCTTCCCACCTGTATCTAGAAAGGTGGGAGGCTCCCTGCCCTTGGGCCTTCACCCACCAGAGAACAAAACTCTTGAGTCTGCCCTGGCCTTTGTCCCCTCCCCTTCCCTCCTGTCTCTTCTATCGTGAGGTCAAATGGCTGGGTGAGGTGCAGATGGGGTAGGCCACTTATTCAGGGACTATGTGGTCCTAGGGGTATAGGCACCTGGTCCTCAGACCCTCAGCATGGGAGGGGTGGTGGAAACCATCTGGCCAGGCTGTTTACCCGACAAAGGAGTTGGCTTTTTACCATGACAGGCCTGCTGGCTGGCTTACTGTAACTTCTGATGGGGCCAGGAGTTCAACCTGCAGGACTGTCCTTTCCAGGGTGAAGAGCCTTGGCCCGAGGGAAGTCTGGAGCATATGACACTGGCCTCCGCTACTGGCCTGATGCTGCCCGAGAGGGAGACGATGATGAGTGGCAGGTGTCACATGGGGTTGTGGTGCAGTAGGGCACACAGCAACCCTACAGCTCATAACCAAAGCAATGGCTCTGTCCTTGGCAGCACTCAGTCCTAGAAGCCTGGCCAGTCCTCTCAGCAGCACACTGGCAAGGGCAAAGGGTGCGTGCTCTGAGCAATGTGAGCAGAGAGGGAGAGGGTTCAAGTGCCCCATCCTAACCCTGCAGGCCTGGGGTGGGGGCGTTGACGAGAGGGATGGCTTAGGTTTGCTGACTCCAGCATCGGAGAAGCATCCAAGCCTTTGGTCATCATCCTATCTCCCATCCAGGACAGGACAAAGGAGAAATCAGTGCCTCCGTGGAGCTTGAGCTCACCTCTGAGGGCACTGGGGATTGGGGCCAGAGCCCCCATCTTTCTGCCCAAACAGTTCCAGAGGCAGGGACTCCTTCCAGATGTGAAATGTGCTGCCCAGGTGGACGGATTCCCCGCATGTTGCTTGCATCTTGTTCCACAGAGCAGGCTGTCCCTTCTTGAACAAAAGAGCCCTTCAGAGGCTGGAGAGGAGCCTCAGACCCCTCAGCCCCACCCTCTCCACGCCTCCCTCCTCCAGGTGACAGGTTTTGAGTAGAGTGTGGGTAGCTGGAGCTGGGGGAGCGGCTGCTTAAGATGCACTCTGGGCACTGGGCTTTCTAATTCCCTCTCTGAGGCCTGTGCGGCCGAGATTGAAGAGCAGGTGTTTCCAATTAAATGGGGCCTTTCAATCTCTCCCTGGGCTGCGACTCCGTGCAGGCTCATTCATTGGCCCTGAACTCGGCTGTATGCAGAATTTCTCTGGGCGGGTGGCTTCAGCAGGCTGAGGCTGCAGAATCCTGAATTTCAAAGGCAGTTCTGCCCTCTTCTCCACAGCCCCAGTGTGAGCATGCCCAGCTGGTCCAGTGTGCAGGAAATCTCCTTCCCCAGGGTTACCCGGTGGGTCTTGGTACAGGTCACCCTGACAGGTCTGAGATGCCAGGGAATCCAGTGGCACAGGGAATCACTGCCAGCGGCTCTCAGAGGGCTCATGCTTTATGGCTACATCTGGCCCCGAGAAATGGGCTCTGGAGGAGGGGAGCAGGCAGCAGGCAGGCCCTGCAGCAGCAGGGGAGCAGCCTGGTGAATTTACAGCCCTTGCAGTCTGGGTTTCCCAGCTCAGCTGTCAGGGCCTGTCAGACTTAGCACCTTTCAGAATGGGAGGCGGGAGGAGGGGTGCACACAGCAGAAGGCTGGCTGGTGCCCTGCCAGAAGCCGGGACTGCAGACACAGAGGCACAGAGTCCATAATGAAGGTCATCAGGAGGTTTTAGGATTTATTTGGCATTCCTGTGCCAGGTACTGAAATACAATAGCACATGTGGAAGGAGTGTGTCTGGGGGCCTGACCAGGGCAAGGCTCAGTAGCCACTGATGCTCGAGCTTGCCTCACAGCTTAGTATCGTGATTAGGATTGGCCTCAGGACCAGCGTGGAGATGCTAGAGCTGGACAGTCTTGCTCCCGTTTCACAGGAGAGGGTGGTGGGGGTGCGGGTGGGGTTGGCACACTTGTGCTTTCTCAAGGTCACGTTGTGGATGCTGTAAAACCAGGGTATGGGGGAGACTGTCTTTGGCCCTGGAAAGGCTGGGACCTGCCCATGGGCGAGGTCCCATGTGGCCACTGGGGACTATTGGTTCCTACCCCACCGTCCCTCTGCTGGGTTCCCCACCCTGCAGACGTGGGCTCAGCCCCTCAGCATCATGCCCAGGTATTCAGTCAATCCTGTGATTATCACTGGGCTCTGTGGTTGGCAGAGAGAGGGAGGTCATTCTGCCTCCCTGCCCCCCCAGTGGAGGTGGGAGCGAGCTGACCGTGGCCCACAGTGGAGAGCAGCTGCAGCGGGGCACACTACTGTCTGGATGGCCAGATCTGGGAGGCTTCTCAGGAGGAGTATTTTAAAGGGCTCTTGAGGAGTGGGTAGAAATTCCATGACCCAAGGAAGGGAAGGGGGTTCCTGTGGGAAGGCAGGGGAGGCAGGGGAGCCCTGGAGAGACGAGGCGGGGCAGGTGGGAGGGAGCTAGAGTGCGGGTCCTCACACACTGTGCTCAGTGAGCACAGGGCAGTGAGACTCCATTCAACCTCCGGGGTGGGTGCCTAAGGGCCACAAGGTCAAAGGTGAGCTTGCATCTGTCTCCAGGCAGCCCTGGGGGCTTGGGCGGCAGGAAGGCGGGAGGTCAATACAATAGCCCTGGTGGGACCCGGGAGGTGTCCTTGAAGGTTATCTGGGAGCCAGAATGAGGAGACTTGGCCCAGGGCCTCTGTAGCCCACCCCGAGCAGCTGATGGGGAGGGGAGTGAGGAGGCAGCTGTGGTTCTCACCCTTCACCGTGGCTGGAGGGTCTGGGTGGGAAGGGGGTGCAGGGAACAGGCATATTACACTCTGAATGCGGAGCGGGAAACATGGAAGGATTCATTGTCGGGAGACTGGGGAGGGATGGGCTCTGCTGGTGAAGGGCTTTGAATGCGCACTGGAGAGTTTTGGTTTTATTCTTCTTGAATTTCCTTCTTCTAAACAGGGACAGACTTGGGGTCTCTGAGCATGAGCTGGGTGGAGGACTGTACCTGGGCTAGGCCAGGGTTAACTGCCCACAGTGGCAGCCTGATTCGTCCCAGAGGGGCTCACTCAGCAGGCTGGAGCTCTGTCCAGGCAAGAGGCGAAGAGGGGAAGAGCGGGGCTTGGGGGATGCGAGAGGAACGGGAAGGCACCTGGCTACTGCAGACACTGAACCTTCTGGTCTTATGGCCTGGGAGTGTGGGGGAGGCTGCAGGGTGGATGACCAGAGCCCGGGGATGGATGGAGCCTGGGGAAGAGCTGCTCTGAGTGTGTGGGGGAGTGGGGAGGGGCTGAGGGAGGGGCCACAGCTGGCCACCACTTTCCACCTTCCACTTTCCACGGCTCCTTCAAGGCTCCTGCTTGGGGGAAGCCCAGCAGGTGTCACGAGGCCAGAGCCTGGTCAACCAACATGTGACAGGACTGTGGCTGGGCAGAGCAGGGCTCAAGGACTCACGGGGGCCCAGCCACTGTCACACGTCAGCCCACCCAGAGTCCACTGTGTCCAGAGCTAAGAGGGCGCACGGCACACACGGATCACCGAGGCTGAGTAGGGTCAGCCACGTGTCCCCTGCACACAACTCAGCAGGGGTGGCACTGGAGGTCAAACCTGCCTCTCTTATTGTCCCCACAACCCCACTGTCCCTACAAGGCCAGGTGACCCTCCCACAGCCCACATTACACCTGACCCCGCCATCACCCATGCCCTCACGTACTTTCCAGGCTCCTCAGGTGCTCTGTGGGGTCCTCCCTTCCCTTCCTCCATCCCTGCCTCCCTGCTTGCTGGTCCTGGCGGCCTTGCCTTTGCCGTCCTCTCTATCTGTCACGTCTCAGCCCTTGGCTCATGCAACACCCCCAAGAGAGGCCATCCTGACCCCATGGACGCCACCACACCTTGGGCTGAAGGGTCTTCTCCACTGCACCCCTCCTTCCTGATGATAGATAGATAGATGGATATGATACATGGATAGATGACAGATAAATAGATAGATATGATAGATAATAGATAAATATAAGATAAATATGATAGATGATAGATATGATATAATAGATATGATAGATGGATAGATATGATAGATGATAGATGGATAGATGATAGATAAATAGATATGATAGATGATAGATAAATATGAGATAGATAGATGATAGATGTAATAATAGATAGGTAGATAAGTAGGTAGACAGTAGATAGGTAGATAGATAATAGATGATATGTAGATAGATAGATAGGTAGGTAGGCAGATGTAGGGAAATAGAGACAGAGAGAGAGAGAAACAGAGACAAAGAGAGAGGTGGGAACCCAGGTTCCTTTGGGCCCTCTGCATCTAGATGACGCTTTCAGCGAGTGTGATGGACAATTGAGGGAGGCACGAGGGAACAGGCACCCCCACAGAGGAGGACCTGCGGCCACCCCTCCTTGCCTGGCCATCCTCCTTGCCATGTCACCCCTCAACGCCAACCCGTGCATGTGGGGGTGCATGACCAGCTGACATGGGAGTGTGGGTCAGCCCCAGGGCCAAGGGGGAAGTGGGTGAGCCAAGATCCCGGAGCATGACAAGGGCCCTGGCAGCTGATTGGCAGGGGAGTGCGCTGGGCAGGCCGTGGTTCTCACTCTTCACTGCGGCTGGAGGGTCTGGGTGGGAAGGTGGGTACAGGGAGCAGGCATGTCGGACTATGAATGCGGAGTGGGAAACACAGAACGACTCGTTGTGGGGAGACTAGGGATGGACGGGGTCCGCTGGTGGAGGGCTGGACCAGCAGGTCCAGGCTCTAGGGCCAGAGCCAGGGAGGGAGAGGCGGCTCCGTGCTCTGTCCTGCTGGCTTTCTGGGTCCTTCCTGGAAGGCCTGGCTCTGGTCTGTCCACAGCAGGCATCTGCCCGGAGTGGACAATGGGTCACCTCACACATCACAGCACACATGTGGCCGCCAGCCCCGCTCCCCTGGCCTTATCATCATGCCATTGACAGCATGGACAGCAGCCATATGGCTGTCACCATCATCGCCTGGTGCCTGCGCTCCCAGACGGACACACCAGAGGCTCAAGGCTCAGGCGAAGCTCCCAGAGATCACTCCTGCCTGAGCCATCACTCCCCAAGGAGGAAGGAAGGTGGGCCTGCCTGGAAGTCCTTGCCCCGGGCTCCACACAGAGCTCAGGCCTGCGTCTCCCCACCTTTCTCTGCCCCCGCGCCTCCTGGCCCTTTGAGGGACGCCTAGCAGGAGTATGGCAGGAAAATAAGACGCCTCTGAGGGCCGTGCCTTCATCAGCGCCTGCAGGCTCTCAGGAGGGGCTGTAAAGGGGCCCATCCAGGGTGCCGGTTAGAGCGGAGGATGCTCAGAGCATATGTTGTGCTATTTCTGTTTTTCAATAAAATCAACATTAAAAATTTTTAACAAAGCACCAGGCACCACTGAGAGCAATTAGCATTGCATCGTGGACCAATTGGTGGGTTTGCAGATGCACGCAGGCGCGGCTGCCTCGTGCTGCGGCCCAACCCTCCTCTGTGACTAATGGGCCTGCTTAAGGGGGAGCCAGGCCATGTGCAGGACAGGCCAGCCTGTGCGCCTGCCCAGTGTTTGGGGCTAGGGGTGGAATCTCTCATTGCAGAGCCAGCTACAGTCATCTTTCTGATCCCCTTCCTGGCCTAAGCAGCATTCTGTAGCCAGGTACAAGAAACGCTCAGTGTGTGACCAGGATTCAGGGCTCAGCCCATGACCGGTGATGAAGAATAAATCTGCAACCAGACATTAGGGCTCACTCTATGACCAGGGATCAGAATCTGGGATGTTATGAGGATCAGGGCTCAGTCTGTGACTGGGGTCAGGGCTCAGTATGTGACCAGTGCTCAGTCTGTGACTGGGGTCAGGGCTCAGTGTGTGACCAAGGCTCAGTCTATGACTGGGGTCAGGACTCAGTGTGTGACCAGGGATCAGTCTGTGACTGGGTGGGGTCAGGGCTCAGTGTGTGATTAGGATCAGGACTCAGCCTGTGCCCTCTTCTTCTTTATCCCCAGCCCCTCCTGTCCTGATGATGCTGCAGCAACACTGGGCTATGTTGTGAACCTTGAGCTCACCAAACCCTGTTCTGACTCAAGGACCTTTGTAACTTTTGTTCTCTGCCTGAAAAAATATATATATATTTTCCAAGTTACTAGGCCTTTCTCTTTTTTAGTTCTCCGCTCAGACTCAGGTCCTGATAGAGCTCTCCCCTGTCCACCCCACAGCAGCCTCTTTATTTCCTCCAGGACACTCACCATAATCTAATCACAGAAATTCCTTTGAAAAATATGGGCAAATGGCAGAGGAGTGGAGTCTCAGTCCTGGGAGATAAAGCGGGCAGGAAAGGTCAGGCAAATGGTCTTGGTCCCGTTTTTGCTTCTTTCTGGCTCCAGGTCCAGGCCTGGTTTCTACTTGGTCTGGATTTGGGATGCTGGGGCCAGGGGGCCCCTGCTGGACCTCTCAATAGGGCTGCCTCCTCCTCCTCTGCCTGTCATCCTTCCCACGGGCCCACTGCTCCACACTCGGCCCCACTCGTCTGCTGGGAGCTCCTGTGCTGGGGGCTAGTTCCACCAGGGCTGGATTACAGGCAGCAGCACTGAGAAGGGAACCCACACTCCTTAACAGTCACCTTTGTGTTAAAATCATCTTTTTAAAAGTGAAACATTTCCAACATGCAGAAAAGTACAAAATGTAAATAGGCACATAGGAAAACTCTATTCCAAACACACAGGTGTTAGTAGGTAACGATATTCCTTTGAATTTTTCTTAAATGACCAAAGAAAGACCACCTTACTGATATGGGCGGGGCCTCCTTCCTGCCTCTGCCTTCCTCTGACCTCACAGGCCAAGGCTGCCCTGAAGTTAGCATTTTTCGTGACAAAGGGACATGCAGGGATTGGTAGCGGTGCCCTGGCCAGCGGTGCTGCAGCCGGACACTCTGTGCCTGCTTCCCCGGGGAGTTAGGCTGGGCAGAAGCAGGCCCAAGATTCCTGTGCACTGCGCCTCTCATCCAGCTGACGCCAAGCAGTTTGGCAGACGGTGGCTGGCACACGCAGGGCCTGCTGCTTGTGGGGGTGGGCTCACTGAGGGGCCTGCCTCACAGGAGCAAGTAGACATCTCGCGGTGAAATGCCACCTGGACCCGAGGGTGCTGGCGGGGTGTGGGGGGAGGGAGGGAGAATAAAGCTCCACTGAACATCTCTGCCTGTGTGTTTTGCACGGCCATGTATTAAACTGTATTTAACTAGACACGTATTAACATGTATCAGACTAGACATGAGTTCATACTGACGTCTCCTCCAGGCCCCTGTTCTCTCAGGTGTGACCTGTGGGCAAGCTTGCTGGGCCATGGGAAGGTGTGTGAGTCACTTTATCCCTGCCTGCTTGCTGCTCCTGGAGTTTCCCCTGCGAGGCTGGGTCATTACCAACTAAGGGAAATGCCAGCCTGGTGGCGAACACAGCTCTGTCTCTGTCTTGGAGCAGTGTGTGCACGTGTGTTTGTGTGTGTGTGTGTGTATGCATAACTAAAACTTTACGATTAGAATACCACCCGATTTACAGAAAAGTTGGGAGAATATTACTGAGTTCCCATATGCTCTCTACTCTTGGCTCTTGCTGTTACTAACATCTTCATTCGCATCACGTATTTGTCACAGTTAATGAACTAATGCTGATACACTCTTATGAATTGAAGTCCCTGCTTTATTAAACTTTCCCTTGTTTTTGACCTCATGTCTTCTTGTGTTCCGGAATCCCACCCGGACACCACATCACATTTAGCCTCCATGTCTTTTCAGGACCCTCTTGGCTCTGGCAGTGTCTCAGACTTTCCTTGGTTTTGAGAACCTTGACAGTTTGAGGAGTACTGATCAGGTATTTCGTAGTTTTCCTTGATTGGAATGTGTTTGGGGCTATGGGTTTTGGGAGGAAGACCACAGAGGCAAATGCCCCTCTCATCACATCATACCAAGGGCGACCACGTCTTAGTCAGCTTGGGCTGCTGGAACAAAATGCCACGGCCTGGGAGGCTCAAAACCACTGAAATATATTCCTCAGAGTTCTGGAGGCCGGAGGCTGGAAGTTCAAGATCCAGGACAAGCTCTCTCAGATGGTGCCGTCCAGCTGCATCCTCACATGATGGAAGGGGTAAGGGAGCCCACTGGGGTCTTTTTCCAAGACCACTCATCCTCATCCCACTCCCAAGGGCTCCACCCTCAGTACGGAATCACCTTCCAAAGGTCCTGCCTCCTAAACCAGCACCTGGGGGGTTACAGCTGCATCTGTGAATTTTGGGAAGGCCACAAACATCGGACCACGGCAGGTACAAGCTATCCACGTGATTGATGGCTGATGGATGTTGACCTTGGTCCTTGGGCTGAGGGCATGTTGTGTTGTTTCTGCCTGTCATCCCCACACCCCATTCCCATTCTACATTCCTTGGAATGAAATCACCATGTACAACCCACACTCGAGGAGTTGGGGGTTATACTCCATTTCCTTGAGGCAGCATATCTAGAAAATTATCTAGAATTTGGGGGCATAGGAGCTTTGACTATTGTTCCTCATTTATTCAACAGTTTATTTATATCGATGTGGACTCACGCATATTGATTTTGTACTTTGGGTTATAATCCGCTACGACATTATTTATTACACTTTGCTCAAATGGTTCCACTTTGGCCACAGGGAGCTTTCCGTTGGCTTCCGTGTCCCTGGGACACACCCTGTCATCGGGTTTTGTTGGAGCACTTCCTTACTTTCTGGCACAGTGAGATGCTCCAGCCTCATCTTGTCTATTTCCTGCCCCAGACCTAGTGGGGCATTTCTCCCCAGGAGCCATTTCTCCCAGGAGCCCTGGATCTTTTAATTGGAGAATGGCAGAAACCAAGATCAAGGCACTAGGTGTGCTCACTGCTACTGGGGTGTCATTGCTTCTAGGTCCTCTCAGCCAACAGAGCAAGGAAATAGCTGTGTATCAAAGAAGTTGTGTATGTATACATGTAAACATCTCTATGTGTATCCATCTTTATTTGTATTAAACCAGGCACGAGCTCATACTGATGTCTCCTCCACTAACCCGTGCCCACACGGATCCTTCTAGCCTCTTCCTCTTGTTTATCTGTGAACTACCTCTCTGGCACTGAGAAAAAGGCTCCCACCGCCCAGCATCCACTCACTTAGCTGTGCAATCCCAGAATACACAAATAGGGGCTTCATATTTGTTAAACCACATTCCTGTGAGAGGCAACTTTTCAACTGGAGAACAGTACTCATGTGCAGTTCCTTTTCAGTGACTTCTTTCACTTAGCAATACGCGTGTAGGATTTATGCATGTCATTGCACAGCTTGATAACTATTCCTTTTATTGCTGAATCATATTCCATTGCATGGAAGTGTTCGTTTCTTTATCCACTCACCTATTAAAGGACACTTTGGTTGCTTCCAGTTTTGGGTGAGAGTAAATAAAGCTGCTATCAACATCCGCATGCAGTTTTTTGTGTGGATATAAATTTTCACATCAGTTGGGTAAATAGCCATGGGCATGATTGCTGGATAATATGGTAAGACCATGTCTAGCTTTGTAAGAAGTTTCCACACTATGTTTCGCTGTGGCTGCACAGAACCACCCCCTTTTCTCTCACTTGTTCACATGCGTGAACAGGAGAAAAGGGGGTGGTTCTGTGTAGCCACAGTAAATTGTGTCTCTGAAGGGGAGAGAATCAGCTCTCAGGCCCTTGGTCAGAGAAGTTTATGGCCACAGCACTCACGCTGAGATTTGGTGGGAGAAGAAGAGGGCATGGAGCGATTGCATGGCCCACAGTTGAGATCTTCATTTAGAATTACAGAAACCATCCCCACCTTCCGCCTTTAGAGGACACTAGCCAATGGCTGCCACATGATCAAGGGCTGGCGACGTGCAGCGTGTATCCTAGGGGAAGGAGGATGGCCTGGGTCCCTTACTCTCTGTAGGCCAGCCTGTGCCTGGGCTTCCACCGTGCAGACTCTCAGGGTGCAAACAGCAGAAAAACACAGTACAAGACCACCCCACTCCAAGCCCGTGTCCACCCCGGAGAGCCTGGCAGTGCAGAAGGGAAGTGTGGTTGGCAGAATTTCAGGATGACCTCCAAGATCCCCTCCCCTATCTGTGTGTCTGTCCAGTATAATCCTTTCCCTCGAGTGTGAATGATGGATAGATTCTGTTATGTGGCAAACGGTGTGGGAGCCACTCCCATGACTATGCAACGTTACTGAAGACTCCACTCTGGTGCACAGAGGGAGCCTTCCTGGCCAGCATGGAGGGAAGGAAGGAGCCTGGTTGCGAATTGTCTTTGGAGGTGTCCCGGGGGACCTCAGTCACTGAATTCCACCAACACCATGAGTGAGCCTGAACATGGACCTGGAGTCCAGATGGGAGCACAGTCTGACAGACAGCAGGACTGCAGCCTGTGAGACCCGGGCGGGACACCCGCCTACCCTCTGCATAGATCTCTGATCCGTGTAAACCAGGAAATAATAAATCCGTGTTGCTCTAAGCCACCCTGTTCGTGGTCATCTGTCACACTGCAAGAGACCCTCAATACAGGAAGCCTCAGACCCTCCAGCTGCTCTGCCCTAAAGGTCTGCTGCTGGGTCATTGTGTGTTTCCATGTGGCACCTATTTTTCAGTGGAGGGGAAAGGGGACTTAGGTTTAACCAAACGTGAGGTTTAGGAGAAACCCTAGCCATCTTTCATAGTCATCAAATTACGCATCATGTCTAAATGTGCCAAAAAAAGTCAAGTCCGTATGAAAAGCAGCCTCCTTAATTCTGTGAATAACTGCCATTGGCCAGGCCAGGAGAATGTGAGAAGATGCCCTAGATTCTGGCTGTGAAAAAAAACACGGACTCCAACTTTGCTATTAAAGAGAAGCAGTGAGGTTGGATGTAGACTCTCATAGGGAAAGACATTATGTGTGTGTTAAACTGAGTGTTTCTCTTTTGCCTTCAACAAGCTGTTATGAAATCAATGGTGTATCTTGCAATCTGGCAAATATAAGAGTCAAAACAATATATTTTCAGCAATATAAGAATACACCAAATTTGTTTAAAAAATTTAATGCAGCAAATCTTCTCCCACCTGCAAGTCAAAGTTACCCCCAAAGCATATCAGAGCACCCTCCCTCCTTCCTTTCCATGTCCTGTGCAGGGCCCCAGGAAAGGGTCTCACTGAGGCATCGGACTGAAACAGTGTATTTCTTTGGTATCCTCTGCAGGGAGACCCATCCAGGGCGTGGCTGCAAGGCCATATGAATACAGATCCTCCCTGGTTCCTGCTTGGCCCATATTTCCAAAGTACCTCGCCGCAATCAGGACAGAAAAGAACTTGCCATCGCCAGCACGAGCAACAGAAACACAGCTGCGTGCCTGGGGCCACGCAACCCCATGGCAGCTTGCAATCAAAGATCCCTCCCTCACCTCCTTGAGCTGACAAAATCACAAGACAGGGCTCCCTTTTCTGAGTCAGTTGTTCGGCACCGCACGTCTCAGCCTGTATCACTCTAGAAAGCAGGGCCTGAGACCGTGGCTTGAATGCAGAGTTTTCTGAGGCAGCTTTCTCAGGAGCAGGAGTGGGTGGCCTGGAGCCAGGAGCAGGGAAACGAGGTGGGCCAAGTTGAGGGGTGCTGCAGAGCTGGGTGCTGGTGTGGACAGTGGGGTTCCATCCAGCTGGGGCCTGGGAGGAGCCCCCCCAGCGTGCCTCAGAGTCGTCCACCGAGGGGTGGGGGGCACATGTGCACACTGGTTCTCTGTCCCCAGGGGCACGGGTTGCCCTGTGGGGTGTTCATGCCCGCACTCCTCCAGCTCATGCATCCCCGCCAGTCTGGCAGGTGTCTGAGGTCTCAGGGTTGCTGAAACAGAGTGCCCCACGCTGGGCAGCCTCTTGGCTCTGGAAGTCAGCATCAAGGCGTTGGCGGGTTGGGTCCTTCTGAGGGCCAGAGGGAAGGATCCATTCCAGGCCTGCCTCCTTGGCTTGCAGAGGACAGTCCTCACCTTCATGCAGCGCTCTCCCCAGGTGTGCGCCTGTTTCCAAGTCTCCCTTTTCATAAGGACACAGTCACATTGGTCACCCCAATGACTCCATCTTGAATTAATTAATTACATCTTCAAAGACTCTATTTTTAAATAGGGTTACTTTCTGAGGTATTGGGGATTAGGATGTCCAGATATGAATTTTGGGAGCACACATGTCCACCCATAATGCCAGGACAGAAGACATGAGACATTCACAGCAGGACAGGCAAAGTGCCGGGAAGCTGGCCCTCGTGGAGCCTCTGCTGCGGCTGGAGTGAGAGTTGGGAAGACACAAGGCCAGGCCCATGGCAGGCAGGGCAGTCCCCTCTGTACCAACAGCAGCAGCCCCAGGCCATACTGTTCTCCATAAACCATCACCACAGGATGCTGCTAACAGCAAACAGTCCCTATGAGTCCAGGGAAACCTCTCGCTGTAGGTGACCTCTGCAGGGCCATAAGAAGCACAGAGGGCCCCGGGGATTCATAGATGACCTCTAAGGAGGACTCTGCATCACTTCACTGAGCATTGTTTCAGTACTCGTAGGGTGGGCGTCCTGCAGAGGGTGCCATGGGAGCCCCAGGCCTCCAACATTGCCGCTCAGAATGCTCATCTTCACATTGAAGAAATCCCAGTGCCATCTTCAGCCTCAGGAGGCAGAGAGGGAGCCTGCAACAAGCACCCAGATGTGCGGAGCAGACACTGGAGACTCCTCTGTGCAGCCTCCAGCTGGGCCCTTGCCTCATCCCCCTTAATTCCAGGAGCACTGCCTTAACAGCTTGGTAATTTCCAACAAGTCATTATCATTTGCTTGTGGCTAGAGTGGAAAGAAGGCAGAGTGTGTGTGCATGTGTGTTTGTGTGTGTTGGGGAGGAAGTGTGGGGAAGAGAGGAGAGAATGGAAAATCTGTTTACAATTAGTTAACCCTCCATCTTGGTCCTCTCTTAATGAGATAATTAGATGCCATTTGAGGAGAAGCATTTAGCTTATTTGTGGCTATTAATCCCCTGATGTGCTCTTACTCCTTCAGGAGGTCTCCAAGAACGTTAACATATGGGCTTTCCAGAGGGGCGGGCAAGGTCTGGAACTGCAGACACAGCAGCTGCTGCCTCTTACTATCACCGCCTTCATCATCACCACTATCATCACCATCATCATCACCATCATCACTGCCATTATCTCCATTACCATCATCATCATCACCATCATCACTGCCATCATTACCAACATCATGACCATCATAACCATCATCACTGCCATCATCACCATCATCACTACCATCATCACCATCATCATTACCATCATCACCATCATCATCACCATCATCACTACCATCATCACCATCATCATTACCATCATCACCATCATCATCACCATCATCAACACCATCATCACTGCCATTATCAGCATTACCATCATCATCACCTTAATCACTGCCATCATTACCAACATCATGACCATCATAACCATCATCACCACCATCATTACTATCATCACCATTATCGCCATCATCACTGCCATCATTACCAACATCATGACCATCATAACCATCATCACCATCATCATTACTATCATCATCATCATCACCATCATCACTGCCATCATTACCAACATCATGACCATCATAACCATCATCATTACTATCATCACCATCATCACCACTATCATCACCATCATCACCATCATCACTGCCATTATTGCCATTACCATCATCATTATCACCATCATCACTGCCATCATCACCATCATCATCACCATTATCAACACCATCATCAATACCATCATCACTACTGTGATGCTTTTCACTGACACTATCCAAAACATGTTGTAAAAAGGGGCCGGGTGCAGTGGCTTCCCCTTGTAATCCCAGCACTTTGGGATGCCGAGGAGGTCAGATCACGAGGTCAGGAGTTTGAGACCAGCCTGACCAATATGGTGAAACCCCGTCTCTACTAAAAATACAGAAATTAGCCAGGCGTGGTGCCGTGTGCCTGTAACCCCAGCTAGTCAGGAGGCTGAGGCAGGAGAATCACTTGAACCTGGGAGGCAGAGGTTGCAGTGAGCTGAGATAGTACCACTGCACTCCAGCCTGGGTGACAGAGCGAGATTCCATCTCAAAAAAAAAGATGGGGGTCACAATATGTAAATCATCACACCTCAGGAAATCTGGGATATTTTGAGAAGTCACTTAAGGTGCCATCTGCATAAAAACTTCTTAGCCTTGTGGGGTAGCTATTGAGAGACCAAAAGGGCTTTGGGGACAGAAATAAGGGAGGCACAGGTTTCCTCATGAATAGAACTGCACAAGAAGGGGCCAAGGCAGGAAAGTCCAAGCCTTGTGAGCAAGCAGTGAGAACCACATTCAGGTAGTCAGCGGGGCTTCCAGATGAGCAGAGTAGGAAGAGACCAGAAAGTCAGGGAGAGATGGAGGGCATATCGGGCACATACTTGAGTTGGGAATCCACTTATTCAAGCCCTTGAGGTCCTGGGGCACAGCTGAGATGACAATGCTCAGGACACCTTGCCCAGACTTGTTTGCCACACACCAGATTGAGGACACAATGGGGTACCAAAGACTGAATGTAGGAAGGACAACCAGGAGACTGCAGAAGAGACTCGGGTGTGACCTGGCAGAATTCTGGTCCAGGGAGCTGGAACTGAAAATAGAAAAGGCAGCACAGAATTTAGACTTTTCAAGTTTATGCTTTTCTCTTTCAAATGGACCCAAGCTCCGGTAGGGCAGCACCTCCCCAACATGGTTCAGGACTCAGCACATCATGAAATAATAACTGTCCAGCATGTTGTCAACATTCCACATTGTTCTCAACCAGAGTCGACCAGCCCAAGTTAGGTGGTTAGTCTAGTAGGAAATGGAGTCATCCCCACTCCAGCACTGCTGTTGGGAGCTCTGCTTCGGAACAAGGACTGTGTCTCTTTCAGATTTCCATTCCCAGAGCCAGGCACGGTATCAGGCTCAGAGCAAGAAGCCAGCCAGTGGTGGTGGAGGCAAGGCGGGGGTCTTACACACTCAGTGGGGTTTTCCAGAGTGGGAGAAGGCAGAGTCAAGGGCAATTGCAGGCTTTAGAGACTGGCGACTGGAAACCAGATGGCACCTTTCTCACATAATCCTGCAGCAGTGTTAGCTTGAAAGAGAACATGATGCGTATATATATATATATACACTTTTTTTTTTGAGATGGAGTTTTGCTCTTGTTGCCCAGGCTGGAGTGCAATGGTGTAATCTCGGCTCACTGCAACCTCCGCCTCCCGGGTTCAAGCGATTCTTCTGCCCTAGCCTCAAGAGTAACTGGAATTACAGGTGTCTGCCACCACGCCCAGCTAATTTTTGTATTTTTAGTAGAGACGGGGTTTCACCATGTTGGCCAGGCTGGTCTTGAACTCTTGACCTCAGGTGATCTGCCCGCCTCGGCATCCCAAAGTGCTGGGATTATAGGCATGAGTCACCGCTCCCAGCCGATGCTCATTATTTTAATTACTCTGAAGAGCACCTGCATGGAGAAAGATGAGAGCACAAAAGGAGGCCAGGCATGGATGCAGAAGCTTGAATGTTCTTGGATGCAGAGGTGGTCATGACATGAGAGACACAGCAGTGGCTGAGACCCTCGGTGGGGAGCTGAAGGGGCTGAGCAGAGAGCCCCGGGCCAGAGCTGTGGAATGTCATCAGCGGAGAGGGCAGGCAAAGGAGGTAAAGCTCTGGTGGGAGGTGGAATTGGAGAGAAGATTGCTGGAGGACAAAGGAGGGAAGCGTTTCAAGCCCCGGTGATCAATGATGATCCCATAGGGAGGGCAGAGGGGCTGGAGGAAGCAGAGAATTGAGCTGGCCCTCGGCAGTGTTAGAAAAGTGACAGGGACACAGAGCCAGAAGGCCAGGTCTGTGCAGCGGCGGTACCTGCTGCCCTCAGGTAGAGAACATATTCCTGTAAACAGGGTCAACCCACACATGCTTTCAGGGACAGAGTCTTGAAGGGAGGCCAATGGAAACGAGTTTTGTGAATAACACCACCCAACCTCCAAGGCTGCGTGGATGAGTTTTCCTCCCCTCTGTCAGAGAGCACGCCCACAATGGCTCTGCCCGAAGGCAATGCAGCCATTCTTATCTCCATCCTGAAAATGAGAACAGTGGCTTCCAGTGACTTCAAGAGTTTGTCATCTGGGGATGTTCCTACTCTTCCAGACTCCTGTAGTGTGTCCTATTTATTCTCACATCGTCGGCATGTTGGGGAGGAGGAGGCAGTTATTTGGTTGGCCTTCTCTTCCCCCGTTATAAGGTCTATTTTGAAGACCTCATCCCTTCTCCTGGCCCCAAGCTTTCCATACAAACATGGCTCCTTCTCACCTATCCTTGACGCAGGTGTTTCTCACGGGTGCTCCCATGAGCCACAGGCCCTTCAGTACAACATCCATCGGCTTCCTAACCTTGTCAATATTGAATACATTCATGCACAACAGTTGCCTTAGTTCCATAAGTGGTGCAACACAACCTTTCTCCCAGACCGACATTCCGGGTGTCTGTTCCCTCTGTCCACAGCTACTCTGCATGCCCTTTGAGCTGCCTCTTCAGTACCTCCCACACCAGTGCCCTGGCCGCTCCTCACTGACAGCAGATGAGCCCCAGCAACCCCTTCCGAGATTTCCTCCCCTAGAAGAGGTTCCTGAATGAGGGACAAGCACAAGTGGATGTGGACAGTATTTAAGGACGGCTAGAGCTAATAGGTGGAAGAGAAAGGAGATGGCAGGAGGAAGTGTGAGGATAAAAAGGGTGCGGAATTGAGCGGAGCATGTGCCAGAACACTGAGCAAATCGGCTTATCCTTCCCAGAAACGGAGAGTGCTTGACAGGGAAGATGCAATCAAATTTGGGGTTTGACTCAGGGGAGAGAGGCTTTGAAGGGCAGAGGGAGCCCTGGGATTTAATTTAGTGAATAACAAGGCTCCTTCTCCATTCTTCATCTTAGCTGGACAAGCTGGGAAGAACTGAGTCTTTGTTCTGCCAGTTACTCCCTGTTTTGGCCACAGAAGTCAGGCATAAGCGCGTCGGTGGTGCCAGAGGTGGCGTGGCTGACCCAGGCGTGTAGTACAAGTGGAGCTGGCAGGGCTCACGGTGCCTCCAGGGCGGGGAGGGCGGGGAGGGCGGGGAGGGCTGGTCTGTATACATCGCTCTTGTGATATTAGCTGGTAAATAATGCATGAGTCTGGGTGATGTTTGGCGGAGAGAGCTCTCTCAGTGCAAAATGTTACAGCCAACAAAGTTTAATAGAACACAGAGCTGCCTCTTGGGGGAACAGAGGCCCCATCTCTGCAGCCATCCCCACCCTTCCCAGCCCAGTCCAATTGCTCCAGAAAGTTGGTGTCTCAAAGGCCAGGGACAACGCAAACAGGACACATACCCGGTCGCAGCCCCAAGCAGACTCCCTGGGCAGAGCCTGCCACCATATCCATCTCCCTGACCCCCAGCACCCTCATCTCCTGACCCCCAGAACCCTCACCCCTGACCCCCAGCACCCCCACCCCTGACCCCCAGCACCCTCATCTCCTGACCCCCTGCACCCTCACTCCCTGACCCCCAGCACCCTCATACCCTGACCCCCAGCACCCTCATCCGCTGACCCCCAGCACCCTCATACCCTGACCCCCAGCACCCTCACCCCTGACCCCCAGCACACCCACCCCTGACCCCCAGCACCCTCATCCCTGACCCCCAGCACCCTCATCTCCCTGACCCCCAGCACCCTCATCTCCCTGACCCCCAGCACCCTCATCCCCTGACCCCCAGCACCCTCACTCCCTGACCCCCAGCACCCTCATCCCCTGACCCCCAGCACCCTCATCCGCTGACCCCCAGCACCCTCATACCCTGACCCCCAGCACCCTCATCCCTGACCCCCAGCACCCTCATCTCCCTGACCCCCAGCACCCTCATCCCCTGACCTCCAGCACCCTCATCCCCTGACCCCCAGCACCCTCATCTCCCTGACCCCCAGCACCCTCATCCCCTGACCTCCAGCACCCTCACCCCCGACCCCCAGCACCCTCATCCCCTGACCCCCAGCACCCTCATCCCCTGACCCCCAGCACCCTCATCTGACCCCCAGCACCCTCATCCCCTGACCTCCAGCACCCTCATCTCCCTGACCCCCAGCACCCTCATCTCCCTGACCCCCAGCACCCTCATCCCCTGACCCCCAGCACCCTCACCCCCGACCCCCAGCACCCTCATCCCCTGACCCCCAGCACCCTCATCCCCTGACCCCCAGCACCCTCATCTGACCCCCAGCACCCTCATCCCCTGACCCCCAGCACCCTCACACCCTGACCCCCAGCACCCTCATCCCCTGACCCCCAGCACCCTCATCCCCTGACCCCCAGCACCCTCATCTCCCTGACCCCCAGCACCCTCATCCCCTGACCCCCAGCACCCTCACCCCCGACCCCCAGCACCCTCATCCCCTGACCCCCAGCACCCTCATCCCCTGACCCCCAGCACCCTCATCTGACCCCCAGCACCCTCATCCCTGACCCCCAAGACCCTCATCTGTGAGATGCAGATGTGTGGGTGATCCCCAGGGTGATTGTGAGGACCAACGAGGGAATCTGCGGGACTGTGTCCTATTTGGGCTACTGCAAAATGCATGGTCATCCTCCAGCAGTTCTGGAAAAGGGACGGTGCAATCCTTCACTTCAAACTTTAGATCTGAGGCTCTTTTTTGCACTTTTGTGCAGGTTATTCATTTCGCCACCTCCACAGCTGCTTTAAAGGGGAGCTGGGGAGGCGGCGTGAACACAGTTCCTTCCTCTCTCCTGGGAACCATGGAGGCTGATGCCATCGTGGGCCGCCCAGCATGGAGCCACCTCCGGATATTTGGGGCGTTCCTCAACTGATGGGCCTGGTTGGCAGACACTGCTTTCCAATAACAAAGCTGATAAGACCCCAGCGCTGCCTTCCCTGCTGACCTGGATGATGGGACCGGAACATGGAACCTCAGATGCCCCAGGGGCAGGGGAGGAGAGACCTCTTCACTGTGTGGGCACACCGTGATGGCCCGAGGGGAGCTGCAGAGCCACGTGGGGAGTCTGTGGTCAGGGGTGGGACAGCGGGGCTCCTCTTCACTGGCCTGGTGCGGGGATCTGAGTGACGGGTCTGGCCGCACCGCTCCCTTAACTCCTGTGTCTCGGCCTTCCTGGGGACTCCTGAGCTGCCCCAAATCTGCGCGATAAATTCCCCTTTGCTGCATGAGCCAGCCGTGCCATGCAGACCAAACTCCCGACCAGCACAGCGTCTGTTTGCCACCACCAGGCATCCCAGCAGATGGCACACCCTTGGGCATTCCTCCAGTGGCCGGGTCGCCAGCAACGTGCCCAGTCACTGGGCCCACCGGACGGAGTCTGAGCTCAGTAGCTCCGAGGAGACCACTCCAGTGGCCTGCAAGTTATGGCCACGAGGTGGTTGTGCAGGTGAGGGAGAGCTTGGCCCTGGTGCTGGGAGTCCACACTGCCCTGGTCTCTCCCCGGCGCCTGTGACTGTTTTGGGTGGGCATCTATCCTGCCAGCTGTTCTCTGATCTTCTTGGATCTGTAGTTCTGTGTCTACCACTAGTTTGTGAAAACTCTTGGTCATTGTCACCTCAAATATTTCTTCTGCTGTGTTCTCCCTTCTCTTGGTATTCTAATCACACGTATTACACCTTCTATAGCTTCTGGCCATGTCCCACCGTTCTCGGATGTTCTGTTCTGTTTTCGGTAAATCGTGTGTATGTTTTTTTTTTCTTTTTTCTCTGTGATTTCTATGGAGCTAATCTCACTAATTCTCAAGTCTCCCGGTCTCTGAGTCTGTGGAGGGCATGCTCTGTTCCTGTTGCCATGCTTTTTTGTTTCCCCAAGACAGAATCTCTCTCTGGTCTCCCAGGATGGAGTGCAATGGCGCAATCTTGGCTCACTGCAACTCTGCCTCCCGGGTTCAAGCGATTCTCCTGCATCAACCTCCTGAGTAGCGGGGATCACAAGTGCCCACCACCATGCCCAGCTAATTTTTTGTATTTTTAGTAGACCCTGTCTAGTCTCAAACTCCTGACCTCAGGTGATCCACCCTCCTCGGCCTCCTGAAGTGCTGGGATTACAGGTGTGAGCCAGCAAGCCCGGCCACCATGTTTTCAATCTCTGGTGTTTCCTATTGTTTTGTTCTTACAGTTTCCATCTCTTGGCTTACACTAGTCATCTGCTCTTTCATGTGGTCTACTTTTTCCATTGGAAACTTTAACATATTCATTATAGTTATTTTAAATTCCCCATCTGATAATTCTAACGTCTGTGTCATATCTGAGTCTGGTTCTAATGACTGTCACTTCAGTTTGTATTTTTTTCAGTGCTTTGTCATGTTTTGTGGGAAGCCTTGCCTAGCGTATTAGATAACAGGAACAGAGGTAAACAGGATTTACACTGATCTGGCTAAGGAGCTGGGCTAAGTTTCGTGTTTGCTGTAACTACAGGGGCCAGAGGCTGGGTGGATATTGCTTTCTTTTCTTAGTCTTTTCTCCTGTCAGACCTTATAAGAAAAAGTATTCAGTCAGCAAACATCCACTCACTGTGGCCAGGAAGTGCTCAGTGCCTGGGGACTCTGTGGTGATGACCAAGCCATGTCCTGTCACCATGCACCAGGGAGACCCTGGGAGGTGCATTGGGGGCTGGAAGTAAAAATGGGTGGAGTGGAGTGGAGGAGGTGGCACAGGTTTTACAGTGCAGGCAGCCCTTGAATGAGGCGTTGATGGTTCTGCAGGAGTTGTTCAGGAAGGAAAAGATGGCGTATAAGCATTATATTGAAAGTGGCTAAACTTGACAGGAAATTGTGATCTGAATCATGAGAACTGGGACAAGCTGGAGTTGCATGGGGTGGAAGCTGTGTCTTCCTGTGTTATCTGTGACAAGCTTCCCCCCTTGTTGACTCTGGAGAACAGCCTGTTCCATTCCGCATGGCGTCCTCAGAACCGGCACACGGCAAGTGCTAAAGAAATGAAGGAAAAGGGTAGACATGGATTCGATGGGATTGAAACCAATCGAGGCTAAGGAATGAAAGAGAGCACAGGAAATCCATGTCAGGTCCCACAGTGTGGCCTCCATGGCATTGGGAAGATTCTGCCAGGAGTGCACGGCTCCCCTTACTGAAAAACTACAAGCAGCTCCCCCCAGGCTCATCCATCCATGCCTCATCCACTTAT
This sequence comes from Homo sapiens, assembly GCF_000001405.40. Classification (NCBI taxonomy): domain Eukaryota; kingdom Metazoa; phylum Chordata; class Mammalia; order Primates; family Hominidae; genus Homo; species Homo sapiens. Next base: position 141,816,491 of record NC_000008.11, read on the forward strand.
TCCTGCACATCCTTTCTACCAAAGTCTTCCTCTAGGGAGAGAAATGCATGTGCTTAAGCCCTTTCTGCTGGGGTGGGCCTCATTCCAAGGGTCTCATTTTATAAGTGTGTAAACAGAAGCCCAGAGAGGAGTATGAGCAGGCAGTTGGTTATACAGTGTGGCCTCCTGGACACCAGGTAAGTGTTCTCCATTATCCCAAAGGTTTGAGGCTCACAGGGGTCTCTCTGCAGGTGTGTGGGTGGGTCTGTCTCTTGCAGTTTTTGCACTCTTGTCCCTTGCCTCTTTTGCACTTCTGCCCTAGCCCGATGGCCTAGACACAGCACTTTACTCCCTCAGGTTTCCAGTTCCTCCCTCGGCATGTGGGGATGATGATCTTCACCCATGGACCTGGCTGAATTGCCATCAGTAAACCTTCGTTGTGAGGCGTGAGGTGGGAGGCATAATTATCAGCACAAGAAGATAACCCCAAGAGTGGGACTTTTGCAGAAGATTGGCCTGGAAATGATGAGAGGACAGAAAAGAAAGAAGACTCCAGAGGCACGAACATCTTCTGCCCAAGGGGAGAGCTACCCACGTGTCTCCCTCCAGGAGGAGGGACGCCGTAAACACTAACCGGACTCGTCTCGCAACAGTCACTGCCCTCCACTGCTGTATCAATATTTATCAATTCTTCGGCGGCTCAGAATGCGTGCTGGGGATTCAATCAATTTAGCGGCAATCTGAGCGCGGCATTGCATTTTGAGCAACTTCAATATGTCTGCCGGTGTTTGGGGGCTTGCTTCCATTACCAATTCATGAAGCGTCTGCTGGAATTAGTAAATCCCTTTCATTTACTTACGTAGGAGAAAATGTTTAATAGCTGCCACATGAAATTTGCAAATTGTGCTCTATCTGAGGCTGATTAATAAAACACCACGGAAAATCCATCAGTCATTTCGGGATTTAAATTAGTACCGCATTCTACTCGAATCATCTTCTTTTGCAAAATGGTTATGGCCTCACATCTCCCTCCCCACCCTTTCTCCTTCATCTCTATGTTTCCCTTTCCAGCCCCGGCGAGCTGTTGAGGGAGCCGGGTGGGGGGATGGTGAGGTTACCTGTGGATGCAACTTATCTCCCACGGAGGCTGTGGTTGCCTGAGACGTCATTTATCCGCATGTCCCTCAGAGTGCCAGCACAGAGGCAGTGGGCAGGAATGGACAGGCTGGATCCTGGAGTTGAGAGTTTCTCTAAGATAGGGTGTGGCGTGCCTTCCTGTGTGGTTGCTTTAGGCTAAAAGTAGTTGAAAATTGCCAAACACTTTCAGGGCATCAGGCCTTGTGTTAAACAATTTCTATACCGTGTACCATGTTATCAAAATCTCTCAGCTGCAAAGGGGGAACATTCCGTGCCCTCCATCATTTGGAGGGGGGAAGCTGAGGCTCAGGATATTAAGTAACCTTCCTGAGGCTGCCCGACAATTCCTGGAGGAGCCGGCATGTGAACTCATGTCTTTCTGAAGTGGTGGGAACTCTCTTGGGTCTCCCAGTCCAACATCTCTATTCTACCGATGGAGGAACTGAGGCCCACAGGTCGGTCAGGGGAGCTCTGGGACTGGGAGGAATCTGGATCTCCCATTCCTTGGGGTGCCGTTGATCTGCAGAGACTCCTGGAGCCCCTGCTGAACTCTAAGCTGTGTCCTGGGAGTGCCAAGCTCAACCCCAGGAGCAGAGTCCCCACCCTTGACGTGCGGCCTCACTTCCAAAGGAATCGTTAGGTAAGCAAGTTCCTAGAGGCTCAGTCTCACCTCCAGGGAAGTCTGGACTCCAGGCCCAGGTCACGCTGCACAGTCATAGCTTGATGCAGAGGATAGTGATGGAAATTGTCAGCAGGAGAGAAACCCGCTCAGGCCCCTCTTTCTGGCCAAGTTCCCATATCTTTCCAAGCTTCAGTTCCATTATTCATGAAATGGAAATAATAACACATGACCTACTCACCTAAAAGACTGTGAGGATCAGATCTGGAAAAATTACACATGAAGCACTTTGGGAAACATTAAAATATGCACACATATACAATGGGATCAACTCCACCCGACCCTACACATGCAGGTGGTGATTATAGTCTTTGCGGGCAGGGGTTGCAGGTCTTCAGGGCAGCAGAGCACCAGGGGCAGCACACTCTTCCAGCTGGTAGCACACCCAGAGCCTGAATTCCTAACAGATTTTATATTATCCCCCCAATTACACACCCATTAGCAGCCAGTCTTGTCATGGTGAAGGCGTTAAGGCGTGACGTTTATAAAGTGATGGGAATCAGGCCGCAGAGGCAGTGGAGGCTGTTTAACAAGCTGGTTGGAACCCAGCTCCCCTGCTTGCCCCCACCCTCAGCCAAGTGTGCTTTTTAGAACTTCCTTAAAGGAAGAGGCGACTTCAACGGCTTACTGTCTGGTTAGAGCCATAGATGATGGGAGCGTCACTGCATCCTTAAAGAAGCCTGGAAGGCCGCAAAGAATAAACCGTCCTGGGGGACGAGAGCTGCTGCATGAGTGTCACACAGCTCCCTGTCCTGGCCCCCGTGGGCCCTGAGCCTCAGATACATGTCATTCCCCATGGGGGCTTTTCCTAACTCCCCTAAACTTGCCCTGGTCTCGCGTGCTCATCGTCCGCCCAGCCTGCCTCTTTCACGTGGGCTGTCAGCATTCATGTTCCTCACCCTGGGGTGTTCTCTGTCAAGGAGCAAGCTGTGGCTTGTTTGTTCATCTCAGAACTCCCCACTCCTGGCTCAGCAAGTGTGTTCAGTAAAGGTTGTTAAGTTATTGGATGAATCTTATCCAACCCTAAGATTGCCACAAATGTTGAGATGTCATGGCAAGAAAACACGCAATGGGATGAGGGATGCAATAAATCCCACCCCGACAGATAGAGACATTCTGAGGACTGGAAGATGGAATGCACCACTGGGGTCACAGTTCCTAACTTGGGAAGCTCAGGCCCTGAGTCTTGGGGCCAGTCCCAAGTTCGACGGTTCTGAGAGCTGATGGTCTCCGCTGGCATTAGGAGCTTCTCCCATTGGCCCCACAGATTCCAGATTCCTCCAAGCGTTCCACAACCACCTCATTAACGACTAGGGTCCTCTGTCACAATTTTAACTTTGTAAGCTCACTTTCCTGGTCCCACACTCTCATTCCACAGTCTTCCCTGTGAACATTTGCATCTCAGCACAGGCAGGGTAAATGGAGATGAATCAGCTGGAGCCCCTGCCCTGGAGGTGCTCACAGCTTAGTTTGGAAGAAAGTAATGTGCCCAAATAATTAGAGTACAGTGTGATCAATGTGATAATTGAGCTAAGAACAAAGCCTTGTGGAAACACAGAGCAGAATGCGAAACTGCCTGGCAGACAGGCAAGAGCGGCAAAGGGGGTGTCACTTTGGCAGTGAATTTTCATGATGAGCCATAGCTCCCTCATCATCTACCCAAGGCAGGGAGGGGTGGGAGAGCCTTCTAGGCAGTAAGGACAGTGCATGCAGCAGCCCCGAGCCACCGAAGAGATCTGTGCGGAGCAATAACTGCTTTCCCAGGACTGGAAGCAAGGCTGCTGAGACGGAGTGTTGGGTGTTTTAGCTGGAGAGAGAGGTTGGGGTCAGACTATGAAGGGCTTTGAACATCTTACTATGACTTTTTACTTTATCCTGCAGGCCACGGGGGAGCCCTTAAAAGGCTTTAAAGCAGAGGAGTGACATGATGAAATCTGTGTATTAGAAAGACACCTCTGGCAGCAGCTTTCCATTACTGATGTGAAACTCCCCATTCTGGAAGCTTAGAAGACAGTTATGTCTTAAACCAGCTTTGCTGCCAACCCCGCCTCCGTCCTCTCATTGTTTTAGGAGAGGATGCCTTCAGATAAGACCTGAACTTGATTCTAGTCCTGCTCCTGATTCTCTGAGTGACCTTGGACAAGCACCTGGGCCTCAAGTTCCTCATCTCTAAAATCAGTGCAGGCTCTACCCATCTCACAGTGCCATGGTTAGGAACTGACAACAAACAAAATGTGGATAGTATTTTTTTAATTGTAACTGTCTTTATAGATGCAAAGAGATTATTTTTATTTAATGAAAACAGAGCCCTCTGTCAGGGAAAAGGCAAATGGGTGTTTGAGCTGGGCATACTAATTCTGGACAGGAATGGAGCTCAATGATCATCTACCCCAGCCTCCTTTGATCCCCAGAGCAGCACTTCCACCCCCAACTCCTGTTATTACACAAGTTCATCGTGGCAGATCTTCCAAGCCAACAACTCAAGTCCTGATCTTCCACACCCAGGGTAGGCCTGCAGGTCTGCCTCCAGGGGCTCCCTGGTGGGCGAGGACTCTGTCCATGGTGCTGACCCCTCACCGCCTTCCCCCTACACATTCAAGCATGTGCTGTGAGCCCAAATGGCAGGGACACTCCATTTCTGAGCACATGAACTAGAGAAAATGTTATAGCCATCTGTCGCCCCAAACTCGATTTTCTACAGCAGATTTACAATCCATAAACGTAGTCATCAGAGCAGAGTGAATAAAGCTGAGGACCTGGTGCACTTCAGCATCAACCATGAGCGAGTAGGAGGGCTTTGAGCATCTTATCCTAATTCCAATCCATTTATGAACTTGCTTTCCCAGTGAATCACTTATCAGACCCACCCCCACTCTCCCTCACTCTGTACTTTTTTCATTGCTGTGCTCACAAAGGAAGGAAATGAACACTGTTTCAATGGCTGCAGCTGCTGCCCAGAATCTCCAAGAACCAGTGCACAAGGAGGAGGGGGGGGAGCTGGCTTTGGCTTTGACTATATGATGATGAGGTATTGGATATAAATGGAGCCTGCACTGGATGATCACCACAATCCCTTTCAATCACTGAGAGTCTTTGATTTTATAATCCTGATTCCTTTGCAGAACTCCAGTCACCCCCAAATGGTGCCTGAACCTTGATTACAATATGAAACATATCTGTGTTCTGAAAATCTTTCCTGTTCCACCCTCCTCTCACTAAGACTTTTCTTCCTTGTTCTGCATCTTCAGGACACGTCTTTCCTGAGGCTTCTATCTCAAAAGCATGCCTGGGGTGGATTCCAGCTTTGCAGATCAGTAGTTTTGACATTGAGCAAATCATTTAAACTTTCTGTAGCTCAACTTCCTCTTTGGTAAAATGAGGACACTGATATCCACGTCCTTGGATGCAGATGAGACACTGTGTGTAAACCATCTTCTCTGGTGCCTGGCTTACGATGGGCACACAAGAAATGCTTGCCTTTGTCTCCCCCTTCCAAGTTAATGAGCTCAGCACAATCTCAGTTAATGTATTAATTTCGGTAACACATGCTTGCATGTTCCCCTTGTCCTTTCACATTTTTTTCCCGAGAAGAATTGATTTCTTTAGAGTAAATGCCTGGTCATGGGTACCTTTTTCTAATCTCAGAAATAACACAGTGTGGGGAGCTCATCGCTTTGCCTACACACAGAACCATGGCAGGGTACATTGAACCTTGAGCATGGTTCAGTTTCTTCTGGCTAGTGGTTTCTTCCAGGCTGAGAGAGTGATTCTTCTTACTTCTCCAACTTTGGAGAGGATGCAAGGCTGAGAAAATCCACCTTGTCCAGCTGGAATAGAAGTAAATTGACTAATTTATAAGCCCAGGCTGTTGTCTGGGCTGGAGTTTCTGTCCTTTAAAGATGTCAAACAGTAATGAAATACGGCTTCCAGCACCTAACCAACACTAATCATTCCAATGCTGCTGGGACACAATGAAACAGATAGTTTGGTTCCTTGCCTAGCTATGGAGAAATGAAAAAATCTCTTGATGCAGGCTCAGCTGCCAAGGCCTTGTAAATTAGGTCTTGCCATAATTCTGGGTTTGACCTTGAGCAGCTTACTTTTGTTGTCTTGGACCACTCTCTTTCTCAGCCTTCCCTACTCTCAAATGCCCCAGTAATTCCCCACTTACCCTCCAGGTTTTGTCCTGATAAAACCCTATTTCTGTCCGATTCTTGGTTTTCCATTCCCACTGCCAAACTTCCTCTTTCCCAGCATGACTACTGCCAGGATTTAGGCCAGTATCATTGCTCACCTGGACTGCTGAAAGCCTCCCAGATGGTTGCCATCTGCCCCAGCTCTCTTTTCTCTCATTCATACTCCACACTACTGCCTAGGCATTCATTTATAAAATGAAAATCTGGCCATCTCCTTGCATTGCTTCAAATCTCACAACACCTCCTTATTGCCTTATTGCCTAAGAATGAACCTGTAGCTCTTCATCCTGACATTCAAGGGCCATATGATTTGTCCCAGTCCTCTTTTATATGAGTAGCTTATTTCCACCCTATTCCTTGGGTTACATATTCCAGGAACCTCGTTACTTGTCTTTTTCCACACTAACTTTCCACCACTTGTCTTAACACATGCATTCTTGGACCTGTGATGCTCCAAGCTCATCCTCCAAAACTAACTTCCCCTCAAAGTCTTTATAGATATTCCCATATCAATCACCACACTCTCTCCAGAGAACCTTTCCTGGCAACATAGGTACCCATGACAGCCCCAAAAGTCTGACTCCAAGAGAAAACCTTCCAGCAAGAGCAGTTAGCTGGTATCCTGCCACACCCACCATGACATGCCGTGAGTCCCATATCTGGAACAACCTGCACTGTATAGACCAGGTGTAAAGCCATTTCCCATGATTGCCAGCTTGCCAGGGGAGAAATCTACTCCTTGGCACGAACTTGCCTTTAGCATATGCTGCTTGGGATGGTCAACTGCATTCTGCAATTAGCAGACTCTAGCAGCTGTGGTCATTGACTGAGCCTGCTGCTGCTGCTGCTATGAACAAATTATCCTCTCACCTGGAGGATTCCATGCCCTCCCCATCTGTCTTCCTGCCTTCTACCTGTAAACCACAAGAATAAACTTTCTAAAATCCAGATCTGGCCATGCTCCATCTCCACTCCCTGCTTGCTAAGCACACGTATGTTATGAAGAAGATAGAAGCCAAGCTCTTCAACACATCCTGCAAACACAGTCCTTCCTGGCCCAGTTCCAGCTCCTTACGGCCTCATCTTGAGTCTCTCCCCTCTTCCAAGAACCACACAGTCCAGTCACAGTGCCCTTCCTCAGGTGCTATGGTGAATGGATCATACACTCTCACAGCTCCCTGCCTTGAGACAGGCTCTTCAAAGAAGAGGGAGCGCATTTTCTCTACATCTTGCCTTGAAGAATTCCTTCTCATCCCTAGAATCAGCTTACATTTTTACTCTATTTTCAATGCTTTTCTCCGAACCAACCTTCAGCATTCATTTTATTCTTATTAAAATAATACATGCACATAGTTTCACAAAGCTTATAATGAAAACAGGAGCCCCTTGTTCTAATCCTCCTGGCTCCCAGCTCTTGATAGAGGGGATAATCGCTTCCCACTTTGCTAGCTTCCAGGAGAAAGATTCTTCCCCAAACACTCCTGCCCCATGAAGCTGAAATGTGGTCCCTGATTAGTGGCAGCAGCTGTTGGTCTATTCTGTTGAATGGATTGGATCACTCCATTGAAGGTCTATACAGTTAAGGAGTATGAAGGATTCAGTCTTATACGCTCCCTTCTCCTCTTGGACCAGTGGGACAGAGGGACCTGGTGAGGGTCTTTCCCTGCAGACTCAAACTCACTCTCTGGAGAGATTGCTCCAAGGTCTAGGCTGGTGGGACAGGTCAGTAAAAAGAAGGTCAGCAGAAGCATGTCAGCTCTTACACCAAGCAACTCACTCTGTCTTAGCTTTTATTGGTTAAAAAGGGAATTTGTTTTCTGTCTGCTGACTCCTTTTTCATATTCCTCAGCTGATAGAGAACTCGACTGCAGAAGAGGGTCATGGTTTATTGGCCTCCCTTAAAAGGCTTAACCACTTTTGCTTTCCCCAAGAAACCCCTCTTCTCACTTATGTTGTTTCTTCTGGCACTTAACTCCTTACTTCTAAGTTGCATGTCTACACGGCTCTTCCCTGATTTTTTAGGTTGAGAGAAAACCTATTGACTTTCAACAGTCACAGTTAAGGATGCAGCTCTCCTGACTCCCATACTCCACACACTTCCCCTCTCCATCCTTCCAGGATAGTTCATCAGCATTCACGGTTTACACCGTCGTGACTGCAGCGGCTGAGTCAAATGGCAGGCAATGATTGTATTTCTGCTCTTGGGCACTTTTGTTTTTCCTGGAGTTAATAATCACCAAACTGTTTAATTTGCTTATGTGCCTATATTAGCTCAGCTAGACATTCTGGCAGAGATGGGATTTTCTCAGTGTGTTGCAGCCACGCTGGCTCATCCATCAGTTTACTTTCTTTCTTGGAGCCATTCCTTCTCAAGCCTTCCATCCTCCTGCCTCCCCGTGGGAGGACCGCTCTGCGGCCGGCCATCCTGAATTCTTGCCACTCCATCACCCTTCATCTGTTTTCTATATGGGATCCCCTGTGACCTGGATTCTATGTCCTCCTCTTTTATCATTCATGTGGAATATGTTCTTCAGGAGCTGCTACCCAAGAATGGGTGCAAGGAAAAAAGAATTCGACACCTTGAAGTCTTTGGTCCATCATTCAAATTATTTCTAGTTTGGCTGGTTCTACAACTCTCATTGAAAATGAATTTTTCTTTAGAATATTCAGAAATGTTCTGTCTTCTAGCTTCTAGTGCTGCTTTTGTGAAGACCAATGCATTATTATGCCTGATATTGGTTTTTCACCTTTTTTCTTCCTCAAACCCGTGAAGGTCTTCTCCTTATTCCCAATATGTTGAATATCACACTCAGAGGGACCCATTCAACTAGAAGCCAATTTTCTTAACTTATTTCTTGGCCAACTTTCTCTTCCCTCCATTTTCTGCTTTCTTTTTTCTGGAAGTGTCATCATTTGGACATTGGTCCTCTGGAGTGAATCATTAGCTTCATAACTTCTCTCTCTCTCTCTCTCTCTTATTTTTATTTTTATTTTTTATTTTTTATTTTTTTGAGACAGAGTCTTGCTCTGTCACCAGGTTGGAGTGCAGTGGCGAGACCTCAGCTCACTGCAACCTCTGCCTCCTGGGTTCAAGCAATTCTCCTGCCTCAGCCTCCCAAGTAGCTGGGATTACAGGCACCCAACACAATGCCCACCTAATTTTTGTATTTTTTTTTTAGTAGAGATGGGGTTTTGCCACGTTGACCAGGCTGGTGACAAACTCCTGACCTCAAGTGATCCACCCACCTCAGCCTCCCAAAGTGCTGGAATTACAGGCATGAGCCACTGTGCCCAGCCTAACTTTTCTTATTTTCTTATCTTTTGGTTATTTTGTTCTACTTTCTAGAAAATTTCTTTATCTTTAAAATATTCTGGCTGGGCATGGTAGCTCACGTCTGTAATCCTAGCACTTTGGGAGGCTGAGGCAGGTGGATCACCTGAGGTCGGGGTTCGAAAACAGCCTGGCCAACACGGTGAAACTCTGTCTTTACTAAAAATACAAAATTAGCCGGGTGTGGTGGCGTGCACCTGTACTCCCAGCTAGCTGGGGGCTTAGGCAGGAGAATCGCTTGAACCTGGGAGGTGGAGGTCGCAGTGAGCCAAGTCAACGCCATTGCACTCCAGCCTGGGCAACAAGAGCGAAACTCCATCTCAAAAAAAATATGTATATATACATTCTATTGAGTTAAAAATTTTAGTTCTCTAGTTCTCTAATTTTTCATTTGTGGGAGTTTTGTGTTCCCAGTTATTCTTTCTTGTAGCATCCTGGTATTGAAAGGAAGGAAGAGCCTTCTGTTATTTCGCTGGACTTTTGAATGACGTGTTGTTTCTGTGGTCACTTTTTTCCCTCCATGCGTTGTTGTCTCTGGTTCATCTAGGATGTCTTGGTTTATTCCTTTTGGTTGGTTTTGATTTCTCTCTTTCACTTCAGAAGAATGTAAAGAAGTTCTCCTCAACATTGAGTAGCCTTGGAAGACTACTCATTTTTGTGAGTCATTCACAAAATGTTAATTGGCCACTCCGTGCTTGGCCTGCAGGGGACCCAGCACAGCCTGACAAGGTGGCAGTGGCTTTGGCTTTCAGTGTCCGTGGATCCTTCCTCTTCAGCCAGTGAGTACCCTGGGGCACATCCCTCTATTCTGTTTGGGGGGCATGAGCCTGGCTTCCAGAAGCCTAAGGGCTGGGTGTGGGAGGGTTCTGAGGCCACACTGGTTAACATATGCCATTCCAGGTGGCCCCCATGTCATCGGTGAGACTCTGCCCTCAGCTCTTCTCTGGTGTCCAGTCTAGAACCCATTTAGGTCACAATCTCCAAGAAGTAAGTCTCAAGGCTCCTGCTAGATGTGGAGATGCATTGTTGCCTGGAGGCTCGGAGATGAGAGGGAAGGGGGCAGTCCATCTTCTCATTATAAAGACTTTGAAAACACTTTCCCTTTTCAACTCCACCTTCACTCTCACTGGCCCCTAGGAGTTGTTTGGGGTCCCTGGCTCCCTGATGCCCATAAGGAATGGGTCTGTCTACTTTTCCTTTCCCCACCTGCTCCCGTTCCCACCTCTGGTTGGCTGGCTGGGCTACCCTGTCCACCTGTTTTCCACCTTTGGCAGCTGTGCCAACATTTGGCTGTTTTGCTCTTGACGGTTTCTTTGTGCTTGTGATTATGTGTTCTTCTCCCTTTCCTGTTATTTTAATAGGACTCTCTGAGAGAGCTGAGGTAGGCTCATGGGTTCAAACTGCCAGGTTTAACAAAAGTTCCTCCGCCAGGTATGACAGCCCCATCAATATCTGACCCACTGTAAATGTTTATCAAGGAAGGTCTGTCCCACGCCTCCCAGATTAAATCACAAGCTTGAGGCTAAGTTCACACCTCTCATTCCATCTCCTATTTCCCTTAGTACTTGGCAAGGTGTCATTTGTTAAATTGAAGTAAATCCTAATTACACCTTACAAGCTGTTTGGACATAGAGCCCCAAAGCCACATAAGATAGACAAAAACAATTTCACTGTCTGTCCCCTGGTCCTGGGATCCACATCATTGCACCATTTTTTTTTCCTTTTGGGGACAGCAAGGTATATAGCAATGATCATGACTCTGGAGTTTCATCTTGGCCTGTTTTTTTTTTTGTTTTTTGTTTTTTGTTTTTTTTTTTTGAGATGGAACCTCCCTCTGTCTCTCAGGCTGGAGTGTAGTGGTTTGATCTTTGCTCATGCAGCCTCTGCCTCCTGGGTTCAAGTGGTTCTCCTGCCTCAACCTCCCAAGTAGCTGGGATTATAGGTGCCCGCCACCATATCTGGCTAACTTTTGTAGAGACAGGGTTTCATCACGTTGGCCAGGTTGGTCTTGCACTCCTGGCCTCAAGTGATCCACCCACCTCAGCCTCCCAAAGTGTTGGGATTACAGGCGTGAGCCACCGCACCCGGCCCCTAATTGTTAATTTATGAATTTTGGTTTTCTCACCTGCAAAATGAGCATAATGCTTACCTTGTGAGTGATTTTTGAGGATTAAAAAAATGTATGTAACCAGGCTCTGCGCATACAAGGAACACCATAAACAACACTTCTCTTCCTGTTATCCCCATTCTACAAGAGGTGAATACCCCAGAAATACCACGCTTCTTACCAGAAGTGACAACGGGAACAATTAAAGCTGGGCGTGAGGGCCCAGTCTTCCCAGGACTCCTGCAGGCTCTTTGCAGGAGCAATGGCCTCTGGAAAGCCAGTGCACTCCAAAAGAAAACCCAGCTAAATGCCATTCCTCCACAGTAATTTCCTTGGAGATATTTAATAGCCACTGGAGAGGGGGAAAAAGTTCAATCTTAAAGACAATCCCAGTTTATAGCTTTATGGCTTTGGTGATAGCTGAGCACTCAGGGTTATACAATTTCCTTTACATCTCCCTTATTAAACACCCATCTTCACAACCCTCTGCACACACTGCACTGGTGTCTCACCCCCAGAAATGGCCCCGAGGCTCATTTACAAGCTCATTAACTTATATTTTCCTCATTAAGAGGAGAGGAGGGAAGTATGTGTTCAAAGTGAATGGCCAAAGGAAATTTAAGAACTGTTCAGGGGCCAGAGAAAGGCATGACCTCCCTCCAGAAGGGCAGCCTGAAAAATAACAATGGTAATAATAATAGCAATGATCACAGTCATCAAAGCAATACTAACATTGCCCCTTAACATTTTAAAGCCTTGTGATGCTGTTATCTAATTGGGTACTCGTCAAGGCCTAGTAAGGATATGGGATATGTAGTTCTACCCTACAAGGGAAGGATAGTGTCTCAGTCCATGTTGGCTGCTGTAACAACCTGCCACAGACTGGGTGGCTGTCAAAAACAGAAATTTACTTCTCACAGCTCTCGAGGCTCTGAGAAATCCAAGATTGAGGCGCCATCAGGGTAGGACTCTGGGGAGGGCCCTCCTCTGGGTTGCAGATGACCGTTTTCTTATTGTGTCCTCCATGGTGGAAGTGGCAAGGGACCCCTGCATGGAATTTTTGGGAAGGGTCCTAATCCCATTCGTGAGGGCTTCACCCTCATGATCTAATCACCCCCCAAAGGCCTCACCTCCTAATATCATCAAATCAGGGGTTAGGATTTCAATGTATACATTTTAGAAAGACACAAACATTCAGTCTGTAACAGAGCGAGAGGAGACGGGAAGGGAGCTAGATTTGGAATCCCAACATCTGGGTTGAGTCCCACCACCTCCACAGGAATGTGACCTTGAGTGTCATAAAGGTTAAATGGTGCAATCATGTCTTAAGGTGAATGAGCAGGAGGAGGAGGGTTAGAAGCCTTTGTTTCCAATCCCACATCCTCCCCAATTTCCCACGCCACATTGACTGCTCCATCACGGGCTGTAGAATCTAAGCATTGCAGACGACAAACCTGCATATCTGGAAGCATCTTCATCATCTTTAAAAAATAACCCTCATGGGCCAAGCACGGTGGCTCATACCTGTAATCCCAGCACTTTCGGAGGCCAAGGTGAGCAGATCACCTGAGGTCAGGAGTTTGAGACTAACCTGACCAACATGGTAAAACCTGATCTCTACTAAATACAAAACAATTAGCCAGTCATGGTGACAGGTGCCTGTAATCCCAGCTACTTGGGAGGCTGAGGCAGGAGAATTACTTGAACCTGGGAGGCAGAGGTTGTGGTGAGCCAAGATTGCACCCATTTCACTCCAGCATGGGCAACAAGAGTTAAACTCTGTCTCAAAAACAAAAACAAAAAATAACCCTCATGGCCAGCTCTGTGCGAAGGCGAGGCAACTGGCTGCAGCAGTATGTTGTATGGGGCTTACTGTGGGAATGAACTTAGGAGGATGCCCAGCAACATAACCACCATAGGTGAGATGAGGAAGGGTAAGAATTTTCCAACATTCATGAACCATGGATGGGCAGAGTCAGGGCTCTGCATCCATCACTCCATCTCCTCTGCATGAGCATATGGGAAGACTGCACTTCCCAGCCTCCCTTGCAGCTAGGTTGGCACCATATAACAGATTCCAAGGGACCGTGGGCAGCAGAAATGGAAGATGCCTCTGGGTGTGGCTAAAATACCTCTCATCATGACTCAGCCCTCAGTGACCAGGGAGCCTGGAGCTCCAGGTGCCGGAGTTATATGTTGGAAGGGGATACAGCTTAGGGGAGAGCTATGGAGAAGAACCACTTCCTGCTCTGGCCTGTGCAGAGTGATAAATGGTGTGAATCATTAAGATGTGGAGGTTTATTTGTTACTGCAGCACAGCCTAGCTTTCCCTGATTAATACACATAGCCTCAAGGACATGGGTGAAGAAATGAAGACATTATCTGGGCAGAGGATCCCATTTATATCAGAAAAATGTAATCACTCTGCCAGACTCTCTTACTGTAGCTTAGCATCTGACTCCTTCAGCCTTCAGGTCACTATTTTGATGTAGTGTCTTCGAGAATTCCTCCCTGAGGCTGCCTGCCTGATACACAGGGACTCTGTCCATCACCTGAGTCAGTAGCAGGTCTTCTTTAATTTTGCAGACGCTTTTTCAAATGTCATTGTACAGTTATTTATTCAAATATTGTTCATCTCTCTGGCTCCATCCTAGAATGCAAGTGTCATGAACTCAGGGACTCTGCTTACCTCCTTCTTCCTCGTGCCCAGTGCAAGGCCAGCAACGAAGTCCACATGACAACTTGCCTGAAATTAGACCTTGAACGAGAACTGCACAGAATGTTAGTTGTCATAGATATTTTAAATACACGCTTACATGCTTCTTAGGCTAATTGTTAATAAACTGCATATAGTTATTCACATGTTGAAAAAATTCTGTTCTTTTGTGAAGTCTGCTGGATTAAAGTATGCATAGGTTACATGCAGCACAACGCACCCATTTTGAGCATCCATTTGCATGATTTTTTGACAAGTGTATACACCTGTGTGACCAACACTGGCATCGTGATGAAGACCATTCCCATGAGCCCAGAAAATTCCCTCCTGCTGTCCCAGCCCATTTTCCCCTCCCCCAGCCGCAGGCAAAACCACTGCGGCTCCGCTCTCTCGCTATAGATCAGATTTGTGCTTTTAGAGACTTGCAATATTTGAATCCTAAAGGACACACTCTTTTGTGTCTGGATTCTCAAGCTCAGTATAATATTTTTGAGATTTATCCATGCTTTCTGTATACATGTATGTGTGTGTGTATATATATCCGTAGTTACCTCGTTTTTATTGTTGAGTAGTACTGCCACAGTATGAATATACTACAATTTGTTTATCCATTGATTGTTTTTCCATTTTAATGAGAGCTTTATTGAGACATAATTCACATACCATAAAATTTACTCATTTAAAATGTACAATTCAATGGTTTTAGTATATTCACAGAGTTCTGCAACCAAACCACTATCCAATTTTAGAAAATGTTCATCACTCCCAACAGAAACCCCACACCCATGAGCAGTAATCTCCATCTCCCCTCCCCACATGCCCTGGCAACCCTAATCTACTTTCTGTCTCTGCGAATTGGCCCATTCTGGGGAGTTTGTATGACAGAAATTTTACAGTATGTGGTATTTCGTGCCTGGCGTATTTCACTTAGCATAGTGTTTTCAGGGTTCATCTATTTTGTAGCACAGGTTGGTACTTCATATCTTTTTAAGGATAAAACGTATTTTGTTGTGTGGATTTACCACATTTTTTTTCTCCATTCATCAGTTGATGGACATTTCGGTTTTTTCTCCTTTTTGGCTTTTATGAATAGTGCTGCTGTGAACATATGTGTACAAGTTTTCATGCGAACATATTTTAAAGATTATCCTGACTCTCTACCTAGCATTAGAATGCTTGGGTCAAATAACCCTGTGTTTTGCTTTTTGAGGAACTGCAGAACCGTTTTCCAAGATGCTGCGTCATTTTATGTTCCCACTAGCAGTGGTTGCGGGGCCGGTTTCTCCACGAGCACGGCTGGTTTCTGCCGTCTTTGGATTCTAGCCGTCCTGGTGGGTGTGCAGTGCCTTCTCGCGGTTTTGGTTTGTGTTTCCCTGGTGCCTGGTGACACGGAGTTTCTTTCCATGTGCTTACTGGCCATTTGTAGATCACCTCTGAGGAAATGTCTACTCAAATATTTTGTTCATTTTTAAATTGCTTTATTTGTCTTTTTTTGTTGAATTGTAAGAGTTTTCGTATATTCTGGTTACTAAACCCTAACAGATCCATGATTTGCAAAATTTTCTCGCATTCTGCATATATGTATATGCACGGAAGTTTAGAATTTTGATGAACTTCAACTTAGCTATTATTTCCTATGGTCACTTGCATTCATTCACCTTTGATAAATAATTTGCATTGTTTCCAGTTTGGGGCTGTTATGGATAAGGCTGCTATGAACATTGAAGTATGGGGAGTTTTTTGTTTGGTTTGGTTTGGTTTTATTTAGAGACAGGGTCTTGCTGTGTCACCCAGGCTGGAGTGCAGTGGTGCAATCATAGTTCACTGCAGCCTCCAACTCTTGGGCTCAAGTGATCCTCTTGTAAAGTATGGGTTTTTATGTGGACATAATGTGTGCATTTATCTTTGGTGGATATCTAGGATTGAAAGTTCTGGATTGTTTGATAAGTGTAGTTTAACTTTTAAGAAGTTTCTATTTTTTTTTTCCAAAATGGTTATAGAATTTTACATTCTCACCAATAATGTGAGAGGCCCAGTTGTTCCACATCCTCACTGACACTTCATATCGTCAGCCTCTTTCACGTTGGCCATTCGACTGAGTATACACTGGTTTCCCGTTTTGGTTTTAATTCGCATTTTTCTAATGGATAGTGATGTTGAACATCTTTTCATAGGCTTAGCGGCCATTTGTATGTCATCATCTTCTTCTCTTTTTCTTTGCCAAGTGTTTATTCAATTATTTGGGCCATTTTTTCTTGGGCTGCTTACCTTCTTAAGCTTAAAAAGCATTATAGAGAACAGCCTGGGCAACATGGCAAAATCCCGTCTCTACAAAAGCTACAAAACATAGCCAGACGTGGTGGTGCGTGCCTGTAGTTCCAGCTACTCAGGAGACTGAGGCGGGAAGATTGCTTGAGCCTGGATGCAGAGGTTGCAGTGAGCCAATGTTGTGCCGCTGCACTCCGGCCTGGGCAACAGAGCCAGACCCTGTCTCATAAATAAATAAATAAAAATAAAGAGCATTACATACTCTGATTACAAGAGCTTTGCTAGATATGCTTATTATAAATATTTTCTCCTCTTCTCTGTCTTCCTTCTTCATTTTCTTAACAATGTCTTTCAAAGTACAACAGGTTTTAGTTTCTGCACAAATTGAAATCTAATTTGACCACATTTTCTTTTATAGTTTGTATGTATTTAGACCCTACTTAAGAAATCTTTGCTTATCTCCAGTTGGTAAAGATTTCATCTTATGATTTTGTTTGGAAGTTTTAGAGATTTAGATTTGTGATCCACAGCACTTGGTGGTGTGAGCCACCGAGCCCAGCCTATGACCCATTTCAAGTATATTTTTGTTAATGGCCTGAGGTTGGGGTCAAGGTTTATTTTTTCCTATCTATATACATTGCCAATTTTTCCAATACCACTTGTTGATGATTATTCTTTTTCCATCGAATTACCTTGGCATCCTTGTAAGAATCAATTGAACATACATGTGTGGGTCTATTTTTAGATTTTCCACTGTGTTCAATCTAAATATCGATTCTTACACCAACACCATACTCTCTTGATTTCGTTTTATTCATACAAGGTGGTATGAATTTTTTTTCAAAATTGTCTGAAGTAATCTAAGTTCACTAAACTTTCATGTAAATTTTAGAATCAGCTTGGTAATTTTTATAAAAAAAGAATATTTTTATTAAGATTGAATTGAATCTATAGATGAACTTCGGGAAAATTGCTGACCTAACAATACTGAGTCTTCCAGTTCTTAAGCATCACATAATTCTCCATTTATTGAGGACTTTTTAAATTTCCCTTAGTAATGTTTTGTTATTTTCAGTGTATATGTCTGGAACATATATTGTTAATTTTATTCCCATATAAGTGATGGTTTTAATGCTATTTTAATTGACATTGTTTTTAAAATGTTTTAATACTTTAATTAACGATTTATTGTCAGCATGTAGAAATACAGCTGGTTTTTGTGTAGTGCTTTTCTATCCTGTGGTTTTGCTAAGGTCGTTAACTAGTTTTAGAAAATTCTTAATGGATTCTTTTGGATTGTTTCTGTTCACAATCATGTCATTTGCAAATAAAAGCAGTTTATTTCTTCCCTCCTAATCTGTACAGTTTTATTCCTGTCTCTTGCCTTCTTAAGCTAGCTGGGACTTCCAGTACAAAATTGAATGGAAATGATGGGAGTGGGCATTCATTACCAATCTCAGAAGATGACATCAGCTGCAGGGTTTGCACTCATACCTTTCCTCAGATCCAGGAAATTGACTTCTGTTTCTAGTCTGTTCAGATTTTCTCTCATAAACTGATGCTTAACTTCATCAAATGCTTTTTCTGTATCTACAAATAAAATTGTATTTTTATTTTTTATTCTTATAATTCTAAGATAATTACATTAAGTAATTTTCTTACATTAACCTTTTTGTATGTTAACTCAAACGTACATTCCTGGAGGAGGCAAAGTGGTGAGAGTGAGCATCCTTGTCTTGTCCCAGTTCTCAGAGGGAATGCTTTCTACTTTTCCCCATTGAGTATTATGTTGGCTGTGAGTTTGTCACAGATGGCTTTTATTACTTTAAGGTATGTCCCTTGTATGCCGATTTTGCTGATAGTTTTAATCATAAAGGGATGCTGGACTTTGTTGAATGCTTTTTCTGTATCTGTTGAGATGATCAAGTGATTATTGTTTTTAATTATGTTTATGTGGTGTATCACATTTATTGACTTGCGTATGTTAAACGATCCCTGCATACCTGGTATGAAACCCACTCGATCATGGTGGATTATCTTTTTTGATATATTGTTGGATTTGGTAAGCTAATATTTTGTTAAGAATTTTAGCATCAATGTTCATCAAGGATATTGGTAATTTTTAAATTACCATTTCAATCTTGCTGCTTGTTATTGGCCTGTTCAGGGTATCTAATTCTTCCTGATTTAAGCTAGGAGGGTTGTACCAGGAATTTCTTGGTCTCTTCTAAGTTTTCTAGTTTATGTGCATAAAGGTGTTCATAGTAACCTGGAATGATCTTTTGTATTTCAGTGGTGTCAGTTGTAATATCTCCTGTTTCATTTCTTAGTGAGGTTATTTGGATTTTCTCTCTTCTTTTCTTGGTTGATCTTACTAACGGTCTATCCATTTTATTTATCGTGTCAAAGAACCAACTTTTTGTGTCATTTATATTTTGTATTTTTTTTTGTTTCAATTTCACCTAGTTCTGTTCTGATCTTGGTACTTTCCTTCCTTCTGCTGGCTTTGGGTTTGGTTTGTTCTTGTTTCTCTAGTTCCTTGAGGTGTGACCTTGGAAGGTCAGTTTGTGCTCTTTCAGTCTCTTTGATGTAGGCGTTCAGGGCCATGAACTTTCCTCTTAGCATTGCCTTTGCTGTATCCCAGAGGTTTTGATACGTTGTGTCATTATTGGCATTCAGTTTGCAGAATTTCTTTAATTTTCATCTTGATTTGGTTTTTGACCTAATGCTCATTCAGGAGCAGTTTATTTAATTTCCTTGTATTTGCATGGTTCCGAAGGTTCCTTTTGGAATTGATTTCCAGTTTTATTTCACTGTGGTCTGAGAGAGTGCTTGATATAATTTCAATTTTCTTAAATTCACTGAGGCTCGTTTTATGGCCTATCATCTGGTCTATCTTGGAGAAAGTTCCATGCGATGTTGAATAGAATGTGTATTCTGCGGTTTTTGGATGAAATATTCTGTATAATCTGTTAAGTCCTTTTGTTCCAAGGTATAGTTTAAATCTATTGTTTCTTTGTTGACTTTCTGTCTTGATGGACTATCTAGTGCTGTCAGTGGAGTACTGAAGTTCTCCACTATTATAGTGTTGCTGTTATCTCATTTATTAGGTCTATTAGTAATTGTTTTATAAATTTGAGAGCTCCAGTGTTAGGTTCATATATGTTTAGGACTGTCGTATTTTCCTGTTGGACAAGGCCTTTTACCATTATATAATGCCCCTCTTTGTTTCTTTTAACTGCTGTTGCTTTAAACTTTGTTTTGTCTGTTATAAGAATAGCTATCCCTGCTGCTCACTTTTGGTGTCCATTTGCATGAAATGCCTTTTTCCACCCCTTTACTTTAAGTTTATGGGAGTCCTTATGTGTTAGGTCCTGTAGGCAACGGATAGTTGGTTGATGAGTTCTTACCCATTCTGCAATTCTGTATCTTTTCAGTGGAACATTTAGGCCATTTACATTCAATGTTAGTATTGAAACGTGAGGTATCTTTGCATTCATCATGCTCTTTGTTGCCTGTGTACTTTGTTTTTTTTTTGGTTTTTGTTTTTGCTTTTTAGCATGTATTTTTGTTTTCTAGGGCCTGTGTGATGTATGCTTTGAAGAGGTTCTGCTTTGATGTGTTTCCAGGATTTGTTAAAAGATTTAGAGCTCCTTTCAGCAGTTGTTGTAGGGGTAGCTTGGTAATGGTGAATTCTCTCAGCATTTGTTTTTCTGAAAACGACTGTATCTTTCCTTCATATATGATGCTTAGTTTCACTGAATACAAATTTCCTGGCTGATAATTGTTTTGTTTGAGGAGGCTGAAGATAGGGCCCCAATTCCTCCTAGCTTGTAGAGTTTCTGTTGAGAAATCTGCTATTAATCTGATGGGTTTTCTCCTGTCTCACAGCTCTTAAGATTCTTTCCTTCACCTTAACTTTGGATAACTTGATGACAATGTGCCTAGGTTAAGATCTTTTTGCAATGAGTTTTCCAGGTGTTCTTTGTGCTTCTTGTATTTGAATGTCTAGGTCTCTAGCAAGGCCGGGGAAGTTTTCCTCGATTATTTCCCTGAATATGTTTTCCAAGCTTTTACAATTCTCTTCTTCCTCAGGAACACCAATTTTTCTTAGGTTTGGTTGTTTAACATAATCCTAGACTTCTTAGAAGCTTTGTTCTTATTTTCTTATTCTTTTTTCTTTGTCTTTGTTGGATTGGGTTAATTCAAAGACCTTGTCTTTGAGCTCTGAATTTCTTTATTCTACTTGTTCAAGTCTATTGCCGAGACTTTCCAGAGCGTTTCACATTTCTAAAAGTGCTTCCAAAGTTTCCTGAATTTTTGATGGTTTTTTCTTTGAGCTATCTATTTCCTTGAATATTTCTCCCTTCACTTCTTGTATTATTTTTTGGATTTCCTTGCATTGGGCTTCACCTTTCTCTGGTCCCTCCCTGATTAGCTTAATAATTAACCTCCTGAATTCTTTTTCAGGTAAATCAGGGATTTCTTCTTGGTTTGGAACCATTGCTGGTGAACTAGTGTGATTTGGGGAAGGTGTTGAGGAGCCTTGTTTTGTCATATTACCAGGGCTGGTTTTCTGGTTTCTTCTCCTTTGGGTAGGCTCTGTCTGAGGGAAGGTCTAGGGCTGAAGGCTGTTGTTCAGATTCTTTTGTCCCACGGGGTGTTCCCTTGATGTAACACTCTCACCCTTTTCCTATGGATGTGGCTCCCTGTGAGCCGGACTGCAGTGATTGTTGTCTTTCTTCTGGGTCTAGCCACTCAGTGAGTCTACTCAGCTCCAGGCTGGTACTGGAGGTTGTCTGTACCCTAGTCGTCTTTAAATGTGATTGATCTCTTCTAGCAGATTTTGTTTCTTTGAGTTTTCTGTTATTCTGCTTTCTCTTTCATTTAATTTCCCTTTTCTTATATTTTCCTATTCCCTTGGCTTATTTAAGATTTATCTTGTCCTTTTCCCCCGAGTTTCTTATTAAGGAAACTTAAGTTATTGATTTAAGATGTTTCATCTTACTAAAATAAGTATTTAATGCAATATACTTTCCTCTGAGCACTGATTTTGTTGTGTCCATAAATTTTGTAATATGGTTATTTTAGTTTTCGTTCAATTTAAAACACTCTTTTAAGCCCTATTATGATTTCTCCATTAGAAGTGTCATTTTAGCTTTTCAAATATTTGTGTCTTTTCTAGATATCTAGTTGTTACTTTGTTTTTAATGTACTTCTATTGTGGCCAGAGAACATACTCCGCATGAGTTCAGCAAAAAAAAAAAAAAAAAAATTTGTTGAGGCTTGTTGCCTTGCTTTATGGCCAAGTGCAGGGTGAATCTTGGTAGATGTTCCCTGTACACTTGAAGAGAACATCTCTTTTTCTCTGGGTGGGTAGAGTTAACTGGGTCAAGCTGGTTGATAGTATTCTCTAAGTTTGCTATATCTTTACTAACTTTCTATTTGTTTTATAAATTGCTGAGGATGAGTGTTGAAATGTTTAAACATATTTGTGGATTATTCCGTTTTTCCTTTAAGTTCTATCCATTTTTTTCTCCCTTTATGTTGAAGCACTGCTGTTTGGTGCATACCCATTGAGGATTATGACACCATCTTGATGAACCTATGTTATTATCACATGCCCATTTTCCCCTGATAATATTTTTTTCTGCAGCCTACTTTTCTGATATTAATAAAGCTACTCCAGATTTCTTTTGATTAGAGTCTGGATGCTGTAGATGTTTCTGTTTTTAATTATATGTGTTTTTATATTAAAAGTTGGTTTCTTGTAGGTAGCAGATAGCCAAATCGTGTTCTTTAATCTTGTCTTGCAATTTCTTTTTAAGCTGGAAGGTTTTTATCCTTTACATTTAATGTAATTATCTGCATATCTGGATTTAAATGTATTATGTTGCTCTTTGTTTTATGTTTGTTCCATCTGTTTTCTTGTCCCTCTTTCTTCTTTTCCAGCCTTCTCTTATACTGGGAAGTTTTAGGAATCAATTTTATCTCTAGAGTTGGCCCATTAGCTCTATTTGTTTTTTTGCTTTCTGTGTTTGATCTAGTGTTTACCATATATATGGTTACCAAAATCTGCCTTCAAATAACATTGTGCCAGTTCATGCACCATTAAAAAACCTCAAAAATTTTATTTCTGCAGATTCCCCTTTAATTTATTATTGTCATCTCTTTCTTCAACATATGTTATGACCCCACATTTCATTATTACTTTCACTTTAAATAGTAGCTTGTTTAAAATAAATTTAAAAACTAGAAACAAGAACTTTTTATTTACCCACATATTTATAATTTCTAGCACTTTTTTTTCTTTGCAGATTGAAGTTTCCATCTGGTGTCATTTTCTTCCTATCTGAAGGATTTCCTTTAGTAACTTTAACAGTGCCGGTCTGCTGGCAATGCATTCTCTCAGCTTTTGTTTATCTGAAGAGTTTTATGTTGACTTTGTTTTTGAAGGATACTTTTACTGCATATAGAGTTCCAAACTGACAAGTAATTTTTTTCTTTTTTCACACTTGAAAAATATAATTCTGTTGTTTTCTAGCTTGCATAAATTATGACATGAAGTTTGTGATTATTCTTATCTTTGCTCCGTGTTACATTAAATCTTTTTCTCTAGCTGATTTTTAAATGTTCTCTTTATGTAACGGTGATGATGGTGGTGATAGTGATAATGGTGGTGGTGATGGTGGTGGTACTGGTAATGATGGCTGTGGTGATGGTGATAGTGAAGGTGATAATGGATAATGATGGTGGCGATGGTGGTGGTGGTGATGCTGTTGGTGGTGATGGTGTTGGTGGTGGTGATGGTGGTTATGGTGATAGTGATGGTGATGATGGTGGTGATGGTGATAACGAATAATGGTGGTGATGGTTGTGATGATGATGGTGGCAATGATGTTGGTGGTGATGATGATAGTGGTGGTGTGTGTTTATTCTCCTTTCAGTTTAGTGGTGATGATGTTGGTGGTCATGATGGTGGTGGTGGTGTGTGTTTATTCTCCTTTCAGTTTAATAAGATGCTTAGAATTGACAGAAATTTTTTAAAATGAAATTTGAAAAAATTGCTGCCATTATTTCTTCAACTATGTTTTCTGTCTTCCCCACTCCCATACCCTATGTTCTAGAATTGAAATTACCAGATGTCAGACCACTTGATATCTCACCAGCCACTGAAACAGTTTATTTATTTTGTACTTTTTGTCTCTGCTTACTTCAAATAGAATGTATTGCTATGTCTTCTGGGTTACTGTAATTACACCTGTAATCCCAGAATTTTGGGAGGCCGAGGCAGGCAGATCACTTGAGCCTAGGAATTCCAGACCAACCTGGCTAACATGGTGAAACCTCATCTTTACAAAAAGTACAAAAATTAACAAGCCATAGTGGTGCAAACCTATAGTCCCAGCCACTCAGGAGGCTGAAGTGAAAGGATTGTTTGAGCCCAGGAGGCAGTTGCAGTGAGCTGAGATGGCGCCACTGCATTCCAGCCTGGGCAACAGAGTGAGAACCTGTCTCTCAAAAAAAAAAAAAAATAGCCTTTAATAAAGTTAGTGTTAATTCAGCCCCACTCCTAAGACCCAGATCCTTCTGGGCACCATCCTAAATGTCACATGTATTCAATGAAGTCTCTCCATTATGGCTGAAGGGAACTCCATGCTCTGTGTGAATTCTGTGCACTGTTTAACTTGCACCTCTCTGTCCCACACATGTGCATACAGGTATTTAGTCAGACTCTAGGGGACCCCATGCAATTTTTAGAATTTTTCCCCTGCATAGCTGTCTCCTCTCTATAACTCTGCCCTACAAACACTAGCTGCCTTGGCATTCCGGAACTCTGATCTCTGTCTACTCAACTTAGCAACATGTCTAGATCTGTTTGGGTTCCTGATTCCTTTGGGGCTGTCCCCAGATATCTTTAGGAAGAGTCCTAGATGATGATAGGCCTCCCTTTGTCTATTTCCCTTCCCTCTGGGGTCAGCCCTGCCCTGCCCAATGCTCAGTATCTACAAAGAATCGTTTTACTTGTGCTGATTTCCAGTTTATTTTTTTTAATGATGGGAGGGTGGTGCCATACCTTGCTATTCCCTCATGACTGGAAGTGGAAAGGGGAGTGATATAGTTTGCCTCTGTGACCCCCATCCACATCTCACCTCGAATTGTAATTCCACATGTTGAGGGAGGGATCTGGTGGGAGGTGATTGGATCATGGAGGTGGTTTGTCCCATGCTGTTCTCTTGATAGTCAGTTCTCAGGAGATCTGGTTATTTGATAAGCGTCTGGCATTTCCCCTGCTTGCACTCTCTCTCTCCCGCCACCTTGTGAAGAAGGTGCCGCCTTGCTTCCCCTTTCTCTTCCGCCATGCTTGTAAGTTTCCTGGGGCCTCCCCAGCCATGTGGAACTGTGAGGCAAGTAAACCTCCTTTGTTTATAAATTATCCAGTCTCAGGTAGTATCTTTATAGCAGTGTGAAAATTGACTAATACAAGCAGTTTGGTTCTTAATCATTGATCTTTTATTTGCCCTTTGAGGACCTAAATGGCCATCACATTCTGAGTTCTTACTAGTGAGTGGTACCTGCCCTATGTGAACCAATCCATGCTGGTCAGGCATGGGTGTGAGGGTCTCAGATTTTGTGCCTGCACCAGCCACTGTTCTGTTGAGATCAATTGGATTAAACCACGGTGCCTGTGCAGGCTGGCTCTTACAAAGTGTGTGAAGAAGTTTACTCTGTCACTTGTGATCATTAGAAAGCTGCCTGAGCCCACTGAACTACAGAGAGCTAGACACTGGAAATAAGAGGGTTCCAGCATAGATGTGGGACCCCAACTTTCAGTGATCCCATCACCATCCCGGGCTTGAAACCCCTCTGTGGCTTCTTTAGCTTGTGAACTTCACTGTGGCAGGGCATCCAAGGCACATCTTGGGGGCACCCTTCCCTGTTCTCCACACTCTCCATTCAGAGAATCTCTTATCCTAGAAATATTTAGCTCTTTCATGCCTACAGAGCCTGCTTAAATTCTACTCCTGTAAGGCCTATTTCAGAAGTTTTCTGCTCTATAAATTCCTAATCCCTGCTCCTCAGTTAAGATGATCATATTCCTCTTTAATATCCTCAACGTTTTTTTGAATATCAGTCCTCATTTAGATTTTGATTTACAAACATTTACTAAGCCCCTACTACGTGGCCCTAAGCATGCTATGGGTGTTCATGTTTGATGGATCATCGAATCTGCACAAAAACTCCAAGAAGAAGGTTTTACTCTAGGCATTTAGCCAATAAAGATAAAAGACTCAGAAGGCCAAGTGACTTGTCTCATTTAAATAGCTTTGATACTTATCATTTTCTCCCTGATTTATGGTTCCTTGAATGCACGTCTGTAAGGAGACAATCCTTAGTCTGTGTGACCTTGGGCAACTTCCTTAAGTTCCTTGAACTTCAAGTTCTCCTTCTGCAAAATACAGTCCATTTTACACACACTGTTGTGTGTAAAATGAAGGAAAGTGCCAGTCAGCATAGTGGGAAGTACCCCAACACACAGCAGGTGCACATGAGTGTTCACTCCCTTCCTTCCCAGCCCTTCCCCCTTACACTCTAAGCTCCTCGGGCATAGGAAGAATAACATGCTGTCTCCATTATTTCTTTTCCTGGCAAACTGTAGAACTGGCCTGAAACATAATAAGAGCACAGACAAATCTGGTGACATGAGTTGCCCAGACAACTCTTTTTCAGAGAATTAGAAGGCAGCGCCAAGGTCACTCAGGGTTCCCGGAGGCCCATGCCTCCTCCTCAGGACACAGAGGTTTAAGAGCCATAGCTGCCGCGGAGAATGACCTTTACTGGGGCCAGACCTTTCTTTAAGTGCCCCAGAAATATTGTCTTACATAAGCGATCTTAGGAACATGAGCAGTTGATTATGGCATTGCCATTTTAGGAAGGAATCAATGGCAGGTCAGAGTCTAAATGACTTTCTCAAGGTCAGAGCCATTGGGCATCAAAGCCAAGTCTGCATAACCTTGCTCTTCCATGCCTGAGATCTTCCCCTGGAGGAGCCAGCTGTCTGCCATCCCTGTGGGCAGGAAGATGTTTTCTGGAGCACATGGCATTCCATCCAGCTCCGTCTCACACCCAGACGGGCTGCTGTGAGTGGGGGCTCACACTTACTGAATTCCCCCCAGGTGCCATTTTAAGTTTTGCAATAACCACATGAGGTAGGTGTGATTCATACAGAACCCACTTTTCAGACAAGAAGACAGGTTCATAGTGATTAGGAACTTACTTAAAGTCACACAGCCAGTATAGACTCAGGTCCGGGTGACCCCCCAGCCTGGGAGGCGCAGTACAGGGCAGTGGTTGAGCTTCCAGACTCTGGAGCTGGGGTTCCGACCCTGGCCCCACTATTTCTACCTGTGTGACCTTGGGCAGGTTATGACACTTTCCCATGCTTTGTCTCTCCATCAGTAAAATGCAGCTGCCAGGATTCCTGCTCATAAGGTTCCTATGAAACTTAGACCCACAATGTATGTAGTTCTCAGTGACGAGCACACAGGAGCCCCTCTGTAGGGGGTTGGCGTCTGTGGTTCTTCCAGCTGGACTTGGGCTGAATGAGCAGCAGGAGCAGGGCCTGCTGTATGGGCCATGAGAGTGAGCGAGCAGAGTAAAGTCATTTATCTCTGAGCTCAGCTGCCTCCGCTCCAGTGACCCCTGGGCCCTTTCCACCTGGGTGGAAAATGGGGTCCCCCTGAAAGCATGGTCCCCTGTTAATGACTTGAACTCAAGCAAGGCAGCAGGGTGGGGTTCTGAAGAGCACAGCAATTGGATGCCCCTTTCTCTTGCTCCATCTTTGCCAGGGCTGCTGCAAGCTGACTGCCCATTGGAAAGCAGGGCTCACCAGTCACAGAGGAGACCTCTGAGTCCTTGTGATGGCAGGAGGCCTCTGCCTGACTGGCACCTGCATCACTGCACAGCACATTTAGCCCTCGATGTGCAAGCCATGCTTCTGAGGTTAGGGTCTCAGGGTGGCACTGCTGGCCTTCTGGGCAGAGCAGTCCTTCTGTGTGAGGGAGTGTCTAGCACACCACGGGAACACAGCATGTCCCATGTCTATTGCTGTGTGACAAATGACCACACATTCAGCAGCTTAAAGCAACACATGCCTATTATAACAGTTTCTGGGGCTCAGGAAGGAGTCCATGTGCAGCCTAGTGGGGGCCTCTGCTCAGGGTCTCACAAGGTTGCGGCCAAGCTACTGGCTGGGCTATGTTCTCATTCAGAGGCTGGACTGGGGAAGGATGCACTTCCGGGCTTGTTCAGGATGTGGGCAGGATTTATTCCTGCACAGTTTCTCCTAAAGCTCAGCTGTAATTTTAGAAGATGCAGATAGCTCCTTGCCATGTGAGCTTTCCCACAAGGCTGCCCACTTCCTCAGGCCCGGGAGGGGTGGGCAAGTTGAGTGTCATAGAGGGTAACATGAGTGCAGATGTGCTATCATCACCTTTGCTACATGGTATGGGAGAAGCAAATCTCCATTTCTGCCTCACACTCCTGGAGAGGGCAGTGTCCCCAGGGGGAGCACCATGGCGCAGGGATCACAGGGTCTTCTTGAAACCTGCTCCCTCAAATGCTGGCAGTGTCCTTAGCTACTGGAACACCTGGGAGATGCCCTCAGTTGAGAGCCACTTGCCCACAAGCCTGTCTAAGGCTTGTCCTTCCTCTATTCCATCATCACCAGAGTCCATC
The DNA here is from genome assembly GCF_000001405.40 of Homo sapiens. Taxonomy (NCBI): domain Eukaryota; kingdom Metazoa; phylum Chordata; class Mammalia; order Primates; family Hominidae; genus Homo; species Homo sapiens. Next base: position 141,844,643 of record NC_000008.11, read on the forward strand.
TACGAGCCTCCTCAACTGGAAAGGTCTCCCTTCCAGGAATGACTGTGGCTGGTACTGTGGGCCTTTCCTTTGACCCTGCCATGGAAGCAAGGTCAAGTATTTTGGCCCCAGCAGTGAGCGGTGAGGTGAGGTCTCGTGAGGAAGGACTGAGCCCACATGCATAGAATCCTGTGTGACTAGTCCAGTGCTGGGGTGTGGAGAGGCTGCTATTATTGGGGGGTAGTTGTGTCTTTGTCTGGCTGAACCATGGCCTCCTTCAGGGAAGAGGTCTTCTCATCTTGGGGAAATCACTTAACTGACTGTGATAATAATTGCTAACATTTATCCAGCACTCCTTATGTGCCAGGTACTGTAAGATGTGCTTTGCATACATAATTGCATTTTAATCCTCACAACAATGACTAAGAGATTTTAATAAATTTCCAGGAGACAGCAAGCAGGGGAGTATGAGCTGACCTATAAAGCAGGAAGAAGCTGTAGTCAGGTTCCTGGCAGCAGCCACGACCAGGATCCCACCCACGGGATCCTGGGGAGGCTCAGGGCACAGAGGAAGCCAGCGGGACAGCCGGGGGTGAGGAGCCCGGTGGAAACAGAACTCTTTGCTGATTTTCACCCAGCACAACCTCACCAGGCAGCCCTGGCCTCCCCCAGCCATGTGATCAGGTTGCAGGCGGAGGTGCCAGCCTGTGGGTACATTCCTGGTGGCTTGTCACTGAAGCCATGGGATCAGCTCCTCAGGGAAGGCCAAAGCTGGGTCAAACCTCAGAGTGAAACCCTCTCATTTTGAACTGGGAGGCCACGCTCTCCCTCCCTCTACAGAGAATCCTGCAGCAGCCCCATTTCTCCCCCACCCCACCCCTGAGGAAGCCCAAAGGCAGAGTTATTCCCCGGGGAGGGCTGAGCGACCAGCCACAGAAGAAGCACCCCACACCTGCATCTTTAGATTTATTCTATCAATAGACAGCCAGCGACCACCAGGCACATGGGGAAAGCTGGCAGTGTAGAAGAGAGAAACGAAGATAAGCACACTGAAGAAAACTAAGACCAGAGGAAACAGAGCAAATTAGGTGAAAAACACTCTAAAAATACTCCAATTAACACACTCAGAGATATTTAGGAGGCTATTATATCCATAAAATAAAAACCAGCAGGCTTTGAAACGGGAACACAGGCAACCAAAATAAGCACTTAGATTCTAAAAGATGACTGCACCCCCGATAAAACACCAGGAGGAGGAGAAATAGAGTTTACTAAATCTCCAAAACACAGAACAAAAAGACAAACGGATTGAACTTAGAAGCAAAGAGATAAGGAACATGAGAGGCAGACTCCAGGAGGCCAACATCAGCAACACAACAGAGGGAGGGGGTGGGGAAATGATCCAATAAATTATGCAAGAGCACTTCTGAGCACTAAAGCAAAACACAGACCTCAAAACTGAAAGGACCTCCTCCAAGTTCCAAGCAGGATGAATAAAAGAAGAATTCGCAGGAAGTCTAATTATCATAAAATTGCATAACACCTAAGATTAAAAACATCACCACCACCAAAAATCCCAAAACCTTTCAGAGAAGGGAAAAAGGTCATCTACAAAGACATAAAAAATCAACTGACATCTCCCCTCCTATCAGCAATGGCTGGAAAAAAACATGTACCCATGCTTTTGACATTCAGATGGAATTCTATTCACGGCCAAACTAGTAATCACGTGTGAGGGTGGAATGAAGCCATTTTCACACTTTCAAAGTCAGTCTTTCATTTGGCTACTCTTAAAAAGTGACTTGAGTCTGGGTGTGGTGGCTCACACCTGTAATCCCAGCACTTTGGGAGGCTGAGGCAGGTGGATCACCTGAGATCAGGAGTTCGAGACCAGCCTGGCCAACATGGCAAAACCCCGTCTCTACTAAAAATACAAAAATTAGCTGGGCTTGGTGGCGTGTGCCTGTAATCCCAGCTACTTGGGAGGCCGAGGCAGGAGAATCACTTAAACCCAGGAGGTGGAGGTTGAAGTGAGCTTAGATTGCACCATAGCACTGCAGTGAGCTGAGATCACACCATTGTACTCCAGCACGGGTGACAAGGCTTAAAAAAAAAAAAAGGTGACTTGAGGATATCCTCCAGGAAAATGAGGAAGTAAAATTAAAAAAAAGAAGGAGATGGAATCATCCAGAAGAAGAGGACAGGCAACTGACCAGGAGGGAGTGAAGAGAGAGGCCAGTTCCTACTGGTACCAGAGGCTGGAGGCCCCAGGAGAAGGCAACCTGGTGCTGTGCATTGTTGTGATTGAGAGTTTGAAGGGAGAACTCAGGCTCTGATAGAGGCAAGAAGTACAAGACAAAACAGAAGCGATTATGGGTCTATGAAAACCACACAGAACGAGCGTAAGTGAAGGTCGTCACCCCAAAACAGGCAGACCTCTGTGCAGTGGAGTGAGAGGCAACAGGTCCTCGGTGACGAGTGTCTCTTCGAGAGGCTCAGGAGGAGGGGACATGCACTCACAGGAGGAGTCTTGCTGTGCATCCTAGTGGAGAGTTGGCCCTCTTCCTCCTGGTAGTGTTTATTTGGTCATAATGACAGATAGCTGGTTCTTTGGTTCTCAGTGCTTAAATTCAATCAGTCAACAGAGCATACGAGGCTTTGTTTGGGTGACAGAACAGAATGCAAATGTTAAGAACCTTGATAATGTGAAAGTGAGATGATGAAGCTCTGAATGTGAGATGAGAAACAGGAAGGAAAGTGAAGAGAAGACGGGTGGATCTTTAACAAGTGAGGAGCCAGGAGAAGCTGCTGAAAGTGGAGGGGTAAGAAAGAAGGGGTTGTAAGGGACTTACAGTTCCACATCCAGCAAGGAAGAGTACCGAGCACACTCAGAGGAGTATCCAATATCAGGAGGGAGAAGAGGAGAAAGAGGAAATAGTGCATTGAATTAATCCTCTTGCTTTTATTTAATTAATTATTTAATACATTAATTATTTATTCATTTCAATAAAGGCAGTGATATTATTTAAAGTTAACCAGTAAGAAATTGATATTTTTATTTTCTAATTAATGATGTAAGTAACGAAAGAAATAAAAGCATAAACCTTTAAGAGAGAGTTCCTCTAGAAGTAGGATTGGGGGTCAGAAAGTTTTGGGAGGGGACCAGATGGATGCTTTAAAGTATTTTAATTATATGTTGCAATCATTCCTTGGTCTTTGGAAGGATTGATCCCAGGACCCTCCACAGATACCCAAATCCACAGATTCTCAAGTTCCTTAAACAGCATGGTGCAGTATTTGTATATAACCTACACACATCTTTCTGTATACTTTAAATTATCTCTAGATTACATATAATACCTAATAAAATGTAAATCCTGTATAGTTGTTGCACCGTAAGTTTTTTATTTGTATATTTTAGTATATAATAATAAAATTTTTATTATGCAAATAATAAAATATGCACTATTTGTATATTTTATTATTTTTAAAATAATCATTTACAATATTATTTTTAAAATATTTGAAAACAGAAGAATAATACCTTGCCTTCAAATATTTGTAATCTGCTGTTGGTTGAATCCATGATGTGGAACCCACGGAAACAGAGGGTGGACTATATTTGATTAACTCAGAAAGACCTATTGAAGTGAGTTCATAATAACAAAAGGAGAGCCTGTGAACTTATTACTCAGCTTCACAACTAGCACATTCTGTGTTAGTCAGCACTGTTCAATTGCTAAAACAACCACCCCCAATCTCAGAGGCTGAGAATGAGAAAAGTTTATTCTATGCTCACTTTACTGTCCAGGGCAAATGGGGGTGGAGAACAGAGTTCTTCAGGACCCAGGCTCTTTCTCTGTTGTGGCCCTGCTGTTTTCTAGTGCCTTGGAGTCCTCCCTGGAGCTCCTGCAGCAGGTGATGGAGTAGAGAAAGAACATAGAGGATGATGGGGTAATTATGTAGGGGCCACGCCTGGAAGTGGGACACAGCACTGCATTTGCCTTTAATGAGCCACACTCAGGCATGTGGCCACCAAGCTGCAAGGGAGGCTGGGAAATGTGGCCCAGGCTTGTGTGCAGCAATATGGGGTCACAGGCAGGCAAACATCTGCTCGTTCTATGCCTCCACGGCAACTCCATGCCCCATCCTCTGGCCCCTCCAGAGGTGATCTGTCTCCTGAACTATGAGTTTATCATAGATGCAATCTCTCTCCTGAACTATGAGTTTATCACAGATGCAATCTCTCCCTTGAACTGTGAGTTTATCATTCCCTTTCTTTATTTTCTATGGTCATATAAAATACACGGAATACATGGAATACTCTTCAGCACATCGTGTGTTTGAGCTTCGTAGAAATGCCAACATGCAATATCAGATTATAAGGGTTCTGCAGAGATTTGCTTTCTTATTCAACATTACGAGATTCATCCATGATGTTCTGTGTCACGGAGGCTCATGCATTTCACTAAGAACAGTATTCCACCCATGAACATTTCAGAGTTGATTCACATTTTCTCCTGTTGATGAACGTTAGCTTTCCATTGCTAAAGCATCTTTGCACCTTGGACATAACAAATGTAACATACCTGCCATTGGATATGATGTTGTTGTGTGTAAATATGACACTTAGATCTCCTGCAGCCACCTTGCGACCATGAGGGAACAAACCCAAGGACAAAAGCCAACGATCAGGAGATGGCTGTTTGGAAAGATGAGAAAACTTGTGTCCTCAGTCACATGTCTGAAGCATCGACTTAACTCACTCTGGGATGAGTCCATCTCCTAACGTATGAGATGAAACCCATGCTTTAGCCATTGTGAGATGGGTCTTTTGTTAGCTGCAATGGACACACATGTTCTGAAGCCATTATTTTTTATACATGATGTAAGCTGTGTTTGCCACTGTGGAAAGTCACAAGTATGTAAGGAAAAGGAACACAGAACAGAATGTGGTGGGAAGCACCATCGGGCACGGTGGTCAGTGCAGGTTAACTGCTGGACCAAACACAAAAACAAACACAAGGAAAATCCAAGTGTCTGTGTGCTTTACATTTATTTCTTATTGACATGAACAGTTCGTTGGTTCAGTGAGTGACGTCCCACATGGCAGGCCCAGGCTCCCTCCCTCTTGTAGATCCTCCCTGCCCCAGGTCCTCCCAGCCCTCTTTATTCACAGAGAGTGGGTAATGAAGAGTGATGCCTCCCACAGTGGGTGTGATGGGCCAGGACTGGAAGAGGCACACACCAGCCTTTACCCCTCATACTCCACTGGCAAAGAGAGTTGCATGGCCATTGTTAGAGAAAACAGTGATTCAGTGGTGCTTGTCAGGGTACCCTGAGGAAGACTTTATTCAGGCCCATTGTGATAGGCACAGGGATCACGGCAATGGGATTCTGCAGTGGAAGAGAGATGGCTCAACTCCCAACACAGCCTGGCAAGTGGGGATTACAGCCGAGGAGCAGGTGGGATCGGGGGATGGAAAATGACCAGGAGGAAGCATTGGGGTGAGGGGGTTCTGGCTAAGCCCTCGCTAACAGGATGCTTGCTGAAGGCAGGCCAGGGGACCAGGCCTTCCCTGGGGGGTGGTGGGGGATGAGGACCCTGATCAGATATTTAGGAAGGATCAGACACCAAGGGTGAGGGGTTCTTGATAAACTGACTTAGCAGGGTTCTTGTTAAAACTGGGCTTTACAAGGAAGGGCACAGATGGGCCAAGAGAAGTTTCAGGAGCCTCCGCTCAGGGTGCAACCACAGCCCTGCTGGGCGAGTTATTCTCACCCCCACTTCACAGGTATGGGAACTAAGGCCCCAAAGACAGGGCAAGTTCCCTCAAGTTACAGGACAAATCCCTGCAGTCTTGAAAGCTCCCTCTCCTGCCCTGCCCTGGAGCCTGCAGTGTAGACTAGGGAGGGACAATTGAATCAATGATTTGGGGTTGCTTAAAAAGAAAGCCAAAACCTGCCCCTTTCCAGGTTGATATTTACATATAGCTGAAGAATTCTCAGGTGCTATCGTAGAGTGATGGGGGTAATTCTCCAGTTTAGAAATGCCCATTGTGCCATGTGCTGGGCTGAATCGTGTTCCCCAAAATTCCCAGGTTTAAGTCCTCGCCCCAGTGACTATGTTTGGTAATGGGGCTTTTCAGAATGTGATTAGAGGTACAATGTAGTCACTATATGACTGGTGTCCTTATAGAAGAGGAGGAGATTTGAACACAGACATGCACAGGGGACAATCACGTGAAGACCCAGGGAGAAGATGGGGTCTACCCACCAAGGAGAGAGGCCTTGGGAGGAATCAGTCTTGCTGATGCCCTAAGGGCCAACTTCCAGCCTCCAGAGTGGAGAGGAAATGAATCCTGGTGTCTAAGCCTTCAGCCTGTGGTGCTTGATGATGGCAGCCCCAGCAGGTGAATGCATGTAGCTCGGGGAATGAACAGATCCCAGAAATCTCCAGGGCTGGGGAAATGGACCAGGCTGGGAAGCTGGAGAAGGGAGTGGGCAGGACAGTGCACTTTAGTGAACGTGTGCTCTGATTTGTGTGTTGCCTTTGGGATTTTATCTTGAAAATGAAATGCAAAACACAGGTAGGAGGGTTAATGAATTGAAAATGTCTGCTGGCTTTTCCCGAGGGCAAGAAAACAACTGAGCTAAAATTAGAAGAGAAAGTGTATGACTGGGGAGACATTGTGAAGATAGATATTAAACTCAGAATTTCCAAAGGCTGGCCAGGTTGGAAATGGACCCAGCCTCACTGCCAGCATCTGTTGAGTGGGCCAGCTTGGCCCTGCCATTATTCCACCACTGAGAGTGTTGGTCTCATCCCAGGCTCATGTCCACCTTGGACTTGCTAAATGTAAGACCCACCAAGACGCACAAAGGACCTGTGGAGGTGACTGCATTAAAATTCAAATCTCAAATGATAACTTAGGCACAATTAAAGGCAAACAAGACACTGGGGAAATATTTCGCAACATATGTTTAGACAAAAGGTTGATGAGCTAACGACATTAAAATAGTATCATAAATAAACAATAAAAGGTCTGCCGAGCATAGGCCGTCCTAAGGTATGAGCAAGAGAGTGCCAAAAAAGCTGCGCAAATGGTCAGGGCGCAAGTGAAAAGCGATTTAACTTCGTTAATAAAGGAATAGCTGCAAATCCGAGCAAGAAGGTAAATGTCTCCACCCAGCAGCCACTTCCCTAGGCAAAAACACTTTGTTGCCCAGTGTTGAGCGTGTGGACCACCTGACCGGCCTGCCAATGGCAGGGATGGGCGTTACATCAGCATCCCTGCAGGGGGCGGGACAATGGGTGACAACCCTGCAGGGGACGGGATGATGGGTGACAACCCTGCCAAAAATTGTTCTCATGCTTCATCCCACGGTGCCTTTGAGGAGCTTATCCTGGAGACGTAGTCACGGCTGTGTAGGATAATGTGTGTTCAACAACGTGCATTACACGGCTGTGTCTCCTTCCTTCATTTACTCAGGAAATACAGAGACAGCCCCAGCTGTGTGCTGAGAACAGAGGTAAAGTGATGGGCAAACGCCACACAGCTCTGTCCCGCAGGGCCTGGGCCCAGTGGAGCTGATGGGCACTAAACCGGTCATCCCCCAGGTGAGTACAGAGTCGTGGCAAGGACATCTGTGGGGGTGGTGGGAGCAAGGGAAGGGCCCCTGGAGTGAGCTGTGCCAATCAGCAGAGTGGGCTGCTCGTGTCTGGGAGGCTGCCTGGTGCCCCGGGAGGCCTGTCTTCGAAGGGAGGCCACAGGTGTGACCAGGGAGACCTTGAAAGTGCACCTCATGCACAGGACAGCAGCGTCCATGGTGCGAGCCCTGGGAGGCCCCGAGGGAGGTGAGATTGCATCCCCTCTGGGTGGAGATGGGCTGCAGAGGGGCCCCGTGGAAGCAGGAGACAGGAGGCTGTGCTGTTAGGAGGCAGGAGGCGAGGACAGCCTGGACCCAGGGAGTGGGTGGAGACCCACACAATGAACAAGACAGCCTGCGGCAGAGCTTGGAAATGCGGTGAGCAGTGTATCTGTTAACAGGAAAATGCCCATGGTCCTTGCCAATGCAGGCCGACAAGATGAACAACTGTGCGTGTGTGCACAGAAGGGTCCTGCTTTTGATCCGTGTGAGAGGAGAAGGAAGCCAGGAAGCGGGCGGGAGGGAGAGGAACGCACACCCCACACGTGAGGGTGTTTATCTTCCTGCTGCATGAAGATGGCTGATTGCTTCCTTTCCATTGTTTGTTTCTGGAGTATTCTGCATTGAACAAATATTGACTTTGTAATTTTAAAAAATGTTTTATGAAAAAGATAAAAGCAACTCACACAGGCCCCTTCTTCCTACTTTGCCAGGGCTTGCCGTCTGGGCCTCCCTGAGTTGGGGCAGGTTTCACTCCACCTGTCCACCAGGGGTGTGGACCCCGGAGGACAGAACTGAAGGAGCCGCTGACCTGACCATATGCCCAGCAGCTGGGAGCGCTCCTGTGCCCAGGCTGTGCGGCACACGGGGACCCTAGAGGTAGAGAGACACAGGCCCACCCCAGCACCCTGGAGGAGGTGAGAACCGTGTGTGCTGCCTCACATCCTGTGAGTGACCCAGGGACAAACATGCCAGGGAGTGCATCCTGTGCCCAGGGCCAGGCAGTGCCTGCATGCATGGGCACACACAAACACAGACACACGCACGCACACACACACACACGCAAACACACACATACACACAAATACACACACAAACACAAACATACACACTCAAACACACACACATACACACCTACACACACATACACACCTACACACACATACACACAAACACACACAAGCACACACATACACACATACATATATACACACATACACACACATACACAGACACACACACAGACACATACACACATGTACACACACACAGACACACACACATACACATGTCACACTGGCACCCAGGGAGAGGAGAGAGGCAGTGCCTTTGCACACACACACACACAGACATACACACACACGCTCACACTGGCACCCAGGCACCCAGGGAGAGGAGTGAGGCAGTGCATGCACACACATACACAAACACACACACATACACATAAACACACACACATACACACAAACACACACATACACACACAAACATACACACAAAACACACATACACACAGATACACATACAGACACACACATGCAAACACACATACACACATACATGCACATACACACACACATACACATGGTCACACTGGCACCCAGGCACCCAGGGAGAGGAGAGAGGCAGTGCCTTGTCACACATACACATACACGCTCACACTGGCACCCAGGCACCCAGGGAGAGGAGCAAGGCAGTGCATGCACACACACACACACATGCTCACACTGGCACCCAGGCACCCGGGGGGAGGAGAGAGGCAGTGCCTGTACACACACACAAACACACACACACACACACTGGCACCCAGAGAGAGAAGAGAGGCAGTGCCTGCACAAACACACACACTCACACATGCTCACACAGGCATCCAGGCACCCAGGGGGCGGAGAGAGGCAGTGCCTGCACACACACACACACACACACACACTCACACTGGCACCCAGGCACCCAGGACCAGGCATGCATGCACAGGCATACACACACATACTCACGCCTGATCACTCAGGCTCCCAGGTCAAGTACATGTGAGCACACACATGCTCATGCGGAGCCTAACACAAACACACACAGAGCCTTACACACACAGGCACACACTCACACAGTCTTGTACAATGTAGCTCCCCACACATATGCACACACAGAGCTGTACACACAGACACTGTCACAAGTTACAATGTGCACATATAGATTTGCACACCCAGATGTACATACACACTCTCCCACAGCCCCCCCCCCCCACACACACACACACACTGGGGTGTACAGAGGCAGAGGTGGGCACCCCGTGGCTTTGGAACAGGGAGGCCTAGAGGAAGTTGGAGTTGCTAGCTGGGCCGCCTTGCCGGGCTGCTCAGGTGTGAGTGGCCAGAAGCCTCTGCCTCTACGGGCGTTCCCACGTGTCCAGGGGGCTCCCAACACCTGCTCCTCTGGGGGCTGTAGCAGTCAGGTGTCACACCAGTGCCCGTGGCATGGAGCAGCCAGAGCTGGAGGGCACTTGGCACCTCTTGCAGGACCTGGGGGTGTGGGGGTGCTCCCCAGATGAGCAGACGTTAGACCTGAACAGTGAGGGGCTGGGGGAGGTGTCCTGGGGAAAGAACGGTGGGGAGGAAGGTGTTGTCTGGAGAAGGCTTGTCCTGCACAGGGAAGGAGGGAAGGAGCAGGGAGTGGAGGCACCTGAGCATGGCCAAGGCCAAGGGACCTCAGCTCCTGCCACAAAAGGTGGAGTGGGGCTGGCGGTGGAGTCCGGAAAGTGGCATCTCTGCAGTAGGATACCACCTTGGGCTGGCAGAGCCTGCACCCTGAGTCTCCTGGGGAAGGTAGAAAAGTCTCTGCTCCTTCCTTACCAGCTGAGTGAGCTTGGGCAAGTCCCTTAACCTCTCTATGTCTCACTTCCTCATCAGTAAAAATGGGGATAAAAATTGTCCCCAAGTCAGAGGGTGGTTGAGGGTTAAGTTAATGAACATTCGTCATATGCTCAGAACAGCACTGGGGTTTGTAAGCCTCACCTTGAGGATGGTGACGGGGGAATGGGAGAGGGGAGGAGGGCCGAGCACCTAGGGGCATCTGCAGTGGCCCTGGATGAGGGGAAGCCACCAGAGCCCAGGAGTGCAGCAGAGAGGCCAAGTGTGAGGCTTTCGATAACGCGGGCTGGGAATGGAGCTCCAGGGGTGCAGGGGCAGGAAAAGCAGGCTGGCCTGGAGCAGGCTGCATGCGGTACCGGAGGGTGAGGGTGACAGGGGCAGGAGGGCAGGAGAGCAGAGTGGGACAGAGGACAGGATCCTGGGGACACGGTACTGTGTGTCAAGCTGAGTGGGTGGCCAGCGGTAGAGGAAGGTTTGTGCAAAACAGACGGAGAGATGCTCACGTCCAAGAAAGCCAGGGCACGGCACCCGGGGGATCTGGGTGCTCACAGCCTGGAGCCAGTGCAGGGGTCGGGCCTGCAAGGAGACTGCTGGGATGGCAACCCCAGGCCACCACTGCCCTTGCCGAGGGGCCTCCAAGTGGAGAGGAGCCAACAGCAGGAGGAGGGCGGGGCCGAGCTGCCCTGCCTTCCTGGTTCCCAGTTCTCTTAGCTGCCTGCAGTGACCTGGCGGCTCTGCCTTCCACCCGGGCTGAGGCTGCCATTCGAGAGAGGGGAGGGCAGCAAGTGTGGCCTGCGGTGCAACCCTGCCTCTGTGAAAGGACACCTGGGGGCTGTGGCAGGGCCAAGGCGTGAGCCCCAAGCTGGGCCACTGGCTGGGTCCCCATGGGAGGGTGGGCTGGGGAGCTGGGGGCGCTAGCTTTCTCCTGATGCATCACGGGTAGTGCTGTTTATTGTACTGAGCAGTATTTCTGTTTTAAAGTAAACACTCAGATTTTTAAAAAACCATGGCTAGCATCTGAGCCTGGAGCCCAGATGTTTTCTCTGGGAAGAGGAGCAAATGTTATTGGCTGCAAGGCTCAAGAAGATTTCTGGAAACTTGGCATTACATAGATATTTTAAATTGCCACGCTAGACAGGTAAGCGAGGTAGGGGGACAGAAAGAGTGTCTGGGAGGACGCAGGGCTCCATGGGGGACAGAAGCCATCACCCCATGAGAGCAAAGCCCACTCTGCTGTGAGCATTTTCCTTTTTGGGAGGCGTGGAGAAGGAGGCCTCTGGTGGGAACTGAGTTTGGGTTTTCCTAGTAGGCGCCATGGGAGGCCAGGAGGCAGGGAGGCAATGACCAAGGTCGGGTTATAGGGGAGAGTGTGGTCCACCACAGGCAGGGAAAGCAAACCCAGAGGCTGCTGGACCTGGAGGCAGTGGGAGGCCAAGACCTGGTGCCTTGGGAGGGGCAGAGCCTGTGGGCTGGAAGGGCAGGAGGACAGGCAGAGGGCAACATTCTGCCTTGTGAGGTTTCAGAGCTGGTGAGGGCGACTGGAATTGCGGAGGCAGGGAGCAAAGACCATCCTGGTTAAACACTGCAGTTACACTGGATGACCGCTGGTGGGGGCAGTGTGGGAGGGGCAGACTGAGGACAAGAGGTGGGGGTTTGAAGATCCCACCAATTTCTTTACCCTGGGGAGTTGCAGGGGTAGCAGGGGAAAGTTTGGGGAACAGGCGCAGTGGGGAGGGAGACAGAGCACAGCGTGACAATGAGGGCCCTGGGGAGAAAGGGGCTGGGCTCTCAGGGCTCCTGCATGGGACAGTGATGGGAGGCTTGCAGCTCTGGGGCTGAGAGCTTCTGTGTGGGCCTGGCCTTTGGCCCCAGAGGCATCAAGGATGAGGATTTTCACAGGCAAGCCACTGGTCTTGCAGGGGACCTGGGTCATGCTGACAGAAATCCTGGGCTTGAGATGTCACCCCCAGGAGCAAGGGCAAGAAAAACTGAAGATGCTTTATAGGAGGGTGATGCTAGCTAGCAGCCTCCTGTTAAAGGAAGATTGCTGGATGATGGGTGAGAAGATGGGCCAGCATAGTGAGAATGGCATTGTGATGGGGGTAGGGGCTGCCAAGGGCTGTGATCAGAAGGACAGGCAGGGTTGGCTCCAAGGGGTGAGCCCCTGGCTGACAGGTTGACTGCAAACCCTAAGGGGCCATGTGCAGGAGTTCAGGGGAGGATAAATCCATGAAGGAGGCAAATTTGCTTAATGATAGGTACAGACGATATTTAACAGCAAACGAGACAATAAAACATGTAATTAGCAGATGTACAGCACTGGCTGCTGGGGATTCCAATGAAAGGCACTAAAACACCACCAAGATTAGGAGTCAGCTTGCAAGGGAGCTAGTTCGAGGACTGACAGCATTCTGCAAGTGGGAAGCCCAGGCTATGGAGTTAGACAGAAGGGTATGAATCCTGGCTCCAGCCTGTGTCCTTGGCCATGCAACTCAGTGGGTTTGCTTTCTTTATCTATAAAATGACTATATTAGTGGTGCCTGCCTCAAAGGGTAGTTGTGAGGATTAAATGAGTTGGACAATAGTAAGCACCCGGCACACCACCTAACCCAGTGCTCGGTCAGTGCTGTTGTCAGTATTAGCACCACCATCGTCATCCCCATCCTTGTCATCATCACCAGTACTATCATCATCATCATCGTCATCATCATAGCTATTACCATCAACATCAATGCCGTTACTGTCATCATCATTGTTACCATCACCATCATCGCCATTCCCGTCATCATCATCACCATCACTGTCACCATGAACACCATTACTATCATCATCATCATCAACCTCATCACCAACACCATCATCACCATTACATTATAATCATCACCATCATTATGAATGCCATTACTATCATCATCATTTCCATTACCATCACCATCAAAACCATTTCTATCATCATCATTATGACTGTCACCACAAATGCTGTTACTATAATCATCATTACCATTACCATCATCAGCATTACCATTAATTACTATGATCATCACTCTTATCATCATCGCCATCACCACCAAGACCATTACTATCATCGTCATCATTATCATAACTATCATGATCACCATTACTATCATCATTATTCTTGCTTGTCATTATCACCATCATCACTACCATCAACATTACTACTGTCATACTCATCATCACCATCACCGTCATCATGAACACTGTTACTGTCATCATCATCATCAGCACTATCACCATCTCTAATACCATTACTGTCATAATTATCATCACCATCACCATGAACACAATTACTACCATCATCATCACCATTACCATCAACACCATTACTATCATCATCAACAACACTATTATTATCATCATCATCCTTGTCATTGTTGCTATTACTATTGTCATCATCATCCCCATCACTATCACTATCAATAGCATTGCTATCATCATCCTCACTATCACCATCAACACTACCATCATCATTATCACCATTGATACAACTTCTAGATCATCATAACCATCATGATTACCACCATCACCATCACTACTTCTTACTATTATTGTTGCTGTTGTTTTTTTTTAAGACTGGGAGTTAGAAGATCCTTAGGTAGGTGTTCTCGAATGAACTGCACACAGGGACAAGTTGCATTTTAGACCGCTCTATGATGAGGAAAAAGAGAACTAGAGGAGCTACATGACTTGTTCAGGGTGATGGAGCTTTAGTGTGGCATTAGTTGTGAAAGTCAAAGGTGGCTCACCATGCCACGCCCCACCTATTGTGTGAACTCTCTTATTTGTAGCTCTATATCCCCATAAGTAAAATCAGGAGATAAGCAGACAAGCCCTCCAAAGTCATTTATTCATTCACTCCTTACACACATTTGTGTACTTACTGCACGCAGTCTTTGTGTCCCATGCTGGGGATATGTTGGGGGGATCTCACACTTTCAGTGCTCACAGTGAAGCAAGAAAGACAGTCATCAGCACCAGGCATTCCCACCCTGTGTGAGGACACACATGGAGAGGGAGGTGTGATGTGGTGAGAGGAGGCAGAGGGGCAGTGACCCTCATCCTTAGGGCAGCGCATCATGAGGGCTGTGTGGGGAGAGGTCCTGAGTTGTGACACCCCAGGATTCTGGGTAAGATGGAGGGCAGAATGGGGAGCCCTGTGGGGATGCCCTGGGGGAGGTGGTCCTTGAGTTGGGTGGAAGGATGCTAGAGAAGTTTGGAAAAGGCAGGGCCATTCATGGAGTCTAGGTCAGACCAAGACATTGGCTGGAGGTGGGAAAGCTCCCAGCTTGTGCCTCGGACAATGGGGAAAGTGGGCTCAAGGAAGTGGGAAGCTGGCCTAAAAAATTTGGAAGATAAACTCGGTCACATCAGAGTCAGATCACCCCCTCCTGGAGGTGACCTTTCTGCCACCTACACATCTTGGGGGTGCAGAGAAGATGTGGACCACCTGAGAGCAAGCTGCTCCTTCCTGTCGGCCTCCCTTCCACCTGCTGGCCAGGTCCCACCCCTCAACCACAACCACCTGGTCATCACTGAAGTCTGCTCTGAAGCTCTGCTGGATGTCTGGGTTTCAGGGATGTATCAACTGTTTCCTCTGCAAATCTTGCCATGATCACCACTGCCTGAGCCCAGCTCTCCCTTTGCCCTCCGTCCGGGGCATCCCAGCCACCTTTCCTCTCCCCTGCACCAAGCACGAATCACTTATCTGTGGGCTTCCTTTGAGAGAAGCCCTGCCTGCTAACATTTGCCATCTCTAGGTCCCTGTCTTGCAGTTTGAACAAGCATTTATTGAGCACATACTCTGCCAGGGACCTTTCAAGAGGTTGATTCATTTATTCTTGAAACAGCCCACCTGGAGGTAGCATCGTCCTACCATTGAGGGAATTCAGACTTGGAAAGGGGAGGTAGCTCACCCAGAGTCATGTGACACTGTAATGCGGAGATGGAGAGAGGTGGGGGCCAGTGGAAGGCCGCCCTGCTAGCTCAGGTGGAAGGGGCTCAATGATACAAGGAGCAGTGTCGTAGCAAAGAAAGCCTAGGACGTAGGTTTTGTTGCCTAGAACTCTTTCAGTAAACAGCCTGTGCACCATGTCCATCAAGACCATCCAGTGCTCAGCATGAGCATCCCTGGAGTTGCTGAGAGGTGTGGAGATGGGGGCTGCTGGAGGCCTGGGAGCCTCGTCCCCCTCTGCCATTTGTTGGCTCTGTGACCTTGGGCAGGCTCTCGACCTCTCTCATTTCGCGTCTGGACGTTGCACGCAACCAGCATGGAGTTGGTGCCCAGCATGTCCACCGGCCATCCCTCCTGCATCAGGATGCCCTCTCTGTGCAGGCTCTGCCTGTCTTCTTGACAAAGCAGTGAGGGCCGGAAGTCCATGACTTCGGGCCCCCGATGACCCTGAGAGGAGCTCCAGCCCTGACTCTCTGCCTGGCCCAGGGGTCTGACCTCTGTGGACCCTCCCACCCTGAGCAGAGCCATCAGGGCTGCAGGGGCAGGAGATAGAGCCCAGTGGCAGGGCCGCTGTACGCTCCCTGTCCCCTCCCAACACCTGTGCCTTGGGGTGACCCTGCCGCTGTCTGCCTCCTCCCCCTGCACCCCCATTAGTCAGTGATTAGATATACATCTTTGCTTCCTATCAAGAAGCTCCTGAACTGGGCCATTATGCTGAGAAAAAAGTGTTTTTCAATGATCACCGGGGAGAGGAGACGCCGCCAGCACTGAGTGGAGAATCAATTTGAGCCTGGGAAGGCCCGGCCATCCATCTCCCTTTGCTGGGTAATTTAGGCCTCAGAGCCGACAGAGCAGATAGCAGTGCGGCAGCCACACAGAGGCCCTGGCCAGGGCTGAAGAATGCGGCCGCTCTGTGGTCATTATCTCAGGGAGGCTGCCGCCAGGGGGAGGGGCAGGAAGAAAAATTGGGCCCGTCGGGGAAGCGCGATCTTTCTACTCGGATGCTGTTAGAGGAGGCGGCAGGTTATCCATCCCCCTGGTGACCTCCATGCCGCCCGCGGTTTATGGGTTTGGTTTTGTGTGGCAGCCACAGGCGCAGGTGGGGTGGCCCTGGGGAGTGGACACCTGCCCATGGGGTGCTGGGCAGGCTGGCTGCTACCATCCCTGCCCTTCCTAACTGCTGGCTGTCACCCAGGCTGCCCCTCTATCAGGAATGACCCTTTCCCTGAGCAATTCAGTCCCCAGACAGGACCCACCGTGGGAGCCCAGCTCCAGCACGGAGGAATGAGGGCAGGGAGTGAGCGTGGCGCCCGTGGAGTACAGCCCGTGTGGGGCCCTCGCCTTGGCTGGTGTTAGTTCACAGCCCCTGGTGCAGCCTGGCATAGCGAGGGTGTTTGTGCTCGGCTAGGGCATGAGGACCCTGAGGGTCACAGTGGTTCAATGACTCAAGAGGGCGGCTCGGGGCTGGAGGCGGAGCCAGGTCAGCCCCCGGAGAGTCTGTCCCTCCTTGAATGCCAGCTCCTCATGGTCTCCGAAGCCCCCTTGAGGGACCGCACTGCTCAGGGTGCCAGGCAAGCTGCTGCCTGCAGGGGAGGGGCGGGGTTAGGGGCCTTACTTCGCGGACATGGACACTGAGGCTTGGTGGGGCTGAGTCGTTACCCGAGGTCTCCGACCTCACCAGGGAGGCCTGGGGCTGCCTGGGTCCAGAACCTCTGTTTTCAGGCTGTGTTCTTGGGGAAAGAAAGTCCTCGGGGCCCATCGGTGGATCCAGCACATTCTCAAAGCTGTGTGCTGAGCGAAGCCAGGGAGGTTTTGCCCTGGAAGCTACAGGTTTCCCAGCCCCGTACAAGGCAGGTGAGGGGCTTGCTGGGGGCCTGATGAACACATCTCCCTGGCTGGGTATCTTCCTTCTCCGGGGTGCCCTGGCACGGGCAGCCTCCTAATAACCTGCCCAGGATTTGGCCCTGGCCCCCTTAGTTCCCACCGAGTGACCAGGACTGGCCCCTGCCCCTCTGTAGTCCTGGCTTCCTGTTCATGGAGGGTGCTGGGCTGTCTATTTTGATGCAGCAGCCTCAGGCTGTGTGTGTGGAGCTTGGAGGATGGTGGGACCCATGGGGTGGCATGAAGGTGGCCCTACTTCACCTCCGACCCCTTGCTCTGTGTGTCCTGTGGGATTTCCCTGGTTGCCTTCCGCAGGGGCCCTCCCAGCCGTCGGCTGCTCTGTGTGCCCTGTGCTGGGGCACAGAGGACGCATGGGCTGCTGCAGGCTAGTCTCCTGCACCCGGCTGAGGGCACCGCTTCCCCTCCCCAAACAGAGTGGCTCCAGGAGCAACATGCACTTCTCTGCCAGGGACAGGGTAGAAGCACCCCATCCCTCCCCATCAGGGCTGGCCTCCTGTCTGGCCTTTGCCTCCTGTCTGGCTCCCCTGCCTGGAGAGCCTGCTCCTGGCCTTCAGCTGGGCTTGAGTCCAATGTGACCCCTTCCAGATACTTCCTAGAACACTGGCTGTGCCTCTCTGCATGAGAACAGGTCCTGAAAGAGGGGATGTTTCACCCGGGGACTGTCACGCAGTAGGCACTCAGCTGCTTTTTGCTGAGCTGTGAGTAGACGGTGTCAGGCTGGGGGGCCCAGGCTCTGTGTGGGTGCAGCGAAGCAGGGCTGTGGGGCAGGGCTGGGGCCCTGAACCCATTGGGGAGAGGGGGAGCTTTGACCAGCAGGGGTGGATGAAAGTCAGCGGCCTTCCCAGTGGGAGGTGAAAATGAGCTAAAATTTCTCCTCTAGAGGACTGACGTTGATCACGTTTCTGGGCTTCGCCCGCACCAGATCTCGGCCCTCCCTGCCGTCGGGAGCAACCCTGCCCTTGACGGGTGAGCCAGCTGAGGCCCAGTTGGGCTGATCTCCCCTTGGAACCCTCGAGCCCACTGGAGCAGCCAGGACTCCACCAGGGCCTTTCGCTCCACTTAGGGCAGCAGGGCCCGAAGTCGCAGCTGCTGGCTTTCCGTCTGGCAGGATGCTGGGTGGACCCCGAGGAGACACCTGGGTGGACAGGTGTGGACACAGCCACCATAAGGAGAGAGCAGCCGCCGGGGGCTGCCACCACCCCCACAACGCAGGGCCCGGATTGCCTGCTTCCTCTCACTAAGTGCCTTGTTAATGACTGCACGGGCCATTATTTGCCGCGGAGCCGCAGTAATTGGAGAACTAACCTCTCAGCAGCAGGTTGGCTGCCCTCACCACTGCTGGAAGCACCTGGGATATTCTGGACACTGGGCTGGACGTGGAGGACGACAATAGGTGGTTGCCCAGAAGGCCCAGTGGGCAGGATTTTCTCTTCCTGAGAGCAGCAGCAGCTGGGCGACAGGCTCAGGACTCCCCAGCGGAGGGGAGCACCCAGACTCCAGGGGGCATCCACCTGAAGCTTCTCACAGCCTGGCAGGAGCATGACTCCAAACAAGGCTAAAGCTCCTACATCCTCAGCCCCCCCTTTCTCTCTGGGACTGCAGGATGGTGCCACATCCTGAGAGGGGAGGAAGGGCTCTGGGTGGGGTCTGAGAGACTTAAGCTCGAGTCCAAGTCCAAGTCCAGACCAGTCCACTTGGTGATATGCATGCAGCCTCCTCCAGGAAGGCAGCCGCAATTGCCTGCTCACTGCAAAGTGGGCCTACAGCTCCTCCTTGGAATGCCCCTGCTCCCATGCCCAGCCCTGTCCCCTGGCCCCGCAGGCTGGCCCCTCAGCGTCATGAGCTCTCTGCACTGTTCTGAATGCACACAGTAACTGCTCACAGGGGGAGTGGACATGAACACAGACAGAGAGAAAGCGGACTCCAAGTGTCAGGATTCACAGTCATGGGGCCGGAGGAGGGAGAGAGCTCTTTGCTGTGGGGTGGTCCAGGAAGACCTCTGGAGGGGAGTTGGGCCCCACAAGTGGCAGAGGACTTGGGAATTAGTCAGGGAAGGGCACTCCTTCCCAGGCTGGCAGATGGTGAGAAGGGACCAGCACTGACAGGGGAGTGTCCTGCACTCACTCAGGGCTCTGTGTTCACACTTCTGCTTACTTACATAATGTGTGACCCCCACGTACCTGCAGGTAACAGAAGAATCAAGAGACTGGGTAACAACGTCCCAGAGCATCCTACGGAAGAGGTCCGCTCACGCTGCAGCAACAGACAGCCCCCGTGTCTCAGTGACTGACACAGCAGAGGCGCCTCCCGCTCACCTGACCATGCCCTCCCCAGCTCAGCAGGTGCCCTGCCCACGGCTGTCACTCAGGAACCCAGGCTGATGACACATCTCCCATCTCGAATGTTGCTGGTCACCACGTGAGAGGGAAAAGACAGGGTGGCAAGCAAACCCTGGCCGGTGAAGGTCCCTCCAAGAAGTGACAGGTCACCTTGGCACACAACTCACGGGCCGTGCCCGTGTTCAACAGCGTGGGGTGTGTGGTCTCAGGGTCCCTGGAGGGACACAGCCACATGAGCAGCTCTAATGACCACCAAACAGTGGAGGGGAAAGGGTGCGAATCAAGTCGAAGCACACTGAAAACATTCCCACACGAAGGCATGTGAGCTTGGTTTCCCAGGATCTGCAGCTTCCAGGCTCCCGGACTCTCAGCAGTCAGAGCAAGGGGTGATGCAGGGGGAGAGAGGACCCCGACATTCACAGGTGCTGGCTGCTCAGGGGTAAATGGCGTTTTCCAGCTGAATGGGGCCGCAAAGCAAAAGCACCGGGGTCCTGAAGATGCCACCATGTTGTGTAGCCTGGGGGCACCTAGACAGACCTCTGCATAAGCACAGGGTGAGGCTCCGTTGCAGATTCTTCAGGTTTCTCCATGGCAATCAAGGGTCACAGTGCCAAACGGAGGTCACAGCGTCAAAGATGAGTCCAGAAGATGCGATTTAAGGGGAAGCCAGTGTTCTCTAAAATTGCTTCAGAGGAAAGAAAGAAAGGAAAGGAAACATGGATGGTATTTAGGTGAATACGTCCACTGAGGCTGTGTAAAGAGCCATGGAAAACCCGGGCGGGTGGATTAGCCTGGGCTCTCCAGAAAAACAGAATAGACAGACAGACAGACAGAGATTTCCTGAAAGGAGCTGGCTCATACATTAAAGAGGCTGGGAAGTCCAAGATCTGCAGTTGGTGAATTGGAGAACTGGGAGAGCCGATGGCAGCTGGAGCCCAAGTCCGAGCCTGAGACTGGAGGAGACCAGCGTCCCAGCTTGGAGGCAGCCAGGAAAGGAGGGAGAGTTCTTTTCCACCCCGGCTTTTATCCACTCAGGACTTCACCGCACATGGGAGAGGGTGGTCTGTTTACTCAGTCCACCAAATTCCATGGCAGTCTCAGGTGGAAGCACTTACATGCACAGAACGATGTTCAACCAAATACCAGGGCACCCCGTGGCCCAGTCCAGTTGACACTATGAAATTAGCCATCACATGAGGGCTTAAGCCACAATCATTTGCATTAAGCCTCACAAGCCTTGACAACAGTGGCTGATCTCGGTTGATCTCAGCTGGGGGCCGAGGGCAAGGGGCCAAGCAGAGGCAGGCAAAGCCCCCCAGGCCGTGGCATGCACCGGTGCGCTTCACAGGGCCTTATTCCATTTCAGTGAGTCACATGACCAAGGCTGAGTCAGAATGTATTTCCCACCCCCACAGGCACACACACACAGGGGAGGACAAACAAAACTTCACTACGAAGGGCGTGGACACAGGGAAGGGTGAAAAACTGGGCCAGGGATGCAACTCTACCCGGACGGCCTGTTCTCCATGAATATGTCCTCTAGACCTGAATTAACGGCAGAGCCACAGGCAGCAACAATCCTGCAAGCGGGTGCCTGCACACGTGTGTGTATGTCTGTGTGTGCATGTGTGCATGTACGTGTGTACATGCCTACATATGTGGGGAAGGGGATGTGGGTGGCAGACAGGGCATTGGTGGGCTCTGGTGAGAAGGGGGACATATTTGAGACCTGTACCCAGGGCTGCAGTGAGTCCTGGGAGCTGGCCCCAGTGTGGGGTGGGGCACACAACAGTAAGCCCTGTTCTCAGGTGCCTTTCCTGGTGGCCAAGTTCCTTCACATCCACCGGCTCCCTGGAACCCCCCAAGAACACCTGTGGGGTCTTGCCCCGGTTCTGAGCTCGGTAGTGCCACGATGAGCAGTCCTAGCGCTGCTCACTGAGTGAACCTGAAGGGCTGCAGAGGAAGAATTTTGTGTTTCCCTTGACCTTGGCTCGGGGCCCTGCCTCCAGCAAGAGAGCAATGGGGGAGGGCACTAGAGACCCACGTGGCTGCACCATGAGGGTGGCGAGCTTGGCAGCTCAACGAGACCCCCTGCTTCATCCACCAGGAGCTTCAGTGCACTTGCTTCCTCACCGTGAAGCCCAGACAGGGGGGAGAGAGCGGCACAAGGTCACCAAGTGCCGATGCTGACCCCTGGTCATTTTTCTCCAATCTGTGTGTTGTCCCTGCCCCAGCCTCCTGGGCCACCAGCAGGAGGCCTGAGCGGGAAGGGGGATCGTCCCTGGGAGGAGGGACCCTGCCCTTTACACCCCAGTATCTGCTCCCTGTTGTTTATGATGGGTGAGGGTCCTCCCAATCTGTCACGAGGGCAGCAGGACAGCAGAGAACCAGGCTTTGGGGAGGGGGTCTGTGGGGCAGGTGAGCAGCAGGCTGGAGGGACCTGGGGCCAGGGACACAGGGACGTGTCTATATCTCAGTGGAGGAGGTGGGAAGGCTCTGCCCACCTCACTGTGGGCTCTGCTGGGAACTGCAGGCTCCAGGCCGACTCTCAGCAGGCCCGGCTGTGGGGATCATGGGGGATGATGGCTGTGGTTGGGGGGAGTGGACAGGGCCAACAGGGCCTGACCTGGGGCAGGGACAGTGAGATACAGTAGGATCATGTACCCTGATCTGCAGTGGGTTATCCCAAGCCAGTCTGCCCGTGGGGGTCCCCACTTCCCAGGTAAGAGTGTGGAGGCTCAGAGAGGTGCAGCCACTGCTACCAGGCACACAGCCAGGAAAACAGGGGACCCGGAGCCACAGGGCTGCTCCACAGGGCTCATGTCACTCACCATCTTCCAGAAAAAGACAGCAGCTGAGAGACAGGCTGGGGCCTCTCTCCAGGGACCAGAGGGTGGTTGTGGCCCAGAGGGGGCCAGGAATCAGGCTGGGGGCTGTTTTGGACCCACAGGCACCGCCAGGAAGGCTGAGTCCGTGGTGAGGACCCTGGCAAAGTAGCTGCACCAGGCCTCCTGCTGGGTGGCATGGGCGCCCGTCCTGCCTCTGTTGATGATGCTGGCTAGTGGGGAGAGAGCTTGGTTTCAACAGCCATAGACATCTAATCATGAAAATATTAGCCAGTTAAAGTGTCTTTCCCAGAGGGGGAAAATTTCCATGGAGAAAGTTCCGGGCCTTGTAAAGAATACAAATGAGTCTTGTTGGGAATTAATTAAGGCTCCGGTGCCTGGCCATCCCTGACAGGAGGGGCGATGGGCTGCTGGCCAGGGTGTCAGGGCCAACGGCAGGGCTGGGAGCAGACAGGACCTGGCCTGTACCTCTCTCCCTCCATCCCTGGGTAGAGGTGCTTCAAGGGGCCAGGTCCCTTGAGGGTCTCCTCTGTCCAGCAGCATGGCGTTTGCTCTCCCCAGCCTTGTGGGTGGCACTGCTGTCCAGATGAATGGTGGCGGGGGTGGGGGGAGTGGTTCACACAGAGGACACAGGGGAGGAGGGTCCTGACTTTCAGGCCTCAGGTTCCCCAGAGGAGGACACTGACAATGGGTCAGAGCTGCATGATGGCTCGGGCAGGGGGCATGGGGCTGCTGCGGTGAGTCCTGACACCTGTCCGTCACCCAGCAAGGAACAGGCTGTGTCCCACATCTACACTGCGCGGAGTCCTTCCCTACTGGCCCCACCAGCCATCGGGGCTGGCTCCCTGGGCTCATTTTCCTCTAGGGTGGGCACACAGGGGTGCCAGCCTGCCTCTCACAGGCCCTGTCCTCTCTCCCCTGTGCCCGACTCTGGGATCCCCTGCCTCTCTAGGGGGGGCCCTAGGCATGTCAGGACCAGCGCCTTTACCATGGTTAATGGATCGGAACAAAGGATGCCTTTTAGCTGTTAATCGATCAATAACTGGAGTTGACACATGGTTCTAATTTCCGTAGTTTTTCTGATGTCCTTTTTCTTGGTGTCCCATCTAAGACACCACATCCCATCCAGGCATCATTCTGTCATTTTCTATTGGGGTGAAACAGACACAGCAAGATCCTCCATGCAGGGTTCTGTGGACGTTTACACTCCCTGGGCCCACAGAGTAAGAAAGAGTGTTCCCCACCTCTCAAGGTTCCCCTGGTGCCTCCCAGCAGTGCCCACCGGGGACAAGAGCCCTGGCGCCTCCCAGCAGTGCCCGCCGGGGACAAGAGCCCTGGCGCCTCCCAGCAGTGCCCGCCGAGGACAAGAGCTGCCCTTCCCACTTCTGCTGCCTTTAAATATCACCTAAGGGGACCGCACGGGATGTGTCTTTTCTGTCTGGCTTTTTCACTGCATCCTGTCGGTCTGTGAGAGGCATTCATGGTATTGCAGGGAGGAAAAATGACTTTATTGAGAAATATTTTAAATGTACCAAGAAGTACAGAGAATGAAATAATGAGCATGTTTGGACCCGCAGTCCACATTTTCATGTTTGCACCATTTGGTTCTGAGCTCTGACCCTGGCCGATGACTCCTCGTCCTCCTCCTCCTCCTCTTACTCCTCCTCCTCCTCCCCCCTCTCCTAACTTCTCCTGCCCCCTGTGATAAACTTGCCGTCCTGCCGAATGTGCCGGCAGTGCAGCAGCTGGGTGTAGAGTGTGTGGGGAGTCTCCGTCAATGACGTGGAATGGCTGGGTTTGGGGCTATCCATCTGCATTTCCAATATTGCATTTTGTCTTACTTCCTCTTCACAGAGTGCATGAAATGCACCGTCTCCCTGCCTCCCCACTCACACGTGCTGCACACACGCGGTGATCCTGCTGGTCTGTTGGGAGTGAAATATGTCCCCCGTGACTCCCTGGTGACTTCCTGGCCATTTGTATATGTTTTTTTCTGTGACATGATTATTGTCATATTTTTACATATTTTTCTTTGGGGCTATTTTGTCTTTTCCTTGGAGATATATAGTCTTTGTATACAATAGATACTAATATGTTAATTATATGCGTTAAAAGTGCCTTGACCGAGAACATGGCTTATCATGTTACATGCATACACGGTTTTTCCTTTTTGTTTCTGTGAAATCGTCCACTTCATCTGAGCTTGCACATTTACTGGCAGACGGCATCGCATATTCCTTCTTTTTGCATTTCCAATGTGCTCCTTTCTGGATTTTCTCTTTCTTTTCTTCGTTCAACTTGTCAGAGGTCCGTCTACCTTATTATCCATCACACAAAAAAGCCAAAACAAAACAAAACAAAAATTGAAGCCTTGGTTTGACCGCTCTGTTTTCTATTTTTAAGCATCTGCCTTTATCTTTGCTTTTTGCTCTCTTCTATCGCTACGTTTTGAAAATTTCTGTCATTGTTCTTTTTTTAGCTTCCTGAGCTGAACATTTAACTCATTTTTGTTTTCCACTGTTTGCTAAAGGCACTTAAAGCTAAGATTTACCAGGAAATATAAATAGGCTTTTATCTACATCTAAATATTTTTAAACCCTCCTCTCCATTGTGATGAAAAAAAAAAAAAAACCACTTCGTGATAGTTTCATCAGATTTTGGAAGTTTTCAGCCATTGTGTCTTCAGATATCTATTTCTGCTTCTATGTGTTAGGCTGTTTGATAACATCTCACATGTCCCTGGGGCCTGTTCATTTCTCTTTATTCTTTTTTTTCCTCTGTTCTCCAAATTGGATAATTTCTATCGATCTGTTCTTAAGTTCACTGATGCTCTTGCCATCTTCAATCGTGGGTAAAGCCCACTCAGTGAATTTTTCATTTCAGTGTTTGTAATCCATAATTTCCCTGGCGTCTTACTCATTGTTTCCATTTCTCTGCTGAGGCTGCCTTTCTGTTCACTCCTAAGACTATATTTCCTTTAATTGTGTGATGATATCTTTTTGTTACAAATTTATAATAATTGCTTTCAAGTCTTTATTGGCTGTGTCCAGCCCCTGGGCCACCTCTGGCGGGATTTCCATGGACGCTGTCATTTTTCTTGATCATGAATCACATTTTTCAATTCCTTTGTTTTGTCTAGTGATTTTTGATTGAATTCTAGCCACTGTGGATAGTTCATAGTGAAGACTCTGGATTCTAGGTTTGCCTTTTGTTTTTCCTGATAAGAGTTGGTTCTCATTTGTCAGGCAGCTCAGTCTCAGGCTGATGGCCTCGAACCCATGAGTTTGCTTTCTGTGTGTCCAGTGTGAATCTGAGGAAGGTGCAAGTGGTGTCACAAAACCTGTCACTTGAGGGGACACAACCAGCACTGGGCCTGCTGCGCAGCTTTGTCAGGGGCTTGGCTGTGGACTCTGTGAGGCCACAGCAGACCTTGCTGCAGGGAGTGATCTTTCCTTCGGAGCTGCAGCATTCCTGGGCTCCCTTCTCTGCACACTTCCCTGTTCTCTGATTCCTGCCCCACAGATTACAGCTGCTTCTGGTACTGCCCACACTAGCTTCTGCCTGTGAGCTCAGAGGGACCGTTGTGCTCCACTCAAACCCAGGTCTCTCTGCCATCATTTAAAAACTGCAGTTTTTTTTGCTAGGCAAAATTGCTGAGCAATCATACGTCTCACTTTTCAAGTCTCCCCAGTCTCACGGGTTTTGCTCTCACCCTACCTGTCTCCACTGCTGGAAGAGGAGTTTCCTTCATTTTGACGAGTTGGGGGCTTGCTGGTGGTGAGAGGGTGACCCTGTGCCACCTGCTTCACCGTGGTCCTACAAGTTCATCCGCCCAGAAGATGTTTAGGGTGGCAGGTATTAGTATTTTTATAATCATTGAGTTATAATAAATCTAAAGTAAACATGCAAAATGTGGTGTCCAGATTGGTGAAAACTGACAATAGTACACAGATGATTTCTAATATTCCAGAATTTTTCTCATGCCATTTGGCATTTACTTCTTCCCACTCCCAGAAGCAAATACTGCTCTACACGGATTCTAGAGCTTCACAGGAACGGAATCATAAAATATATACCTCTTTTGCCTCTGATCTTTTCATTCAACATGTTTTGGGAATTCACTCTTGTTGGTGGATATTTCAATAGTCAACTTCCTTTTATTGTTACATAGCATTGTGTTGTATGAAGATACCTCGATTTTGCTTATTTCTGGTTAATGGACACAGGGAAATAATATGTGAGATAACAACAAAATACTAACAAGGAGGGCAGGGGAAGTTGGAGCTAATCTCAGATGATGGAATAGAGATGGACAGGTTGTAGCCTCCAAGGTCACACAATATCAGGGTGAGCACCAGAAGCAGGTGAGAGTGCTGGTGGTGGGCACGGTGTATAGGTGAGAGTGATGGGCATGGTGTGTAGGTGAGGGTGGTGGTGGTGGGCACAGTGTGTGGGTGAGGGTGGTGGGCACAGTGTGTGGGTGAGGGTGGTGGTTGGCACTGTGTGTAGGTGAGGGTGGTGGTCGTGGGCACCGTGTGTAGGTGAGGGTGTGATGGGCACAGGGGCAGGTGAGGGTGGTGGTGGGCACAGTGTGTAGGTGAGGGTGGTGATGGGCATAGGGTCAGGTGAGGGTGGTGGTGGGCACCGTGTGTGGGTGAGGGTGGTGGTTGGCACTGTGTGTAGGTGAGGGTGGTGGTCGTGGGCACCGTGTGTAGGTGAGGGTGTGATGGGCACAGGGTCAGGTGAGGGTGGTGGTGGGCACCATGTGTAGGTGAGGGTGGTGATGGGCACAGGGGCAGGTGAGGGTGGTGGTGGTGGGCACAGTGTGTAGGTGAGGGTGTGATGGGCATAGGGTCAGGTGAGGGTGGTGGTGGTGGGCACAGTGTGTGGGTGAGGGTGTGATGGGCATAGGGTCAGGTGAGGGCGGTGGTGGTGGGCACAGTGTGTGAGTGAGGGTGGTGGGCACAGTGTGTGGGTGAGGGTGGTGGTTGGCACTGTGTGTAGGTGAGGGTGGTGGTCGTGGGCACCGTGTGTAGGTGAGGGTGTGATGGGCACAGGGGCAGGTGAGGGTGGTGGTGGGCACAGTGTGTAGGTGAGGGTGGTGATGGGCACAGGGTCAGGTGAGGGTGGTGGTGGTGGGCACAGTGTGTGGGTGAGGGTGGTGGTTGGCACTGTGTGTAGGTGAGGGTGGTGGTCGTGGGCACTGTGTGTAGGTGAGGGTGTGATGGGCACAGGGTCAGGTGAGGGTGGTGGTGGGCACCATGTGTAGGTGAGGGTGGTGATAGGCACAGGGGCAGGTGAGGGTGGTGGTGGGCACAGTGTGTAGGTGAGGGTGTGATGGGCACAGGGTCAGGTGAGGGTGGTGGGCACAGTGTGTGAGTGAGGGTGTGATGGGCACAGGGTCAGGTGAGGGTGGTGGTGGACACAGTGTGTGGGTGAGAGTGGTGGTTGGCACTGTGTGTAGGCTAGGGTGGTGGTCGTGGGCACCGTGTGTAGGTGAGGGTGTGATGGGCACAGAGGCAGGTGAGGGTGGTGGGCACCATGTGTAGGTGAGGGTGTGATGGGCACAGGGGCAGGTGAGGGTAGTGGGCACCGTGTGTAGGTGAGGGTGGTGGTGGGCACTGTGTGTAGGTGAGGGTGGTGGTGGTGGGCACCGTGTGTAGGTGAGGGTGGTGGTGGGCACAGGGGCAGGTGAGGGTGGTGGTGGGCACCATGTGTAGGTGAGGGTGGTGGTGGGCACAGGGGCAGGGGAGGGTGGTGGGCACCATGTGCAGGTGAGGGTGTGATGGGCACAGGGGCAGGTGAGGGTGGTGGTCTTGTTCTTAGGGGTAGAGCAGGGTTGTGAAGTGCACAGTGGCCTGGAAAGGTGGTGGTGGGTTTCAGTGCAGATTCAGGATGTGAGGACTGTGACACACATTTGAACACAATGACATTTGTGACCATGCCGCCTTCTGAGATTGCTCAGGTGGCTTTGCTGGCACAGCTGTGCCCTCTGCAGAGAAGCCTGCATGTCATCTGAACCTCAGCCCCTGTGTGCAGGGGAGAGGGAGAGAGCTGTGCTAAGTGTTTGGCGCCCACTTATCCAATCCGCTCAGTGTGAAGGGCACGATTCAATAAAGCTCCTGTCACTTCTGCTTGTGGCTGTGCAGGAGCCAAAAAATTGATTTCAGGATCAGACACCTTAATCAGGGCAGGAGTGAGGCATCTTCTCTGGCAGAGAGAAAATGGGGCTTGCATTGAATTTGGCCTAAAGACACCACACATGGCTGTCGTCTCTGGACATCACTGAGCCTGGGTGCTGCCGTGAAGGGTGGAGAGCAGCCTTCCTGGCCTGGACTGTGTTCCCCGCCCACCTGTGCAGGCGCCAGACAGTGGAGTCAGGCTGCAGCTCCTGGCTCCAGGAGAGGAGAGGTTTCTGTTAATGGACACAGGGAAATAATATGTGAGATAACAACAAAATACTAACAAGGAGGGCAGGGGAAGTTGCAGCTAATCTCAGATGATGGAATAGAGATGGACAGGTTGTAGCCTCCAAGGTCACACAATATCAGGGTGAGCACCAGAGGCAGGTGAGAGTGCTTGTGGTGGGCACGGTGTATAGGTGAGAGTGATGGGCATGGTGTGTAGGTGAGGGTGGTGGTGGTGGGCACGGTGTATAGGTAAGGGTGATGGGAATTGTGTGTAGGGGAGGGTGGCGATGGGTGTATAGGTGAGGGTGATGGGAACTGTGTGTAGGGGAGGGTGGTGACGGGCATGGTGTATAGGTGAGGGTGATGGGAACTGTGTGTAGGGGAGGGTGGTGACGGGCATGGTGTATAGGTGAGGGTGATGGGAACTGTGTGTAGGGGAGGGTGGTGACGGGCATGGTGTATAGGTGAGGGTGATGGGAACTGTGTGTAGGGGAGGGAGGTGATGGGCACAGTGTGTAGCTGAGAGTGATGGGCACAGTGTGTAGGTGAGGGTGATGGGAACTGTGTGTAGGGGAGGGTGGTGACGGGCACGGTGTATAGGTGAGGGTGATGGGAACTGTGTGTAGGGGAGGGAGGTGATGGGCACAGTGTGTAGCTGAGAGTGATGGGCACAGTGTGTTGGTGAGGGTGATGGGAACTGTGTGTAGTGGAGGGTAGTGATGGGTGTATAGGTGAGGGTGATGGGAACTGTGTGTAGGGGACGGTGGTGATGGGCACAGTGTGTAGGTGAGGGTGATGGGAACTGTGTGTAGGGGAGGGTGGTGATGGGAACTGTGTGTAGGGGAGGGAGGTGATGGGCACAGTGTATAGGTGTGCAGTCCCTCCGCGGCCAGCTGCCCTTCTGGTCACCACTTACAGGTGTGCCCTGCATCTACCTGGTTCCCACGTGGACGTCCCTATCTGAGACACCTTTTGGACCAACTCTGGACAGACCCTCTCCAAAATCAAAGGTGCGCTGGGCTGCTAACCTGATCCAAGACGAGATCAATCTAGTGAGCTCAATTGATCACCAGGATTGGAGAGGCAGCAGGATTGGAGAGGCAGCAGGATTGGAGTATAGGTTCCACCTCTTCACAAGAGCCCCTACCAGCACCCCTGTCCTGGGCCTCACGTACACTCAAATGAGCAGCTGGGCTTGGTGACCTCTGAGCCACCTGAGTTTTCTGTCCATGTCTGTTGACACAGCACTGGGCTTTTGCCCTGCTCATTGGGCCAGGTCACGAATAGGGGCTGCCCTGGATTCTCTGTGCCTTGACCTGCTGCTAGCAAGCAGCTTTGTCTTTTGGTCAAGACCCAGCCTCAAGTGTCTGAGAGTCTGAGTCTGTGATTTTCTGGCTGGCACCCTTGGCAAGCCACTTCACTGCTCTGAGCTTTGGTTTTACCATCTGCAAAATGGAGTTATTGAACAGAACCTACTCACAAACAACCCTTCAGGCTGGAAGTGGCTGCAGGGGGCTTGAGCCTGTGTGGTGGCCCCCACTGCTGTGTTCTTGTTGTGGAGACACCTGCGTCCCAGCCCTGGCCCCTCACAGGACGTGTGACCTAGGACAAACAGTCTATGCTCTCTGAGCCTCATTATAAAATCGGGGGAGTACAATCTGACCCATGCAGCCTCCTTTCATGCCCAAATTCACCCCAGGTGTCAAGTGCCCATCATTGAAGGATCCTCGTCCAGGTTCTGTTGATACCACCGAGGTGGAGTGGGCCTGCACCTGCCTCACTCAGCACACGCCGTCCTGGGGGCGCACAGAGGTGCTGGCACGAGGCAGAGCGGGGAAGGGGCAGGAGATCCAAGGAGATCTGGGCAGAAGCAAGACTGTGTGAGGAATGTCACCGCCAAGCAGTGCAGAAACCAGCAGGCTGTGTGGGTGCAGAAATAGACGAGAGACCAAGGAGAAAAGATAAGAAGTCCAAATACAGGCTCCTGTAAGCACGGGATTTATTCTATAATAGGAAATTTATCTTAGCTTACCAAGGACAGGATGAGGTACTCAATCTGTGTTCAGATGATCAGAAACACATTTGCATTAAAACATTAATTTAAATGAGTATGTCACATCGTACTCAAAAATAAATTCCAGGTGAATTGAAAAACTACATATTTGGATGGGAAAAGCATAAAGATATAAAAAGAAAATATAGGTTAATACTCTTAAAATTTTGGATCTCAGAAAATCCTCTAAGAAAGGTGTGAATCCTACAAGATTTAAAGGAAAATATTTAAATCTTTGAAGCCATAAGAAACATTTCTGTATGTGATCAAAAAACACCATAAGCAAGAGTAAAAAGACAGCAGCAGTTTAGAAAATCTATTTTATGGGTAATTAAATAGAAAAGGTTAATACCCATAATATATAAAGAGCATTCAACAAGAAGAAAGGAAATTACACAAAGGTGTGGTCAGTTCTGGGCAGAAGAACCCAAACTCTCAATGTGAAATTAAAGCTGCGCGACATCAGCAGTAACCAGGGAAATGCAAGTTAAAGCGACGGGGAGGTTTGTATTTTATTTTACCCAATCATGTGGGAAACATAGCAGGTTGATACAATCAGTCCAGCGAGGGCACCGCCTACTCTCAGGGAGAACATGAATGAGCGCAGCCTCTCGAGAGGCGTTCACAGAATCTGTCCCAATGGAATCAGCCAGCAATTCCCATCCCAAAGAAGTGCCCGTGAGAGTGCCCAGCAAGGCACAAAAGGATGGTCGGCTCAGCAGGACTGGTGAGAATCAGAAGCCATCTGAGTGCTCATCAGTAAAGGGACGTGACCCCCAGGCTCCCCGCGTCTTCAAGTAGTGGGCAGAGGGCTGAAGGAGAAGGCAGACCTATACCTGCTCACATGGCACAGCTCCAAGACCTAATATTACATTTTAAAAGTGATTAGCAGAAACAACCACTACACGTGTGCGTGAGCTTGTGAGAATGACATGTGTAGCACAGAAGGCCTGCTGGGTGGTGCCCCCAGGTGGCAAGGGCTCTCTCTTCTTTCTTTCTTTCTTTCTTTCTTTCTTTCTTTCTTTCTTTCTTTCTTTCTTTCTTTCTTTCTTTCTTTCTTTCTTTCTCTCTTTCTCTCTCTCTCTCTCTCTCTCTCTCTCTCTTTCTTTCTTTCTTTCTTTCTTTCTTTCTTTCTTTTCTTTTCTTTTTTTACACAGAGTTTCGCTCTGTTGCCCAGGCTGGAGTGCAGTGGTGCAATCTTGGCTCACTGCAACCTCTGCCTCCCAGGTTCAAGTGATTCTCCTGCCTCAGCCTCCCGAGTAGCTGGGATTACAGGCCGGCACCACCATGCCTGGCTAATTTTTTGTATTTTTAGTAGAGACAGGGTTTCACCATGTTGGCCAGGCTGGTCTTGGACTCCTGACCTTAGGTGATCTGCCCGCCTCCGCCTCCCAAAGCACTGGGATTACAGGCATGAGCCACCATGCCCTGCTGGCAAGGGCTCTCTAGGTGGGCGAGGGGCTGCCAGAGAAGGGTGTTCAATGGGAACATTTCTATTTTTGTCTCTGTCTCCTTCTGTTCAGTCTAAACACTTTGCACTAAGAACAGGGGTGTGCTCTCCTTGTCTAGCAGAAAGCACAGGCAGAGAGCAAATCCCAGGGGAGAGGGAATGTAGAGTACCAGCCCAGTCTGGTGCAGACACTGTGAAACACTGGCCTGGCTCCTGCCCCCCACGGGCCTCGCTCAGGGTTTTTCTCCCCCAGGAAGGACCTGCTGGTGCTGCAACCCACGCTTGGGTCACCTTTGCCAGAACCGGGGTCATTTGCTTTGGGGGTCCTCAGGCCAGTGCTCAGAAGGCTGCTTGTTGTAGATGGAGGACAGCTCCTCAGGCTGGGAAATCTCTCAATGGGAACTGTGCTCAGAACAGAACAGAACTTCCCGGATACTTAGATATTTGGGTGGTATTGATCTCCGCATCAGTGTCCTCGGGTTGAAAACAAACTACCACACACGCAGTGGCTTAAGAAAAACCCAGAAATGCCTTCCTCACGGTTGTGAAGTTCACATGTCCGAATTCAAGGTGCTGGAGGGTGGCTCACTCCCTCCGAGGTTCCAAGAGAGAATCCTTCCTTGCCCCTTGCTGCTTTGGGGGCTCCAGGGGTTCCGTAGCTTGCAGCCACATCACGCCTGTCTCTGCCTCTGGGTCATATTGCCTCTGCCTCTTCTGCCTGTACCAGTGCCTTTCCCCTCACTAGCTCCAGATGCTTAACGTGATCACAAAGACCTTTTTCCAAATAAGGTAAGATTCACAGGTCCAGGAGTTTGACGTGGCTATCTTTTGGGGACCCATCTTTGGGGGACCCATCTTTGGCCCACTAGTCTCCTTCTCTCCAGCCCTCCAAACTCTGATGGCCTTGAGGACACCCCACACGCCCTTCTCCCTCTGGCTCAATGAGCCACACAGAGATGGCCCATCAGCATGCTCGCCCCTCCATCATCCTCTGGAAGGGCAGAGCGCTGGACAGAAATGGCAAAGTGCACACCTTGAGGAGACCGGAGATTGGCCAGGAATATTTTGCTTCTCCAGGAAGCAGATGAGGCCGATGTCCCGCTCAGTCTTCAGAAGCTGGAGTGTGTGTCCAGCAGTTCTGCCCCGCCAGGCGGTGAAAGGCTGTGGCTGGGAGCAGAGGCTCCCTCAGCCTTCTCTGCACAGTGGCAACTGCAGTCCTTACTAAGCAGCATGGCTGAGTGGGGAATCAGGCCCAGGAAGGCCGCTGTCTGGTCCCGCCTCGGTGACAAGAGGAACATCACATAGTGTTTCATTCAGTAGGAGAGCCTGGAGGCACCGGGAGGTTGTTCCCACATCCAGGGCCCTGGCAGAAGAGCCCCTTCTTCAAATGCATCCCCCGGGTGCCTCTCCTGTGACTTGCCCAGGGGAGGGAGCACTCAAGGCTGTACTTGAGCGGGAAGGCTGAGGACTCCCGAGCATTTTCCCAGCAAACCTGCAGCCCGGAGCCTGAGAAACGAGAAGTGTCTGTGAGGCTGAACCAACATCGGTAGGGGGTTAATGGCAAACAGGCTGCAGATCTTAACAAGGTCCCTGGACTTGCCTGATCGAGCTTGAGCCCAGACCTGTCTGGCAGAGCAATGTGGGCGCTATTGCTCTCTGCATTTGACTGCTGGAAAAGCAGGTGCAGATGATGAACTGGCTTGACTGAGGCAGTCAGTCCATCAGTCCGTGGCTGGGCCAAGTGAGGCACCCAGCCTCCTGACACCAGGGCTCAGCTGCCCTTGGGCTGAACATGGGGACTGTGCAGGCAACTCTGTGGTGCCATGGACAGGATCAGCACCCTGCTCAGAGGCATGTGGGTGTGTCTCTGGGGCTTCAGCTCACTGCAGGGTGGTGGCTGCCCTGAACCCATTTGCACACCAGGGTGATGACCCTGGAGCTATGAGACGGATTTGCTGGCTGTCCCACTGCTGGGAGGAGCAGGGTCAGGACTAGAGCCCAGGCTGCCACCCCGCTTGTGGGACACCACACGGTGCTGGGCTTGGAGCAGGGGCAGGTCAGGGAGGGATGTGGGGGTGGAGGAAGCTTCACACAGAGGTGGAAGTACTGAGGCCAGGGAGGGTGTGTGCCCCGTGCACCTGTGCTGGGCCAGGCTGGGCTGGTCCTTATCCCTACAAACTCAGCTTTGCCACCTGAGCTTTTCCTGAGTGCAGCCTGAGAGCCCCCGGACTGGGGAGAGCCCTCAGCTGCCTCTCAGACCAGCCCAACCTCATCCCAACACTGCCCATCCTCTCTGCACAGTGGCCCCCACAACCACATGGCTGTGGCTCCCCACCCCTTCTCTAAACCCTGCAGCACAGGCCTCAGGTGGAGGGAAGGAAAGCAAACAGCTGGCAAGAATCCACGCTTCCTTTGAACCAGATGCTTTCTAACTGGCAGATGATGTCATTCCCCAGGCCTCTCATCATCCCCATCTCATAACTGTAGCAATGGAGGCCCAGGAGGGAAGAGCCACCAGCCAGCACACAGCAGGAGTAGGACATGGGCTCTGCCGCATAGGGGCCTCTCCCCTTCTCCTCCTGTCCCTCTCATCCCTCTTCTCCCCTTCTCCTCCTGTCCCTCCTGTCCCTCTTGTCCCCTTGCCATGGGATGGTCTCAGATACAGTCTTCTGGCCATCACAGGTTGAAAGGGGACAGAGCTGGAAGGTCCCAGCCATCCCTTGCCACGTGGCTCGGGCGAGTCTCCTCCCCTCTCTGGGTGTGCTCTGGATCTCTCCTGAGTCCCTGAGCCTAGCACGGTGCCTGGACTTGCCCAGGGCTCTTGCATATAACTGTGGGGCAGGGCATCAGCAGGGCAGGGCATCAGGCCCCTCTCCACCTGTGCTCCCAGAGCTGCTGCGATGTCCTGGATCGGAGAGAGGTCTCATGGTCACTGCAGTTACAGGTGCAGGGGAAAAAGAGAGGTAATGAGCCCTGTTTGGCAAAATGCCTGCTGGCTCTGAAGCTGTGCTGGGGCCACCTGCACTGGTTCTCAACTGTTTTCTGTCTTGCTTCTTGTTTTTTTTACCAGCCTGAGATATACTAATTGGTCAGAAGTGAAAAGAGAGGAAAAGAAATCTCAGTTCAGCAAAGAAAATCCACACCTGTGGCAGGCCCCTCCCACCCCCTTCCAGGGAGGAGAACTGTCTAAGCCAGGGCAGCAGCCCAGCCTCCACCCCTTGCCCAGGCTCAGCCCCTCTTCTCCCCTCCCCCAGTGTGTGGGGGGGTCAGCCCCAGATATTGCCACAGGGACCTCCACCCAGTGCTCCCCACCCATCAGTGCCTGGCCTTCTCCTTGCTCCCCACGGGGCTCCCGTGATGCCTCTACGTCTCCCCCAGGACAGCCACTCCCCCTCCTTGCTGGGCATCATGGAGTGGATACGTTGAACCCTGCTTCATCCTCACAAGCAGATGGGGAGCCTGGCAGTCGCTTGTACTGGCTCCCTTTGAAAAATGAGTGGTCCAGACTGTGCCTACTCCTGTGCTGCTGGCTGCCCTGGACACTGGCCTCTGAGACTTCCAGCATCATGGCATCAGGCTTGGCCAAGCAGCTGCCTTCATGCAGCCTGGCTGTCACTCTGCCTGCTGACCTGAGCTCACAACATGACAGCAACAGAGACATGGGCTGCTCCCTGAGCCCTGACCAGGGGCCGGGAGCCACGCTGAGGACTCCGGGGGGCTTTCTTTATTCCCAGGTCCTTCCGCAATGCTGTGAGGCTGGTGTCTTTACATTTCACACAACTGTTTAGGAACTGTAAACTCTAAGTCAGATGGCTGGCTGATGATGAACAGCTGTTGAGCATCAGTATTCATTTTCTCCCAACCTTTGGGGCTTAACACCACAAGCATTTCTGACCTCACATCGTTTCTGAGATCAGGAGTTGAGAAGTGGCTCTGCTGGTTAGGACTAAGGGAAGGCCCCTTGTGAGGCTGCAGTTACACTGTCAGCCAGGGCTGCCATCATCTGAAGGCTCGACTGGGGCTGGAGGAGGCTGCAGTTACATTCTCAGCCAGGGCTGCCATCATCTGAAGGCTCGACTGGGGCTGGAGGAGGCTGCAGTTACACTCTCAGCCAGGGCTGCCATCATCCAAAGGCTTGACTGGGGCTGGAAGAGGCTGCAGGTACACTCTCAGCTGGGGCTGCCATCATCTTAAGGCTTGACTGGGGCTGGAGGGTCTGCCTGCTTCTGAGATGGCTCATTCATGTGGCTGTGGGCAGGAGGCTGCAGCTTCTCAGCACATGGGCCTCCCCACAGAGGTGCCCAAGTGTGCTTACAACACAGCCACCAGCTTCCCCCAGAGCCCTCAATCAAAGAAAGAGAGAGGGAAAGAAGAGGAAGAGGCCACAGGGCTTCTTATGTCCTAGGCTCTAACACTGCAATCCCTACTTCTGCTTTATTCCACGTCTTAGAAATGAGCGCTTCAGTCCAGCTCCCACTCAAAGACAGGGGAATGAGGGTCCACCCTTTGAAGGGTAAAGTATCAAACAGTGTGTAGACATTTAAAACCCACCAAGGGCCAGAGGCAGGATCAGGCCTGATGCCCTGTGGGCATGCTTTCCTCTCCACCTGAGCTCACCAGCTCCAGATGATCACTGTCTGTCACCCCTGCTGCCCCCTACATGCTTACACAGGTGCCTGTCCCTTTGTAGGGCATCCAACAAGCCCCTCGCTGGCCCTGCTCCTCGTGGGTCCTGCCCCTCAGCTCCCCACTTCCAATTGGGCCCCAGGGCACCTTGCAGTGGGGTCTCCTCTGCCATGCTGCTCTCTCCTGCTGCGCTGCCTGGAATGAGTCTGGAAGTGGCAGGGAGAGACCCTGGCTACCAAGATCAGGGCATTGTGGGCACCTGCAAGGTGCTGGAAGAGCAGAGTAGGAGGTGGGCTCCCCCAGGTGAGCGAGAAGGCCACTGGAAGGCAGACTATGCATCCGTGAGTAAAGATCAACAGCTCCCTAAGGAGGGGAAGGGTCCTGGTGCAGGGAGTGGTCCCTGCAGATGCTGGGCTGGGGAAGAGGGAGAGCAGAGTCCAGCCATGTCCACAGCGGCTTCCACCCCAGCTCTTTCCATCCTTGTCCTCCTGCCATCGGGAGGCCACTGGGCCATGCAGGGAGAAGGCCAGGGGTGAGTGGGCAGCCTTAGAGGTGATCCTCCCAGCTGTAGGATAATGTGTGGAGTTCAGGCTGTCAAGCTGACATCTTCCATTAAGGCTGCAGTACATTTTTAATACATTCCATTTTTCTTTAATTTCAGATCATATTGAGTCTAGTAGACTCTCCCTTTATGACTGAGTTGTGCATCATTAACTGTTAGAACGGTCTTGGCAAAGCACGGGGGCCTCGTTAACCCTTCCAGTGACTCCTCCCTGGGAATCCAGGCTCTGTGGTTTGGTTTAAAGACAAGAGACGTGAAATTGCCTCTCCAGACCACAAAGAAAAGGCTGGATCACGACATTCACCCTCTTGTCCCCTCCCCCTGCATGCCCTCCATCTCCCTGGGGGACCTGGGCTGGGAGATGGTGACGAGGCTCTACCCCTAAATAGGGAGCCCTCACCTCATGTCCTGTCACTTCTCTGTTCTGGTCCAGACCCCCCGCCTCCTCTAACAAGGGTCTTAGTGGACTGAACAGGTCCAACCACCTCCCCAACCCTGTATCTCAAATCAGAAGGTCTCAACAGTTTCCACTGGATCTAACCCTGAGTTAAGCCCCATGGAAGAAACAAGGAAATGGGCCTTCTGTTCACAGAGACATCAGGATTTTAGTGGGAAAACACTTGACCCAGAGCAAGCCTGGACCACGCACACTAAGTGTAGTCAGGGCTGGGAGAAAATTGGGCTTGCCATGGGCTGCTACAGGCACAACAGGCTTCCTGGACGAGGGGGACCTGTGGACCTCATTCTGTTCTGCCCTGTGTGCTTTCTGGTCAGTCTTATTTGTCCAAATTGGCCGTAGTGCTCGTTAACAGTGGATCTTCTTTCTAGTATTTCCTTGGAACAAAGGAAGGAATAAGTAATGAATGAAGAGAAGGAAGAAGCAGGAGGGAGGGAAGAAGCTGAGCACCCACTGTAACATCCCTGCCCTGGGGGCTCTGGGAAATGGGAGGAAGCGAAATGGTATCTGTTTCTTCCCTGCTATGGGAATGTCCATGTCCCAACTAGACCTGAAGCAAGCTCCTTGCTGGCTCCCTTGCCGCCCTCAGCCTGTCTTCTCCCTTCAAACTGGTTGCCAGATGCATCTCTCTACAGCCGCCCTCTCTCAGAGGGGTTCTTTGATAGGTGGCTTCAGCATGAGCTCAGAGCTGGGTAGAAATGCAGGCTCTAGAGCGGCACCCCAGACCTGCAGAAAGATGGCTGGCACGCAGCTTACCTTTCGAGAAGTTCTGCTCTCTGGGACACCAACAGATGCCGCTGAGTCCTAAGATAAAACCCCTGAGTGGGTCCCTGTCCTCTCCAGGATGAGGGCTGCAGGCCCTCTGCTGAGGACTAGGGCCCAGCCAGCAGCCGTGCCCCTGGCTACCTGGCTCGGCTGAGTGCCACCTTCTAGGGGCAGCTCACGCTTTGGGGGTGGGGAGGTGCCCACTATGCCTTGTCTCTGGCATAGGTGCCCACTATGCCACTGTCTCTGCCCAGAGCCCTCCCTGGCCGCCCAGGGAAATGTCTTGCCCACCTCAGGACCCTCCCAAGCCTCCCACTGGGCTCATCACATCCTGTGTCCTGCCCCGCCTGTGGCTGTGACCATACTACAGACCCCTCAGCACAGCAGACACCTCTCCAAGTGGGTGCCATGTTAGGTTCAGCTTGGCCCCAGCCCTGTGTGAGCCTGGAGCATGGCAGATATGCAGGGAAGAGCTCCTGAGCAAGGCATGGGTGACTGGATGGACATGTTCCATCTCAGGTAGCTGCTGATCTGATGGTGAGATGCAGCCCCACCCTGGAGGTTGCTGTCCTGTGAAAAGGCACAGCCTGGCCTTCAGGAGCCCATCATTCAGTTAAGGATGAACAACGTTACGCATGAAAGTGACTGAGAACATTGCCTGAGACCCAGGAGCACCAGTTCGGATGAATGCAGTGCACCCAAGGTTGAAATTAGGGAAAAAAAATGCATTAACCTGGTGGCTTAAATTAAATCACAGCCACATCTCTTTCTAAATTAAGTTCCTCATTCACATTGTTCCTTGTCACATTGATGGAGCTGCTGCTACTGACGGCACTGTTTTTTTCTCCCTCCCCATGAATTGAGATGGGGCTGAAAAATAAAAGGGCCTGCCCACTTCCCCTGGGAGGCACTGTGCATGGTGCAAGGACCACGCGCCCCGGGCAGGTGCCTTTCCTGCAGTTCTGGGCTTTCCATACACCAGTTACAGAAAGGAGCAAGTTCAAACCTGGGATACAAATGGCCCTTTCTAAACCTGAAATCCCTGTTTTCAGGGCTCTCAGTGACCCAAACATCTGCCAAAAAGACTCCCCTAATTGTTAGCTGGGTATGGCGGTCTCACTGCACACTTGAAACCCTTCTCCCACCCCCATTTTTCTACAGAGCCAAGTGTTCTATCCTTGATGTGGCAAGAAAGACCCCCCGCCCACCTCTTCTCTGCCTCACTCCTGGCCCACGGCCGGACCTCCTTACACTGTCTTCCTGCAGTGCCGGAGTGTTTGCTGAGGCCTGGATGCTTCCTGTCGGCCTCAGTGACACTGAGCCTCTGCTGGAACCTGCTCCGGGAAGCTCTCAATGTGCCCTGATTATCTGTTTCCTATCAGCTTCCACTGATAACGAGAACCTCTCAAAGGCCGGCCCCTGTTTGCACTGCCCGGTCGTCAGCCGTAGGAAGATGTTCGGTTCGTCCGCTCCTGAGTCTAGAGGCTGCTGTTCCAGCCTTTCGGTGCCTTATGGAGAGGCTCCAGACGCATTGTGGCCAAGCACTTTGGTCCTGGGCTCCGAGATAGTGGCTTCAAATCCCGACTTGGCCGTTTGCTGTCTGTGTGACTTTGGTCACTCACTGAGATCTGTGCCTGGTTTATCATTCTTAGATGAGGACAGAGAACTGTGCCAGCCCATAGGGTCACTGTGAGAGCTCAGTGAGACAACACATAGAAAGTGCTCTCCGAGGTGACAGGCAAGGACCCACCCATTGGGCAAATGCGGACGTGGGCCCTGCAGGATTCTGGGGCTGGTCACGCAGCAGGGAGCTGCTACTGCCAGTGCTACTGCAGCTATTACTACCTCCACTGCTACTGTGGCTGTCACTACCACCACTGCCACCACAGCTGTCACTCCACCACCGCTACCGCGGCTGTCACTGCCACCACTGCTACTGCAGCTGTCACTACCACCACTGCCACCACAGCTGTCACTCCACCACTGCTACCGCAGCTACCGCAGCTGTCACTACCACCACTGCTACTGCAGCTGTCACTGCCACCACTGCCACCACGGCTGTCACTGCCACCACTGCCACCGCGGCTGTCACTACCACCACTGCTCCTATGGCTAGTACTACCACCACCACTGCTACTGAAGCTATTACTACCACCACTGCTACTGCTGTTACTGCTGCTATTACACTGGCAGTGGCAATGGTAACAGTAGTACTAGGAAGAGGAGTACTAGGAATATGAATAGTGATAATTACCACTACTTGAAGTACTCCTCCTCTTCCTATTACTACTGGTAGTGCTAGTACGGCTAGTAGGGGTAGTAATCGTGGCAGTACCACTACTACTCCTAGTACTGCTGGGTTGTAAATAGAAAACTCCCTAGAGAAAATAAGGTGGGACTGCAAAGCTTTTATTTCCTGAGCCTACCACATCATGATGAGGGGAATGATGAATGGATGAGGGAGGAAACCTGGTATGGGTGGAACCCAGGGCACCAAAGAAGACAAATCTAGAGGCGTCGTGGCGGCAGACCAAACAAACATATGAACACCCGCCTCA
Organism: Homo sapiens; assembly: GCF_000001405.40. Lineage (NCBI taxonomy): Eukaryota > Metazoa > Chordata > Mammalia > Primates > Hominidae > Homo > Homo sapiens. The sequence continues at coordinate 141,886,073 of NC_000008.11, forward strand.
TTCCAGACTTGTGAAACGTTGGTAACGTGGAAGTCTTCCTGCAAGTCACAGATACATGGCAAAGCTTAAAACCAACAGACCTTTTTAGAGAGATGCAAAATATATAAAAAAGACGTTGCAGCTTAGAAGGTGGACTGAGAAGGTTCAGCAGAGTCTAATATGAGTTTCAGAAGGAGACAAGGTAAGCTGGAGAGATGAAATATTGATGGAAATCGTGGCTCAGAACATTCAAGAACCAAAGAAAGCTGGAAGTCCTCAGCTAAAAGAAACACAATTTGTTCCAAGCAGGATAAATGTAAACAAACTCATGACAGGACGTAGCTGAATGAAACTGCAGGATGTCAAAGAGAAAAACTGGTATCTATGAGAGGGAAGAGGTACAGGCATATTTCTAATGGGTGACAAGGTCTGCTGGGAGACAATACAGCAATAAATTCAAATTGATGAGGGAAAATCATGTTTAACCCAGAATTCTATACCCAGCCAGACCATCACTCAAGGAGGACAAAATGAAGATTTTCAGATATAGAAGGGCTGAGAGGGATTACTTATCTCCAACCCTAGTAAGCTATGCAGTTCGTCAAGGAGAAAAACCCAGGGTGGAGGAGACAGTAAAATTCAGGACACAAAAGGGTGCATTGATTGGTAAAGTGTATTTGTAAATATAACCCACTGTTAACTATCTTAAAAGCACACCAGCTTTTTATGCTTTTTAAGAAAAAGTTAAAATGAAGCCCTGGGCAGTGCTTAATGATGCTCCATGATTAGCCAGAGCCTGGGATAGTCCTGACCAGGGTCAGCCAGGAGGATGGAAATTCCGAGTCACTTCATCTTTTCTGAAATAGTTAATTATGTGTGTTATAATTTTATGTAACCATGAAAACATTTGGAATATAATTCATCTCTTTAAAACCTGCCAGAGTATAAAAGGAAAAGTATCAATCCATCAGACGGCGAGACAGGATGTTCCACATGTTACCCATGTCCCCCAAGATTCGTAGGATGAAGGCCTAATCCTGTTTATGATGGTATTAGGAGGTGAGGTCTCTGGGAGGTGATCAGGTCTTGTGGGCAGAGCTCTTGTGGTGCCATCACTGCCCCTATAATAACAGACATAAGAGAGCTTTCTTCCTTTCTCTGCTCTCTGCTATGTGAGGCCACAAACAAAGGGCGGCCATCTGCAACCTAGGAAGAGAGCCCTCACCAAGACTGAATCTGCTGGTGCTTCATCTGAGACTTTGAGACTCCGGAACAGTAAGAAATAAAGGCCTGTAGTTTAAAGCCTCTCAGTCTGTGGTATTTGTTAGGGCAGCCCAAGCAGACTAAGACAGAGGATGAAAAAAATAAAGAAAAGCAAAGGATAGTAAAGTCAACAGAAAAGAACAGAAACAAGTCCAATATAACAGTAATAAATACAGCAAATTCAACTGTGTTAAAAAAAAAAACAGATAAAATGGGAATATAAATGGAGTGTATATGTATGCATATAGAAAGTTTAAGATAAAATGGTCGGGAGCGGTGGTTCACGCCTATAATCCCAGCACTTTGGGAGCAGAGGTGGGTGGATCACTTGAGGTCAGGAGTTTGAGACCAGCTTGGCCAACATAGTGAAACCACATCTCTACTAAAAATACAAAAATCAGATGGGCATGGTGGTGCATGCCTGTAATCCCAGCTACTAGGGAGGCTGAGGCAGAAGAATCGCTTGAACCTGGGAGGTGGATGTTGCAGTGAGCCAAGATCACACTGCTGCACTCCAGCCTGGGCAACAGAGCCAGACTCTGTCTCTAAATAAATAAATAAATAAAATAAAATAAAATAAAATATAAATAAATAAAATCATAGATTACTAGTCATAGCAAAACTATTCTAGCAATATTAATATCAGGTGAAACTGAATTTAAGAAAATTGATGGTTAAACTGGAGGGGTGTTTCCACCTAAGTTAGGAATAAGACATGACTGAGCATGATCAGTGCAACAATTCAACATTTCACCAGAGGAGTTATCTATGTGATAAGAAAGGGAAAAAATATAGACAATGGAAATGGATAAAATTGTGTTTATTTGAAAATTACACAATTGTCTACTAAGAAAATTCAGAAAAATCTGAACAAATTATTAGAGCTAGGAAGAGAATTCAGCAGACCTCCTGAATGCAATGATCAACTTATAAAAACAGAGTAGTTGAAGATAAAAAAATCATTTAAAAATGGTGTTCACATATGCCAGCAAATAGCAAATAACAAATGTAATAGAGAAAAAAATTCTCATTCACAACAGCAACAAAAACTGTGTGTTACCTAGGAATAAATGTAAAAAACATGCATAAGAATTTTTATGAAGAAAAATTACGCAATTACAAAATTTATTGACAGACATTATACAAAATCTGAATAAATGGAGAGATTTTCTTGGATGAGTAGACTTGTCATAAATATGACAATTTGTCTCAAAATTAATTAATAAATCCAGTGGTGTTCCAATAAAAATCCCAATAGTATTGTTGGTAAAAATTGACAAGCCAATTTCAAAGTTTATACGGAGTCATAAGGTCCAAGAATTGATTGAATAATTTTGGAGAAAATAAGTTTAAGGAGAGGGACTTACATACTAAAAGTAAAGAAGTATCATGAAAACACAGTAAATAAGCTGGGCTATGTGGGCACTGGGAATTAACAAATGGATCAATGGAACAAAAACAGAACACGGAAGAGCCCTGGAACAGAATGATGTATGTGTGGGAACCTAATGCATTACAGTGGTGGTGTTACAAATCAGGGAAGACCAGATGGATGACTTAATATGGGAACTTTCTATCAGAAAATAATTTAATTAGATTCCCTCCTTCACCCTATTCAAAGTAATGAATTCCACATGATTAAAGACAAAAACGAGGATTTCTTTTAAAAAAGACTTTAAAACTTCTCAAAGGAATTGTAATATATTTTTGTTATAACCTAAAAAAAGAAATAATTTCTTAGACAAGACACTAAGAGAACAACACCTAAAGCAAAAGATTGATACATGTAACTACAACAAATGAAAAACTTCAGTACTCCCCTCCCACAAAAAAAATCCATAAAGACAAAAGAAATACAACCACAGGCAAGGAGCAATTTGCAGTACATGTAGCAAAGTGCTAGTGTCCAGAATATATAAATAAGTTTTACCAATCGATAAGAAAAAAGTGAGTAACACAGTAGAAAAAATGGAGAAAGGATATGAATGTCAGCTCACAAAGAGCATTCCCAAGTGGCTAATAGGAGGGGAAGGGTGCATAAATTCACCAGCAATGAGGGAAATGAAGTTAAGCAATAAATACCACTTCACACCCAGCACAGGAGCAAAACCACCCTGTGGAAGGACACCAAGGGCTGATGAGGATGAGGATGTGAAAGGGAGGCAGCTTGCCGCACAGCAGGAAGCAAGTCACTGTTTCAGCACCAGGGACAGCAGCCAGGCGGGCCCAGGGACAGTGAAAACCTGGGCATACCCTGTTCCAGAAATCCCACTTACATCCCTTCACACCTAGCAAGCTCTTCTCATTACAAGAATTAGATGACACCCCTTTGCTCTCCTGAAGTGAAAACCACAGGCAATATAACCTAACCAGTACAAATTATTTCAACAAAATCAATATAATGCTCTATCTATAACATAAAGTGGAAAGAAAAGGAGTCATGTATAGTAAAACAATGTGTAATTCAATATGTAAATACTCAGTCACACCTGAATGGAAGGCTCAATGAAAGTGTCAAACATTTTTCTTTTTTTTTGCAATGAGTAAGTTTGCATTGAAATATTTAGCTGAATATCGTCTATACTTTGCTTTACACATGACATTTTGACATAAGACTAAGAAAAATGCTTGCGTGTGTGTGTGTGTGTATAATCACTCTTAATCATTGATGGGAGTGTAGACTAATAGAGATGCATTGCACTGATGCCTATAAGAGAAGGTTATATGCTGTGTGATTCTGTGTGGGTGACATTTATAGTAAAGAAGGAGCCCCCAGGTGAACCAATGTGGCAGCATTGCTCAAATACCATGAGTACTGTCCCTTCAGTGACATGACTATCTGAAACAGTGAATGACTCTTGATAAAGTTGTGAACAAAACACCGTTCAATCTATCTTCTGTTTACAAGATAGTTGCATTCCTAAAATATTCAGCGTATATGTTTAGTTTGTATTAAACCCATACAAAAATATGTTTATTTACATGTCAAAGTGGTTGAAGATATTTACCTATGTGAATGCACAGATGAGACATCTGAGGGTTGTGTGAGACATAGGACAATTCTTCATGTGCATGCTGACCCACATATCGCAAGGCGTCCAGCAAGTCTGGCCTTCCTCCCTAATTGTTACTGCTGTGGTCCCAGGCACTGTGAAGGCAGCAGATGCTCCTGTCTTAGTCTATTTGCAATTGCTGTCAAGAAATATCTGAGGCTGGGTAGTTTAGAAAGAAAAGAGGTTTCTTTGGTTCATGATTCTGCAGGCTACACGAGAAGCATAGTGCTGGTATCTGCTCCTGGTGAGATCTCAGGAATCTTCCCATCATGGTGGAAGGCAAAGGAGGAGCAGGAACGTCACATGGCAAAAGTGGGAGCAAGGGAAAAGGAGGCATCAAAGTCTTTCAGACAACCAGATCTCGCATGAACACAGAATGAGAACTTGCTCCTTACTGCAAGAAGGGCACCCAGCCGTTCATGAGGGATCACCACCGTGACCCAAACACCTCCCACCAGGCCCCACCTCCAGCACTGGGGTCACATTTCAGCATAAGATTTGGAGGGGACAAGCATCCACACTATGTCAACTCCTTTGAGTAGTAATGGCAGAGACAGCGGCACCCACCATGCACCAGTGCCCCAGGAGACCCCCTCAAGCACATGCATGGGAGCTGCACATGCAGTAGCTTAGAGTAGTGTTTCTGATGGTGAACGTTTGGGAAATAATTGCGTGTGATGGAATATCAAACAGTGTTTAAGTAAGTAAACTCAGGGCACTTTTATTGCTGGTAATGGTGGGCTTTGTGATTACCATCAACTTTTCTGCTACAACTACCTGAAATATCAAAACAACCTCTTAAAAGTATTGAACAATGGACCAGAAGAGAGAGTCAAGAAATTGACCCATGCAAATGTAGCCAAGTGACTTTCACTAAGATGGAAGAGCAATTGCCTGTGCAATGGAGAAGAGGCCATCTTTTCAGCAAATGGTGCTGAAACAACCGGATACCCATATGCAAAAATTGAACCTTGGCCAATACCTCACAGAAATGAACTCCAGATGGATCACAGGCTCAAAAGTGAAAGGCAAAAGTATAAAACTTCTAGAAGAAGACATCGGAGAAAATCTTTCTGACTTTGGATTAGGCCAGGATTAACAAGTTATGGCCAATGGGCCAGAGCCAGTCCAAGGTCTGCTTGTACATGGTTTCTGAGCTAAGAAGGACTTTGTGTTGCTAAAGCCTTATAACACACACACAGCAAAACAAAATCCAAAAATAAGCAATCAAGATAGAGATCATCTGTGGTCCACATAACTAAAATATTTATTTTCTGGCTTTCTACATAAATAGTTTGCCAACCCCTTTGTTTGATAAAGTTTTATTTGACAGAACACCAAAAACACAATACACAAAATAAAAACAAGGGTAGGATGGATTTTATCAAAACATTTTTTGTGATTTACAAAAATACATACCGTTTTGTGGAAAATATATTTGCATCTGGGAGAAAATATTTGCAAATCATCACATATCTGGCAAATAATGTGTATCTAGAATATATAAAGAACTCTCATAACGTAATAATAAGAAAACAAATAAACCAATACAAAGTGGGCAAGAGATATGAGCAGACACTTTACCCAAGGAAATATACAGGTGACAAATAAGCAGATGCAAATATCCCTTAGATACATGACAATAACAAGTGCTGGCAGGGATGTAGAGCAACAGGGAGTCTCACACACTGCTGGTGGGAATGCAAAATGGTACACCAGCAACTTCTGAGAAACAGTTTGGCATTTCCCTAAAAAGTCAAACATGCACTTAGCATATGGCTCAGCAATCCCACTCCTAGGTATTTTCCCAAGAGAAATGAAAACCTATATTCACACTAAAACCTGCATGTAAATGTTTATGGCAGTCACCAAAATCTGGAACCCACCCAAATATTCTCCAACAGGTGACAGGATAAACACACAATGCTCCAACCATACCCTGGAATACTCCACAGCAATATAAAGGCGGAAGCTATTGCTGCACAAAAGTACAGATGAATCTCAAAGGTGTGATGCCGAATGAAGAAGGCAGCCCCGGGTGCTGCACACTCCTCGATTCCATTTATAGGACGTTCTCGGAAAAGCAAAACTACAGGGATGGAGCAGAGATCAGGGGTTGCTGGGTGTTGGTGGTGGGAGAAGGATTGACCACAAAAAGTCAGGACCAGGGAATTTTGGGCAATCTTCTGTTTGAAACTCTTCTGTTTCTGAATTGTGGTGGTGGGCACATGACTCTGAGGGTTTGCCAAAGCCCCTTCAATTATAGACCACAAGGAGTGAATGTAACTGTATGTAAATTTAAAATAAAATTAAATATGCAAACACAAGTGCAGATGTTCAAATATTTGACTGGTCAATTCAACTTAGAGGAATATAGAATCATAGAAATCTGAAAGAGAAAGATGCACAGATAAACATATATGGATGTTCACAGCAAAAGTTTAAAATAAATCTAAGAGGCAGGGTTCTGTTTGAATAAATTCGAGGATAGCTACAAGATCTTAATGAACTCTGTGTAATGAAGGATATAGATAAATTTCAAAAGCAATATTTGAGTGAAAACAAGTAAGGCATGGCTGGTGCAGTGACTCATGCCTGTAATCCCAGCACTTTGGCAAGCTGAGGTGGGTGGATTGCTTGAGTCCAGGAGTTCGAGACCAGCCTGGGCAAGAAAGCAAGATATTATCTCTATTTTTTAAAAAAAAGCAAGTTGTGCAATATATACAACAGGAGAGCATGTTAATTAGTATAGCTTTATAGTCTTGATTTGTAAATCACTCTTACGTAATTTTTAACCGCCTCTCCCGCCCCCCACCAAGGCAACTCCATGTATCCCTCACTGACGTGAGTTTACTGGTGTAAATACAAAGACAAGCACCAGAAGTTCATCCTAAAATGAAGATAGTAAGTTTTCTCCAACCCTGAGGAAAAAAAAAAAGGAGACTTCATCAGAATTGTTAATGTCCCTTACACTTAAGAGATCTGAGGCAAAAATGACAAAACGTTAATTTGGGTGGGTAGATATAGGTGCTTGTTTTCAACTTACTGCAAACAATTTTTTAAAAGATGCCGCATCAGTTAGCCCCCAGTTCCCTTCCTGTGGATCCAGAGTGGGTTTTCCCTGGGTCTCTGGGCTCCAAGCCTGCCCTTCCATGCCCTGTTCTATGGCTCTGGGGCTGGGACTCGGGCAAACCATATTCCCCAGCCACCCTCACCATCTGGCTTCTCTATTTCTGCCAGTGGGAAACAGGAGGGCAGTAGTGGGGGAAAGTGCTTCATTGCCATGCTCCAGGTCTCGTCTGTGAGACCTCAGCACTTACCAGGCAGTTGGCTTCAGCCTCCAGCTCCTCCCCACCCCCTCAGAGGAGCCAGCAGATCCAGGAGCTGAGCCTCCCCTGGGAGATTCCCAACACCAGCCCCACAGGGTGCTCCTCTGAGCTCCCAGGTATGGTAAACACTCCCAGCTCTAGGGAACTGTGCTGCTTTCTGCAGTGACTGTGATGTGAGTCACCTCACTGTCTGTACCTGCCAATGCCCAGCCAACCAATCCCAGGGTTAGCTTCCCTTCAGATTCCTATGTGCAAATCCTGGCTGAGGCCCAGTCCACAACTTCTTCTGCAGACTCTCACTTAGTTCCCACACTTTTGCTTAATCTGCCCCTCCTGGCTTCAGTGAGCCCAACACCTTCCCTGCAAACCCAGATTCAGCTCACTGTCTTCTCTGAGCCTCTCCTGGACCTGATGCTTCACAGAACCACACACTTTAATATCTACAAAATCCAGTTTAGCAAAAATGTATTTACCTGGGCATAGCAACATAGCAAGATTGGTGGGGGCACAAAGGGGAGCCCAGTAGTCCTTACCTCCCGGGAATGTGAGACCCATTATGAAGACAGGCACAGGCTGGGCATGGTGGCTCACGCCTGTAATCCCAGCACTTTGGGAGGCCAAGGCGGGTGGATCACCTGAGGTCAAGAGTTCGAGACCAGCCTGGCCAACATGGCGAAACCCTGCCTCTACTAAAAATACAAAAATAATTAGCTGGGCGTGGTGGCGGGCGCCTGTAATCCCAGCTGCCTCGGGAGGCTGAGGCAGGACAATTGCTTGAACCCAGGAGTTGGAGGTTGTAGTGAGCCAAGATCATGCCACTGCACTCCAGCCTGGGGGACAGAGTGGTACTCCATCTTGGAAAAAAAAAAAAAAAGACAGGCACAAAAACAAACAGCGTGAATCTATCTGATATGCATATGAAATGAAGGATACCTAGTCCAACGGAGTGCAGAAGTGCCTTTCTGCTACCTCTGATGGAAAAGCTCCAAGGTAATCCAGAGAGGGTTTGCTGGGCCTCTGAAGCTGAGGCCAGGCCCCTGCAGTAGGAAGAGTCTGGGGGCCAGGCCAGGGTGCGGGAACAACACGCGAAAAGGCACAGAGAGACACAGCCAACCTGAAGAATGGGGGCGCAGGGCAAATGGCGGGGAGAGGTTGGCTACTGGGTCCCTGCCACTGGGACTGGCCATGGTCTGTGCTGATGGGGAGGCACTAAAGAACCCTGAGCAGGGCTCCCAGAGATGATGAAGGTTGAAAGTGCCCCCTACGCTATTAAGTGCCATGCTCAGGGGTGGTTTTATGACCAAGGAAATGATGGGAACCTGTGAAGACTCCTTGTGCAATCTCTTGAGTTAACATGTTGACTTCTTGGGAAACAGGGGACCCATTAACAAGATCAGTCTCATGACACCTCCCCAGCTATCAACCCGACATTGATTTATCACCAAGTCCTGAGCCCTTCACCTTCTAAATTGCTTTAAACCACTTATACTTCTCTCTGTCCCCCACCCACCCCTACAGCTGAGCCATAATTGCTTTTGACCTTGGCTACTGCAATGGCCTCGGAACTGGTGTAGTCTCTGCCACCCGCCCTCCCACCCTTATCTTGTTGCATTGGGATAAAGACTGAGACCTTATTGTCGTCTCTGATGGTGGCAGTCTGGCCCCCGCCTGCCTGTGCAGCCTCCTCATCCTCCATACTCTACCTGCTTTGGACCTTTCCTGGCTGTCTCTCTTCTCCCTCGGATTCACGTCCAGGTCATTGCTTCAAAGCCGCCTTCCTGGGCCCTAAGGCTTTTCAGTTACTTTCTCATCAGCTGCTCCCTCAAAACACAACCTGAGAGTGTCATTTTAACAAATTCCAACACTCATTTATGATTAAAACTCTGAAAACTAAGAGTAGAGGGGAACCTTTCATTCATAAAAAAATCTATGAAAATTTTACAGCTAGCATTCATGGTGATAAAATGAAAATGAATGTTGTCTCTCTGATATCAGGAACAGGGCTGCTAGTCAGTGTGATACTAGAAGGTCAAGCAAGTGAAATAAGAAAAGGAAATAAAAGGCATACAGGTCAGAAAAGAAGAAATAAAATTGTACCTATTTGTAGGTAACACAATGGTGTTAAGGAATCTACAAAACACACACGCACAACTCCAAGTAGTAAGCATGTGTTCAGCAAGGTTGCAGTTTAAACACTAGCAATGAATATTTGGAAACAAAAATTAAAAATACCATTTACAATTGCTCCAAAAAATAAGTGAGTTTAAATTTAACAGAATATGTATAGGACTTGCATGCTGAAAACTACACAATACTGTTGAAATAAATCAAAGAAGCTCTATAGAAATAGAGAGACATACCACGTTCAGAGATCAGAAGACTAATACTGATAACATCGGTTTTCCCCAAACTGATATACAGGTTTAATGACATTCCAATCTGTCAGATTTTTTTAATAGATATAGACAGGACTATTTAAAAATTTATATGGAAATGCAAATAGACTGGAATAGCAACAACAATTTTGAAAAAGAATAAACTAGAAAAAATCAGTCTACTTGATTTCAAGATATATTATATAACTACAATAATCAAGACTGTGCAGTATTGCTAGAGAGAGAGAGACAGAAAGATCAATGGAACAGAGTAAAGAATCCAGAAATAGACCCTTACAAATATGTAAAAGCAATTCAGTGGAGGAAATTGGACATCCATAGGTCAAAGAAAAAAGAGAAGAAAAAGAAAAAAAAACCCTGAACCTTGCACTTTATATAAAAATTAACTAAAAATGAACCACAGATTTAAATGTAAAACTATAAAACTTTTAAAAGATAACGTAGGAAAAAAATCTCCAGGACCTAAGGTTTGATGAACTGTCCTTAGACTTGACACCAAAAGTATGAGCTATAAAATTTAAATAAAAAAGATAAATTGGACCTCAGCAAAATTAAAAGCTTTTGTTCTGCAAAAGACCCTGTTAGGGGGATGGAAAGACAGGTTACAGACTGGAACAAAATTATTTGCAAACCACATATCTAAAAAAAGGACTCATATCTAGGACATATAAAAAGCTCTCAAAATTCAACAGTTAAAAAATACACACAAAAAATCAATTAGAAAATGGGTAAAAAGATGGAAAAGACATTCACTGGAGAGGATGTACTGATGGCAACTAAGCACATAAGAGATGCTTGACATCACCTGCGAGAAGAGAAATGCTAATTAGGACAGCAGTAGGAAATCACTGCCCACCTAATAGAACAGCTACAATTACAGACACAATAGATCCCGTATAGGCAAACACCAAATGCTGAAGATGCCGAGAAATCAGAACACTCAGACATGTCTGGCAGGAATGTAAAGTAGTATAGATACTTTGGAATATAGTTTGGCAGTTTCTTTAAAAACAAATCAAACATTTACCATATGACCCAGCAATTGTGCTCTTGGGCATTTATCCCAGAGAAATAAAAGCTTATGTCCACATGCATACTTGGACACGATCATTTATAGCAGCTTTGTTTGCCATAGCCAGAAACTAGAAACAACAAAAATGACCTCCCATAAGTGAGTGGGTAAACAAGCTGTGGCCCATCCGTATCATGGATTACTACTCAGGAATCAAAAGGAACAAACCTTGGATACACACAGCAACTTGGATGGATCCCAATGGCATGCTGAGTAGAAATAAGCCAGCCTCAAAAGGTCCTATGAACTCATGAATATAGCATTCTCGAAATGACAAAATCATAGATGGGAAACAGATTAGTGTGGTTGCCAAGGGTGAGGAACGGTGGTGGGGCCAGGTTGTGTGACCGTAAAAGGTAGCCCAACGGACCGGCTCCATGTCTCCATGTCAGTGGTGGTTTCACAAATCTGCGTGGTAATCACACGCCACAAAGCTCAATACATCTTGCTCCAATGTCGAATCCCTGGTCTTGACAGAGAAATGTGTATCTTTATTTTGCTGTAGGTATAATTGTGTAGAATGCAGCCACAGCAGGGAACTGGGTGAACGGTACATGGGACCTCTCTGGACTATATTTGCCACTTCCTGCGAATCTGTAATGACTTCAGAATAAAATGTTTTTAAAAAGTTAGGCTGGGTGCGGTGGCTCACCACACCTGTAATCTCAGCACTTTGGGAGGCCAAGGCGGGCAGATCGCCTGAGGTCAGGAGTTGGAGACCAGCCTGGCCAACATGGCGAAACCCTGTCTCTACCAAAAATGCAAAAAATTAGCTGGGCATGATGGCGGGAGCCTGTAATCGCAGCTACTTGTGAGGCTGAGGCAAGAGACTTGCTTGAACCCGGGAGGCGGAGGTTGCCATGAGCTGAGATAGCGCCACTACACTCCTATACTCCAGCCTGGGTGACAGAGTGGGACTCCGTCTCAAAAAAAAAAAAAAAAAAAGTTAATTCTAGAACAAATTAAAAGACACCGTACAAACAACTTATATCCAGCCCAATGGTGTGACTGTCCTCTTTCTCCTCCACCCCAACAAAGAAGGCTCTGGAGCCTATATTTTTGAGCCCTGTGGGGTCTTCATTACTGCAGCCTGCCCAGAGGTGGGGAAAGAACCCTGTGCCTGACCCTGAAACTCAGGCTTCTCTTGCTTCTTGGTACTGCCCAGATCTGGCTGCCAGTTCCTGTCTGTGGAGGGAGGATGAAGATAATGGGGATCAAATGGGTTAATGGGTGTCAGTTCATTACTTTGCAAACAGAGAAACCCCGATACATGGCAGGTGGGATATTCTGAATGTCTATGCCTTTCCCCATTGAACTATGAGCTCCCAGAAGGCAGGGTCCATGTCATGCCGTACTGGAATCTCACGGGCAAGCCTAGGCCTCTGCAGGAAATTCAAGGACGGGTGCCTGGTAGTTAAGACAAGAGTAGGGAAGTGGGCAATGCCACTCTTTTCTCAGGGCCTGCAGAGGCCCCCACAGCACAGAGGCGAGGCCCCCCAACTCTGCACCCAGGGCCCCTGAGAATGGCAGAGTCATGGGTGGGAAGCTGGTGACAGCCACAGCCTTTCTGAGAGCTGGGAAGGACCAGCAGGACAGCTGGAGCCTTGCCGCTGAGAGCTTCCATAATTAGAAGCAAAATCAAAGAAAAGCCCAGTCCAGTGATGGCTTCAAACAGGATTATTTTTAAGTCATCTAATGCCAGGGCTTGTCAGATGGGGACCATGATTAGATGGGTGTGTGTGTGTGTGTGTGCGTGGGTGCGTGCGTGTGTGTATAAGTGTGTGTGTGCATGTGTGTACACATGTGTGTGTGTGCTTTTAATTTTCCTACAAAGATCACTTGCGTTTTCCCAGAGCCCAAGCATCTCACAAGACTCCAATGACGCTTCCCGTGAGTGCCACTGACGTGCAGTTTGAGCTCCACTGGGGCTTTTCCCTGGAGTCAGGGTGGCCCATGGGACTCCTTCAGTCACAGGCTTACTGAGTGGGTTGGGGCCAGGACCATCCTCCCAAAGATTGTGGTCCAGGAAAGCCCAAGTTCCAGGGTTGCTCAGAAGAGCAAGGAGCAAGGACATCCTTCTAGAGCCTTCCTGATAAGGAAGGCTCACCCCCAGGACACAGGATTTGAGCTGTGCTGCCTGGGAATGGGGACTCTCCAGGGATCAAGCTTGGGGGCAAGGTCCAATGCACCTAGTGTGTAGCAGAGAGAGCCTCTCGTTCCTCCTCTTTGATGTGGGCAAACCCGAGTGAACTCTGCCGGGTCATACTTCATTAAATGTCTTCAGTCTATGACCTCTATCTCTCTACCCTCCCGGGCCGGGACCCCCTGCGGCCACCTTCCCCTGCCCTGGGTGGCTCAGGGTGCAGCCCAGCCTCACCTGCTGGCATCCTGGGCAGGTCTGGACAGCCACCCTCCACAGCACTGTGCTCTTTCTCTGACTCCTTCTTAGTGTCTCCACCCTGAGCCTCCATCCCATTGCCTGAGCCTCCTGCACACAACCCTTGTGAATTGAACTTGGTTCCCTGCCAGCCCCTCCAACCACCTGGCCTTGTCTCCCAGACAGCAGCAGCTAGTGATCGGGCCAGCTGCTGTCCATCAAGGAAGCCAGGCCCAAAGAAAGAGCTAAAGCACATCGCCAGGGCCCCGTCCCAGCTCTGGAACTTGCTGGAAATGAGAGAAGCCAAGGTGATATTGTCCAGCGAAGGCACCATGGATCCTCCAGGAGCGGGGGGCCCATGCGTTTCCACAGGCGTTGGGGGATGAACCCGGTGCATACTGAAGCTCGCACTGCATCCCTGCAGCAGAGGCTGTGCCCGCCCTGCGGCTGGGTCCTGAGCCTTCCTGGGGGGATGTCAGTGCCATCCTCTTGAAGGGAAACTGTGAGCAGGATGAGAGGCCGGAGAAGCAACTGACGGCTCCCTGCAGAGACCCATCAATTGTCCCAGTATGATTTCTTAATCATCTGGCAAGTAATTAGCCGGTATCCTCATTAGCACGCAGGAGATTTGTAAAAGTTTCGGGGAGGAGGCGGCTGCACTGAGCGAGTTTTAATTACAGACGAACCGACCGGGGACAGGCGCCTTGGCAGTTGTGCCGCCTGTTTACGTTTCACCAGTTCTTGGAAATGAAAAGCAAAACGCTTGTCACTCATCTTTGTGATCATCCCGAGAGACAGAAAAGGACAAGGGGAACGAAAAGTGTGGGGTGGCCGGTGTTGCCCCTGGATGAGACCTTGAGCGGTAACGGGGTATGGATCTTGGGGGACGGGGTCTCAGTCCATCCGACTGCTCTAGCCATGTGCCACGGACTGGGTGGGATCCAAAAACCCGGCCTGCATTCCCACGGCTCTGCAGCCCGGACGCCCAAGACCAGGGCGGGTTCCGTGTCTGGGGAGGGCTGATGTTCCCGGTTCACAGACGGCGCCTTCAGGCTGTGTCCTCATATGAGGGGAGGGGGAGGGAAGCTCTGGCCTCCTCTAAGGACACTCAGCCCACTGACAAGGGCTCCGTCCCCAGGACCTCAGGCCCTTTCTCCTAACACCATCACACGGGGCTACAAGGTTTGCACGCTCACTCCCGCAACTGTGTGCTCGCATGCCTTTGTGTGTCTGTGTGAGTGTGTGGAGAGCATACATGTGACAGTGTGTCTATGTGTGAGTGTGTGGGAGAGTGTGTGGTGTGTGACAGAATGTGTGTGTGTGACTGTGTGAGTGTGTGTGTGGGAGAATGTGTGGTGTGATGTGTGTGTCAGTGTGTGAGAGTATGTTTTGTGTGTGCATGAGCATGTTGCTGTGTATGTGTAAGTGTGTGGGAGACAGTGTGTTTGTGTGTGCGTGTGAGACAGCGTGTCATAAATGTATGTGAGCATGTTGGTGTGTGTGAGTGTGTGGGAGACAGTGTGTTTTGTGTAAGTGTGTAGGAGATAGTGTGTGTGTGATTTGAACTTGGTGTGAGTGTGTGTGGGAGACTGTGTTGTGGGCATGTTGGTGTGTGTGTGTGTGGAAGACTGTGTTTTGAGCATGTTGGTGTGAGTGTGTGGGAGACAGTGTGTTGTGTGTGAGTGTGTGTGGGAGACAGTGTGTCGTGAATGTATGTGAGCATGTTGGTGTGCATTTGTGTAAGTATGTGTGAGACAGTGTGTTGTGTGTATGAGACAGTGTGGTGTGTGTGTGAGAGTGTGTTTTGTGTGAGTGTGTGTGGGAGACAGTGTATTGTGAATGTATGTGAGCATGGTGTGTGTTTGTGTGAGTATGTGTGAGACAGTGTGTTGTGTGTATGAGACAGTGTGGTGTGTGTGTGTGAGACTGTTTTGTGTGAGTGTGTGTGGCAGACAGTGTGCTGTGCATGTATGTGAGCATGTTGGTGTGTGTGAGTGTGTGGGAGACAGTGTGGTGTCTGTGAGTGTGTGTGGTGTGTGGGAGACAGTGTGTTGTGAGCATGTTGGTATCTATGATGGTTAATACTAAGTGTAAACTTGATTGGATTGAAGGATGCGAAGTATTGTTGCTGGGTGTGTCTGTGAGGGTGTCGCCAAAGGAGTGGTTTGCCAGGGGCTCTGGGGCCTTCGGCCACAGACTGAAGTGCACCGTCTCCTTCCCTGCTTTTGAGGTTCCCTTTATATACATCTATCCTATTAGTTCTGTCCCTCTAGAGAACCCTAACACAGTATGTGTACATGTGAATGCGTGTGTGAGAGAGTGTGTGGTGTGTACGTGTGAAGAATGTGTCAGCATGTGAGTGTCAGCATGGGTGAGTGAGTGTGTGTGGGGTGTTTCAGGATGAGAGAGTGCATGTGTGGCTATGTGTGTGACAGCATGTTTTGTGTGTGTGTGAGCATGTTGGTGTATGTGTATGTGTGAGTGTGTGGTGTGTGTGTCAGCAAGGGAGAGTGTGTGTGAGACTGTGTGTGTGAGAGCATGTTTTGTGTGTGTGGGTGAGCATGTTGATGTGTGTATCTCTGTGAGTGTGCAATGTGTGAGTGCGAGTGTGTCAGCATGTGAGTGTATGGGTGTGTGCCTGCTCGTGTCTCCTGATGTGCTCAGTGTGGAGAAGCAGCATCCCCTTCCATCTGTAGGGCAGCTGGGAAGGGCCTACAGTATGGCCTAGTTGTTCACGACGCATGTATAGTATGAAAGGCCACACATATCCTGCAGTTGAGGAACTGAAGTTTTTCTTGGCCTATCATTTCTCAAGCATCACTGTTAAACTTGATTTTTTTTGCAACAACAGAAATCCCACCAGGCTTGAGTGCCGGGAACAGCCCAGAAACCCCACAGTTGTTATAAACCTGCTATGCGCCAGGCACTGCCCATCTAGCATTGTATCCACCCCTAGCCAAACCCTGAACGGGGTGGACGCTGACAATCAAACAGGTGGCGTGTGCAAAGTCACTCTGCCCACAGGCGGCAGACAGAATTCTCTTCCTGGGCCCTCAGATGGAAAGCTCCCCAACCAGCCACCACCTCTGCCAACCGAGAAGCCAGTGCTGCACTCGGGGAGGCCCCTCGCTTTCCCCCGGCCTCCACCTGTGGTCCGAGGAGGAGGATTGAGTGCTCTCCACAGATCCAAAAGGGAACAGTCCCGAGGGTGGGTGACTGGGCTCCACACGCCCGCAATGGTAGGGCCGGGCCCTCCTTCCCAGGCTCCTGCATCCTCGGCCCAGCCTCCCCCTACACTGTGCCAAGGCCCAGCCTTCCCCAAGGCCTGACACGGGCTCAGCCAGCCAGGAGCTGTCCCACACGGCAGCCACCAGCAAATGTGAGGCTTACCCTAAAATGAAAACTCATCCAAATCAGACGCAGTTGAGAATCCCACTCCTCAGACGCACTTGCCACAAGGCGAAGGCTCAGCAACCCCACAGGGCAGTGGCTGCCATGGCGCACCACACGGACACAGAACACGGCGGCATCCAGAGTGTTCCGCAGGTCCGCTCTATCGCAGGCCGGGCACGCTTTGCTCAGAGGCCCACACTGCAGAAGTCCAGTCTCAGCAGACTGTCACCACCGCCCATCGCCACCCTGGGAGAGTGAAGGCCGTCGTAGGCAGGAGACAAACTGCTGGATGAGCTGAGTGCCAGAGAACCTTGATGCGCAAACAAAGGCGCGGCTGGGTCTGGTCCGCCGGCCGGCGCTGCTGGGTTCCTGCTGTGGACTGAAGTCATTCCAAAGCGGGAAACAGACATGGTGGAAGCAGATTCTAAACGAACATTCACCTTCCTAGAGTATCCAAGACCTCTGCAACTCTGGAATACAGCTCCCCACAGTGTCTCTTATACCTTTTTTTTTTTTTTTTTTTTTGAGACCAAGTCTCGGTCTGATACCCAGGCTGGAGTGCAGTGGCGCAATCTCAGCTCACTGCAACCTTCGCCTCCTGGGTTCAAGTAATTCTCCTGCCTCAGCTTCCTGAGTAGCTGGGATTACAGGTGGCCATCACCACGCCTGGCTAATCTTTGTATTTTTAGTAGAGATGGGGTTTCCCTGTGTTGGCCAAGCTGATCTTGAACTTCTGACCTCTAGTGATCTGCCCTCCTTGGCCTCCCAAAGTGCTGGGATTACAGGCTTGAGCCACCGCACCCAGCCTGTCTCTTATACTTTTGAGGATGTTCCCCTGCACAACGAAGGAGGTAACCCAGACAGAGGCGGCCCTAGGAATGGGGGCAGTGAGCGGGAAGCGGGTCTCAGGACAGCACCCGCACAGTGGACGTCAGGGTGGGAGGCCCACCCAGGCACATCTGTGGGGAGTGATGGGAGGAGGCACTCAAAAGGGCCTTTAATATATGAAATTTTTGAAAAAAATAATGGAAATGTGATCACGGTAATGATGACGAAAAAGACAGAAACTTGAGGTGGCAGGGCAGAGCTGTCCAAGGAGGAGGAAGCGTATTTCATGCGGTATTTGGTAAGTATTTCAACAGCACCACGGCGCGATCATTCCTCACAGATCTGCGAAGCTGAGAATCGACTTTCAGGGCCAGTGCCAGAGGCTTAACAGTGACTCCAGAACCAAATGCAGAGAACACCCTCCTTAGTCCCAACAGGAGTTAGCCATAGAAGGGAGGAGGCTGAGTATACATATCTTTGTTTTATAAAGAGGGGAGTCAGCAGACACCCTCTGTCCTTGGTGGGAAAAGACACCAAAGGTAAGTGGGTGTGGTAAAGCTCCTGATTTGTTGGAGAATGAGGTGAGGAGGTGAGCTAAATTCTCACCTCTTGTTGTAGGAAGCCAATGGGTGATGCAGAGAACTGAAAGACAAAAATTGCCAATGGTGGTATAGGAATTTTATTTGAAATAGAAAGGCAATTAGTAGAAGGTTCAATTGAAAGGGTTCAACAAGGTGGGGTAGGGGCTAGGAGCCAGCTAGAGGACAGCCGCTTGTATTATAAATCGAGCAGGGGCTAGGAGCTAGCTAGAGTATAGCTGCCTGTATTAGAACCCAAGCGGGGGTTAGGAGCCAGCTAGAGGACAGCCACTTGTATTATAAACCAAGCAGGGGCTAGGAGCTAGTTAGAAGACAGCCGCTTGTATTAGAAACCGAGCGGGGGCTAGGAGCCAGCTAGAGGACAGCCGCTTGTATTAGAAACCAAGCTCTTCTCCTGTTACTATTTTACCAGTTAATGTGTCACACTTATTCAATTCTATCTCCTTGATAAAATGAAACAGTGATTCCTGCCAGGCAGGGAGGGGCAGGCAGCTATGAAGACAGGCCCTGCGGTGCCCCTGGAGCTGCTCTGGGAAGCAGCTGGTGTGACCACATGACTGCGTTTCCCTGGGGACTCTCCACGTAAGCCTGCCTTCCTGGTGTTTAGCCATCACTCCCCACTTCCCTCCTATGTCTCAGTTTGAACAACAACATACAGGGTTGTTGTAAGTCGACAGGGCGATGGCCACCTGCCCGCAGTGGAGGCTGCCTGCCTGGGCCGGGAGGGGCGTGTTCCCTGGACCCAGGGACTGGTGCAGAAAGTCAGGTCTCACCAATCGGAGCGAGGCATTCCCTAGGTCAAAGCCATGGGCCAATCTTGGGCTCATGACCTCATTTAGACCCGCAGGTCCTGGGGGAGGGCTTTGGGGGAGGTTCTTTCCTCTTAAGAAAGGCCTGTGGGAGCTGATGCTATGGCACTGGGGTGCCGGCCAGGAGCTGCAGAGCTACGCATGAATAAAAAGAGGCTGTGCTCAGGCGGCGGCGTGGCTGTGAACTGGCCATGGAGGAGGGGAGGAGCACTATCAGGGTGAGCCTTCGTGTGGGTGGCGGATGCTGGGTGGGCCGGCATTGGCAGAGCCTGACCTGGGGGAATGGGGGTTAAACAAACTGAGTTTGGGGTGCCCCAGCCTTCGCTGACGGAGATCAGTCAGCACAACTTAGGCTTACAAAGTCCTTACTGTGCAGCAGACACGTTTAGAAGTGATTTACAAGCATTATCCTAATTAATTCACAGCAACCCTATACTCACAACCCCTGTAGTTTATGAGTAAACCAAGGCACAGGGTGGTTAGTAGCTTAACCCAAGGTCACACAGCTAACGGGAGGTGACGTGTGAAGTCGAGCCAGGCAATTCGGTTCCACGTTGCAGCCTGGGCAGCTCCTCTATGGTGGCTATTTGGTTCCACTGCCACCCTATCAGATCCCTCTGCGCGGCTCCATGCAGCTGTGGCCCTGGGAGGCTGACTGGGCTACACCGCCCTGCCCCTGGCTTCCGGGTGAGCTTGGCCAAGGGGCGTGGGGGCGGGGGAGGGGGTGAGATGGAGGTGTTGGCACTCCCTTCCCCTCTCTCTCATCATGGGTGGGCCATGCCACTCTCCCAAAGACTCTCTGGCTCTTGCACATTCTGTTAACTTCCCTTCCCTGGTCTCCTCCAACCTGGGGTGATGCCGGCTTCCTGCTAGTGCCGATTCTGTTGGTTTTCCTTGTGAAGCCCACACACTTGTAAACAGGCCCTGCAGTGAAGCCCCTCGTGAATGCCATCTGCTTCCTGGTGGGGCCCTGCTTGGCAGCAGAGCTCAGGAGACATAAATCTGAGAGCCATCAGCCTAAATGTGCTCGTTAAAGCAGCAGGTGTGGAGGGGCCTTCCCAGAGAGAGGCTGTGGGATGGGGTGGGGAGGCTTCCCATCGAACCACGGCAGATGCCAACACTGGGAGGCCAGCGAGGAATGGAAGCCAGCGCACGGGGCAGAGAAGGTTCCAGAAAGGTGGTAGAGGAGCCAGGACTGGAAGCCAGGGCAGGGGGCAGAGAAGGTTCCGGAAAGGTGGGAGGGGAGCTGGAGTGGTCTCACAGAGGCCAAGGGACAGGGATGCTTTAGGGAAGAGGCAGTGTCTGGAACTTCACTGAGCCATGGGCCGAGGTCTTAGAGTCCCCCGGGGGCCTGCATTGCGGCTCCAGGGACACCAGCGGCAACCATCCCCAAGGAGAGTGGAGTGGAGGCTGTTGAGGGCTAGAAACAGACGGGAGTGGAAGGACAGGAAACGGCAAGGAGAGATGGCTCTAGGGAATTTAACTGCAGAAGGGAGAGGCAGGAGTGTGCCTGGCAAGAAAGAGTGCTCTCACAGTGTGTCTGGGGTTCTGTGGCCCCTCCAGACCCACCCTCCGCCTTCCACCTGCTCCGTGTGGCCCCTCCAGACCCATCCACTGCTTTCTTCCTGCTCCATGAGGTCCCTCCAGACCCACCCTCAGCCTTCCTCCTGCTCCATGAGGTCCTTCCAGACCCACCCTCAGCCTTCCTCCTGCTCCATGAGGTCCCTCCAGACCCACCTTCGGCCTTCCTCCTGCTCCATGTGGCCCCTCCAGACCCAACGTTGGCCTTCCTCCTGCTGCATGTGGGGAATGGGCACTTATGGATTACACCTAAGGGCGCCCTGGCCTCCAGCTCAGCGTGGGGCACGATTAAGAGGGCACGGGACAGAGGGTGGGGTAGGAGGGAGTGGACCCTAGCTGTTGCTCCCCCAGCTCCTCCCCTCCAGCCCTGGGGGCTACCTCCTCCGTAGACTGAAGGCCACTGCGACTTCGGCCACTCCCGGGTCCAGTGCCTCCCTGAGGGTGGGTGTGGCTGGAGTAGCGTGGAGGAGGAGAGGGGAGGGCTGGGGACGGGATGAAGCCCAGGCGTCTGGAGGAAGGGCTTCTGTGGGAGGGAGAAGGGCCAGAGTGCGGGCAGATGGGAAATACTGGACATAGTGAGACGTTAGATTGTGAGATGCTGGGTTAGGGACTCTGCAGGCGGAAGCATCCGGGGAGATGACGAGGTAGGGGGCTTGGAATGGAGCCTGTAGGAGGGGGAACACATGCCCAGAGAGACGTACACAGCAGTGGAATTTCCCTGTGATGAGCATGGCTCGGTGCAGGGGCCTGCAGAAGGGGGACACACGCCCAGAGAGATGCATGAAGCAGCCAAATGTCCCTGTGATGAGCACAGCTCGGTGCAGGGGCCTGCAGAAGGGGGACACACACCCAGAGAGATGCATGAAGCAGCCAAATGTCCCTCTGATGAGCACAGCTCGGTGCAGGGGCCTGCAGAAGGGGGACACACACCCAGAGAGATGCACATAGCAGCCAAATGTCCCTCTGATGAGCACAGCTCGGTGCAGGGGCCTGCAGGACGGGGGACACATGCCCAGAGAGATGCATGAAGCAGCCAAATGTCCCTGTGATGAGCACAGCTCTGTGCAGGGCTGCCTCAGGCCAGGGAGGTGGGGACATGGGAAACAGGCAGGACAGGAGGTCAAAGCAGAGAGCTGGGAGGCAGCAGCTCCAGGGACAGAAGCCCAGAAGGCAGGCCTGGGGCAGGAAGCCTCCAGTGTCTTCCACAGCCCAGTCAACGGCAGGTGGCCTGTGTGTGGCCGGGGCTGGGCCCAGAAGCAGCCCTGGGGCGGGTGCCACATGCCCATGTGACGCAGGCTACCCTGTCCCACACCAGCAGCTTTCTGCCCACAGGCAGGTGCTCAGTGGTGTCTGCCCCTATCAATGCCAACACTTGGTTCTCTACAAAGGAGTTCTCCTGGAGGAGCCACACAAGCGGCCACTGCTCCTGCCTCGTCCCCAAGTTGCTCTGCAGGCTGTGGGGGAGGGGCCTTGGGGCAGAAGGAGGCTCAGGTGTGATGAAAAGTGGAAGGGAAGGGAGACGAGGTGGGATTGAAATGCATGGTGCCCAGGTTACCACCAGCCAGCGTGCCATCAACTGCCCTCAGCTCTTCCTGTGGGTGCCCTGGCCTCCTTGCTCACCCAGACCAGGCCAGCCCTCTCCCAGTTGTTCCAGACTCAGGTCCACCTGGGACACAGTCAGAGTTCCGATCTTGGTGGGGGGTTGAGCCTGTGGCTCTCAGCTCCCATGGCTCCTAGTCCTTGGGCAGGGCTCTCTCTGCCCCAAGCTGTGCCAGCCTCTGGCTGCACCCAGCACCGTCAGGGGTAGTGGCGTGGCTGTCTTTTTCTACTAGATCAGAACTCTACAAATTCGATGTGCTTGTTGCCACATAGGCAAGATCCCCAAGGCCTGGTGGTCTCCATGGGCCCCATTAAACACCTGAGGATTAAAGATTCCAAGAAGCCTGGATCCTCCCCACTCCATATTGCTGCCTGACAGGTAAGAGCCTCCATTCCAAGTCCCAGGAAAACAAGGTGGGCGGGGCAGCTGAGCCCTCCCGGACAGGAAGTCTGTCCCGCATATGCGAGTGGGCATGTCTCTAGCAATGGGCTGGTGGCCCTGAGGGCATCACGCTTTCCAGACCTTGCCAGCAAGGTGCCCATAGGGTGCATTCCTTCCAACCTGGAGCTTTTGAGGGAGGCCATAACTTCCTGGTATGCCAGCTTCCTCCTCCTGTCCCTCTGCACCTCTGCGACACGGCTGACTTAGTAAGAATAGATTTCTCCCCTAAATTAACTCTGATTCTTTTTCCAATCTTTGGGAATTGATGCCACCTGAAAACTGCTGGTTTGAAAGCATGAGATGCGGGACTCGGACCTCCCGCGGTGGCTCCGCTGAGCCCTCTGCCATGGCTGAGAAGTCATCACACTTCTTTTCCCTTCTGTCTCTGAGGCCTGTGGCCTGAATTTGGTAAAATAGTCCACTCATTTGTTTACTTCACAGAGCCACAGGGCCCCCCAGGGGGTGATCTCAGCACTAGGAACCAGGGATGCAGTGGTGAGTGGGCTGAAATCCCCTGACCAGGGATGCACGGCTCAGCGCAGAGGTAGACGGGAAGCCAGATGATCGCAGTGTGGGAAGGCCCACCTCTGTTGGACCCCACCAGCAGCTCTGTTCACCCACAGCACAGGGAGGGCAGTTCACGACCCACCCCCGAGGCTTGCCTACCGTGGGAATGAGCTGTTGAGCCTCAGAGTTACTGATCGAAAGGCCGTCTTCTCATAGCTGTTACAGTGATTAAGGAGGTTAGGCATGGGAAGGCCTTCATGATGTCTCTGATACACAGAATTAATCAATGCTGCTGCTGTGATTTCAACGAAGGCTGCAGAACAGACCTGTGATGCTCCGAGGCCTGGGGGTGATGAGGGAGGCTGCAGGTGAGCTGTGCCCTGCCTCTGACGCATGCTGGGTCAGCGCTCACGCAAGTGGTGAATATTGATGAAGTGCCTGTGGTATACCAAGGGTCGTGCTTCTCTGGTGGGGGAAACGGTCCAGGAGTGACAAGGACACAGATGCTCATCAGACCTGAGTTACGAGCCACCCTGGGGGTCATGGGTGTGCTCTGGTAAGGGGAGACAAGAGTTCTGTAAAGGGGAGACAAGAGTTCTGTAAAGAGGGAGCAAAGTGTGAAAAACAAAGGGAAAGATGAGGCATAGAAGGCCAGTGCATGAGAGCCTGCACGTCTGAGAACTGCCCGCATGGCTGACAGGTGGGGTTCAGGGTGGGCAGGGAGGGAAGTGGAGGGGCCCAGGGGCTGTTTGTCACCCTCCAGTGCCTGGAGAGCCCTCAGCCAGTGCTCACCTACCTCCCGGGGTGCCTGCCGGGACCCTGGCAGTGCTGTGCCCAAGCTGCCCATGGAGGATGGATTGACACAGTCAGGAAGATTGGAAGCCTAAGGAAGCTGCTGCATTTATGATCAGCACAGATGGAGGACAGCAGAGACATCCACAGACGCTGAGGACAAGGAATCTGTGTGTGACGAAGAGGGAGGCACGGGGGAGGAGAGGGAAGAGGACATCCAGAAGGGGCCCAGGCACTCACAACCAGGGGATCAGGGGGATGCTAAAGGAGGAGCAATTTGGGTGGATGATGACAGTGTGTGAGGTGCTCACCATGGGATGGGCTCCATCTGTGGTGCATTGAGATTTCCGGGGAGCCCTGACCATTCAAGTCTGAGAACCAGCAGCCTACGTGGAGGCAGCTGACAGGATCTGGAGGCATGACAGCCTCGGAGGGCCAGCAGGGGAGGAGGAGCACCCAGAGAAGCACATCAGAGAAGGGGCCAGAGACCACACCAGAGAACTGAGCCAGCCCCAGCAGCTCCTGAGGCACAAGGGCCCTGAAGAGCAGGGCTACCAAGAGGTGGAAATGGGGCTGAACAGAGTCCACCACGTCACTGAGACGTCCCCCAGGGCCTGGCCTGAGGAGTTTCGGTGGAGTTGTGCAGGTGAAAGCAAGATGACAGTGAGTTCAGGGGTAAGAGGTTGGTGACATAACCCTGCAAAGGAGGACCGTGTGTTTAAGAAGCTTCACTGTGAAGGCGAGAAGGGGAGGCTCAGAAGGCAAGGCAAAGCTGAGACGAAGCTTTTTTTTTTTTTTTTAGATGGGAGAGATTTGGGCTTGTTCAATGTAGATATCAAAAATATCAAGGAAATCAAGAGATTTTAGATATAGCAGAAAAGAAGCAGGTTCCTCGTTTGAGGCTGAGTCAATAAGACATAAAATGACAATGTAATGCTCATGTAAAAGAAATGCAGTAACCTTTATTTGCAGTAAAAGGGTAGCTTTGGTAACTAGTTCGAATACACACATAACTTAAAGTCTTCTTAAGAGCTTCTATGGTCAGGTAAGTTCAGAGGAATTCTCAGCACAATAAAAACAAATCAGATGGGAACCAGCAAGACAAGCAAGGCGGGCAGGCAGCTTTGCCTTGATGGCGTTTTCCACCAGGGTGGCCCCATGCTCCAGTTCCCAAGGTCTCTGGAAACAAAGAATAATGCCCAGGTCTACCCAAGAGCACAAAGTTCCGGAAGGAGAGGGTAGGAGCTTACCCCCAACAAATTGTCCCCTCCACAGGGCTGCACACTCAATGCCCATGTGAATCAGATGCTAACCCAGGCCATCTCCCTGGTGTATTATAAGGAAAATCAACTGACTCAGACCTTGGCATAAGAAGGAAATGACTTGAACACAAACCATCCCTTAAGTGGGTTTAGGCCTGAATTCACACTACCTGGGTGGTCTCCAAAAACCTCAATGCCATAACTTACTTTAAAGAACTGATAGGGTCTCCAAGATCTGGACAGAGCAAATTCAAACCCTCTCTGGAGGAACTCATTTTCACCATGCATCAAATAAAAAAAATAATGAGGTTAGAAAAATAGAAGTTGATGGAAATGAATGACTGCTAGGGAAAGCTTGTGGCATACAATGAAAGCAACACTTAGGAAAGAAGCTATGGCCTCAGATATCCACATGAAGATAAAAGAGAGCTGAAAAGTAATGACTTCAGCACCCATCATTAGAAATTAGAAAAAAACACCTAGCAAAATAAACCCAACCTAGAATAATAGAATGATGACATTAATAATAAAGATAAGATAAATTAATGGAATGGGAAAGACATAGATAATAGAGAGGGTCAGCAAGGTCAAAAAATGGTCTTTTGAAAAATATTAATAAAAATGACAAATCTTTGGTGAGGCTGATCCCAAAAAGAGATAAGGCAGAAATAAACAAGAACGATAATGAAGAGGGGACGGAGCCACAGCTGCTGAATGTCCTGAGAAGATGAGGAGAGGCTTTCACGTTCAGCCACGACACGGTAACAAAGCTGTCTCCTTTGCAAAAACAACCAAATGTGGACAGCATCTGTGAAACCATGGTTTCCAAGATATTGGGCATCAGAGGAGAGACAGTCATCTCTGGGAGATGGGAAGAAGCATGCTGTCAGATTTTTCCCGATTATTTTCTGGAGTTTTCAGGCTGTAGCACAGGGAATAGGGACCCAGGCAGAACCAAGAAGACTGAGTTGAGGGTTGGAGAGGAAAGGTCAGGGAGCCCAGGTGGCTGGACTTCAGAGCACAGAGTTCCAGAAGGAAAGAGACGCACAGAGAAAGAGGCCAGTGGTCTGCAGGGGGTCCCAGTTGAGTGTTCAGTGGTCTGTGCATGTGTGAGAGGAATACGCCCAAGTCTGGGGAAAGAAGGACCAGAAAGACTAATAGTGCCAAACGCAAACACAGAATTGGGAATGGTGCCTGTTCCCACCAGCCAGACTGGAAAACTTCCCAACTCATGATGCATTGGGCAATGTACACAGTCTGGTCTTGTCTTGGAGGTGGGGAAGAAGTCGTTATAGATTAAAGCTGTTCTGCCTCTGCCTAAAACAAAAATCTTAAAAGGAAGACATGAAACTGTTTCCAGGTAACCTGAGTCCAGAATAAGCCTCAAGAATTTATAGAAATACAAACATATGGATCACCCAAAAAGGTAAAAATCACAGTGTAGGGAATTTGACCAAAAATTATGATATACAAGGAAGAAGAAAAGTATGACCAATAAGGAGGAGAAAAATCAATCCTTTGGTTGGCCCAGAACTTTCAGAGATGTTATAATTAGCATGCGTAGACACTGAAACAGCTGTAACTGTAACTGTAAACATATCCAATATGTTCCCAAAGCTAAAGAAAGTATTGAATACGTCCAGTAGAGATATGGAAGATAGGAAAAGCATTCATGTCACACTTCTAGAGGTGAAAAATATAGTGTTTTAGCTGAAAAATACACTGTATGAGATGAAGAAGAGAGAGGACATGGCAGAGACAGAGGTTCATGAACTGGAAGACAAGGCAAAAGAAACCATGCAAGCAAAACGGAGATTTGTTGCAAAAAGACTAACAAATTTAACAGAGTATCAGTGAGCTGTGTGACAATGTCCACCAGCCTAATATCTGTGTGACTGAAGTCTCCAAAGGAGATGAATAGAGACTGAAAAAAAATCTGAAAAAATAATGGCTAGAAATTTTATGAGTTTGATGAAAACTATAAAATTCACAGATCCAAGAAACTTAATAAACTTTGACAATGACATGGATGAAGAAAACAATACCAAGTGTCACTATAATCATTTTGGTCAAAACCAGTGAGAAAGAGAAAATTTTACGAGTAATGAGAGAAAAGGATGTGTCACATACAGAAGAACAGAGATAAGCATGACAGCCGACTTTTTGGAAACAATGCAAGCAAGAAGGCAGTGGAGCAATATTTTTAAAGGGCTTTTTTCCTTTAAAGGAAAAAAAAGTCAGCTTCTTTTTCCCTCTTTAGGTGAAGACAGGAAGTGTCTTGGGGGCTGGAGTTGGGTAATTTATCTTCTCTCAAGTCTGCCAAGGGTCTGGTAAGTGTTTTCTCTTCTTGGGTAGCTCTTTGTTGTGGGGAACATTCTGGATTATTTCAAAATGGCTACTTTTTCCCTTCCCTTGGCCAAACAGGGAAGGATTTTTCTCCAGTATTCACTGTCAGAACCTGGGAGTTGTGGGGGAAATCCTGGAGGTGAAACCCACAAAAGGATAGTGATTTCCCTTTAGAGTGGACGCCCAGGATTTCTTAGTGCTCAAGCTAGTCCATACTAAGCCCTCAGAAATTTTGAAGCTGAGAACTAAAAGCAGAGGTCACATCCCAGAGGCACAGGGCCACTAAAAACTATCATACAGATTCCAGGCCATCACAGTCAAGATCCCAGGAGGCTGGCTTTTGTAGAAATCGAGAAGCACATTCTAAAATCTGTATAAAAATCCAAAAGACCTAGAATAGCCAACGCAATTGGAACAAAACGAGAAAACTGAAACGACCTGCTTTCCACACTTACGCAGTGTGGGATTGCCATAGAGATAGATAAGTAGGTCAGTGGACCAGAATAGAGAGCCCAGAAAGAAGCCCAACTGTGCTGGGAAGAATTCTCAGTCTCTCTTCTCCCTCCAAGGTTTCCCATGCTAATCTCCAGGACCGTGACTATGAGGAGCTATCAAGCTTCTGAATATTTCAATCTCAAGGCAAAGGGTAATTAAGATGCAGTTAAGGTTACTACTCACCGGGCCTTCAAATAGGAACATTACTGTGGATCGTCTGGGTGGGACTAACCTAATCACACGAGCGCTTAAAAGCAGAAGAGGAGCCTTGAGATTTGAAGCAGGAGGCAGAGTGAACCCCCTGCCACAGGCTTGGAAGCAGGAGGGTCCACTGTGAGGGCTGGGTGGTCTCTAGGAGCAGGGACTGGCCAGTGGCTGACAGTCAGCAAGGACATGGAAACCTCAGTTTTAAAGCGCAAGAGACCTATTTCTAACAAAAATCTGAATGAGTTTAGTAGCAGATTCTGTCCGAGATCCCTCAGACAAGAGCTCGACCTGGCTGACACCTGGATTTCAGCCTGATGAGACCCTATATTAAGCAGAGAACCTATTTAAGCCCACCTGGAACCAAAAGAGAATCCACGGACATTGTTCTAAGCCACTAGGTTTGGCATATGACAGTAAAAAACTACTATAACTACACATACAGGGACAACTGACTTTTAAGAAACGTGCAAAAACAGTTTTGGAGAAAGGATAGTCTTTTCAGCAAATGGTGCTGAAAGTGTTGGTTATCCATATGCACAAAAATGAACTTAGATCCATACCAATACCATATATAAAGTCAACTCAACATGGATCACAGACCTACATGAAAATTCAACATTTGTTCATGATCAAAATCCATAGCAAGCTAGAAAAGAGTTGAGCAAAACAAAACCTACAGCAAATATCATATTCAGTTGTTAAATGTAGAAAGTGTTCCTTTTCAGATCAAGAGAAAGAAAGAAAATAATGCATGCTCTTGCTTCTGTTCAACATTGTACTGGAGGTTGGAGCCTGGATGGTAGACAAGAGGGAGATGAAAGGAGGAAGGATGAGAAAAGGACGGGAAATCAACCATGCCTGTGTACATGCAAAATCCAAAGGAATCTACAGATGCATTATTAGAATCCACAGCATTTCTTAACATGATTGCTAGATACACACCCAAATATCACAATCGACTGTATTTCTACTTACCAGCTATACAACAAAAGCCATGCAAAAACTCTGTGGATAAAGCATAGAGAAATTTTCACAGTTTTAGTGAACATTCTATCAACTCTGTACAAAATTATATAGTTTCATTGGGAATCATTAAATAAAATGTAAGTGAATAAATAACATTCTATTTTCAGAGGTTGGAAGGATCAGTATGGAAAATGTCAATTCCTCAAAATTCATTTATAAATTCAATGCAATAATACAAAACCTCATAATTTTTGATACAAAATCTGCCAAACTCTAAAATAAGTATGAGAATGCAAAGGGCCCTAAATCATCAATACTCTCAAAAATTAGTGACGTAGGCAGACTTGTCCTTCCAGGTAGCAAGACTTTTATACAAGCACGTAACACAGAACAATTGTTATTGCGTAGGGATAGACATCTGTGTCAGCAAAACGGAACGGAGTCCGGAAACAAGCCCATAAATGGATGGGCATTACCACAGACCAAAGTTATCATTCAAGATCAGAGGGCAACAATTGGGCTTTTCAAAAAATCATGCTGGGAACATTGAGTCTCAGTGCAGAAAACAAATGAAATTGTGTTCCTACCTCATGCGACACGTAAAAAATTATTCTACATGGATTTAAGATTTGGGAAATGCAAAGCCACAGTGCTATTGCAAAATGTTGTAGCAGAAGAATTTTTAAAGCCTTTGGATAGAGAAAGATTTTTTAATAAGACACACAAAGTAGAAACCCAGAGGAAAAGATTTACTAATTTGTTTACGTAGAATTAAAGAGCTTTTATTCATCAAAAGAAATCTTTAAAAGTATAAGAAGCCACCCACTAGGAGAAGAGGTTTGTATCATGTCTAACCAACAAAGCAATGATTCCAAACACAAGAACTCCTCTCAGCAGGAAAAAAAGGGCAAAAGACTTTAAGAGACACCTCACCATATATGTTGGTGGGACTGTAAACTAGTTCAACCATTGTGGAAGTCAGTGTGGCAATTCCCCAGGGATCTAGAACTGGAAATACCATTTGACCCAGCCATCCCATTACTGGGTATATACCCAAAGGAGTATAAATCATGCTGCCGTAAAGACACATGCACTCGTATGTTTATTGCAGCACTATTCACAATAGCAAAGACTTGGAACCAACCCAAATGTCCAACAATGATAGACTGGATTAAGAAAATGTAGCACATATACACCATGGAATACTATGCAGACATAAAAAATGATGAGTTCATGTCCTTTGTAGGGACATGGATGAAGCTGGAAACCATCATTCTCAGCAAACTATCGCAAGGACAAAAAATGAAACACTGCATGTTCTCACTCATAGGTGGGAATTGAACAATGAGAACACTTGGACACAGGGTGGGGAACATCACACACCGGGGCCTGTTGTGGGGTGGGGGGAGGGGGGAGGGATAGCATTAGGAGATATACCTAATGTTAAATGAGGAGTTAATGGGTGCAGCACACCAACATGGCACATGTATACATATGTAACAAACCTGCATGTTGTGCACATGTACCCTAAAACTTAAAGTATAATAAAAAAAAAAAAAAGAGGGAGACACCTCACTAAAAACTCCCAACTGTCTCATAGACATGAAAACACGCCCAGCGTGGCTAGTAATCAGGGAAAGGAAAATGAAAGTCATGCTCAGATGCCGCCACACGTCCTCTGCATGGGCAACATTAGGGGAGTTAGACGATCCCAAATGATGACAGGGAGGAGGAGTCACGGAAACTTCCCGGCACTTTTCAACACAGCCGTTAGAAAAATAACCCGGCATTCCTGAGAAATCAGAACACGCCCACATTGGAGGGCTTGGCAATTTCTCTTCTAGGTGACTAACCTCAGCACACGGGACGCATGTGCCAGGAGACCCAGCGCAGCATTGTTGATAAGCATCCCATGTTCTCACTTGTAAGTGGGAGCTGCACGATGGGAACTCATAGATACAGGGAGGGGAACAACACACACTGGGGCCTGTCGGGGAGTGGGGTGGGGGGAGGGAGAGCATTAAATAAAAATAGCTAATACCTACGTATAAAACTGGGCTTTATACCTAGGTGATGGGTTGATAGGTGCAGCAAACCACCGTGGCACACATTTACCTATGTAACAAACCTGCACAGCCTGCACATGTACCCAGGAAGTTTAAAAAAAAAAAAAGAAATAATTAAAAAAATAAGCATCCCAGCCGGGCGTGGGGGCTCAAACGCCTGTAATCCCAGCACTTTGGGAGGCCAAGGTGGGCGGATCACGAGGTCAGGAGATCGAGACCATCCTGGCTAACACGGTGAAACCCCGTCTCTACTAAAAATACAAAAAATTAGCCGGGCCTGGCAGCATGCGCCTGTAGTCCCAGCTGCTGGGGAGGCTGAGGCCCGGGAAGCGGAGCTTGCAGTGAGCCGAGATTGCGCCACTGCACTCCAGCCTGGGTGATGGAGCGAGACTCGGTCTCAAAAAAAAAATAAATAAAAAATAAAAACGAAAATAAAAATAAGCATCCCAAATCCGAAAACCCCAAATATCCAGCAAAATAAAGCAAATACGTGCACCATGGTAAATCCACACCAGGGGCACATTCCCACAGAGGGGCTGCGGCCGCACACGCCCTGTGCCTCAACCCGAGACCATAATGGAGGGTAAGAAAAGCAAGGCCCGGAAGGGCACATGCAGCCTGCTTCCGTGTGCACAGACTTCAAATGCAGCAAGCTTAAGCAACATATGGTTTAAGGATGTAAGCATAAAGACACAGCAAAGGAAAATGATTGCCGAAACCTCTGGGAAAGAGGAGGGGGATGGGGTGAGGGGAGGGACGCAGGGAGCCTGGGCACTGACAGTGTTCTCTTTTCTAACCTCCCTGATGAGTCTATGGATCCTCGTTTTGTTATGATTACTTAAATTCATGTGTGTGTTTCATACACGCTCTGTGTATGAGATGTATTATGTAATGGTTGTCTTAATTAATAAACAGCTTTCACTGGAAGATTCTAGAAGAAAAGACTTTTGGACAGGGATTGTCACTAAAACTGGAAGAATATACTAAAAAACATGCATTCTTGGTTGGATGCAAAATGAATGCTGCAGCATTCTGAAAATCAGGGGCAGAAAACCACAAGAAGGAAATGAGTGAGATAAAAAGACAATAAACGTTGCCAACAGGAGACAAGCAAAGGTTGCAGGAGAACCAAAAATGCAATCACAGCTTAAAACCTCTGCAGGGGGCTGGGCACGGGGTCTCATGCCTGTCATCCCAGCACTTTGGGAGGTCCAGGCTGGTGGATCACGAGGTCAGGAGTTTGAGACCAGCCTAACCAACATGGTGAAACCCCATCTCTAATAAAAATACTAAAATTAGCCAGACATCATGTCGGGCACCTGTAATCCTGGCTACTTAGGAGGCTGAGGAAGGAGAATAGCTTGAACCTGGGAGGCAGAGGGTTCAGTGAGCTGAGATTGCACCACTGCACTCCAGCCTGGGTGACAGAGCAAGACTCCGTCTCAAAAAAAAAAAAAAACCTGTCCAGGGACAGTGAAGAAAGGATGTGCCAGGGTGGAAGAGCACGCCAGTGACAACCCTGAGATGCTGCGTCACAATTTAAAAGAAAATTATAAATACCTGAATCTTAGGTCAAAAAGGGCTTTGCTAAGGAAGGCAGAGAATAGAAATCCAAACTTTGAAAGTGTAGAAATGTTTCTAAGGAGAAAATCAGATAACTCGGAGCAGGAGCAATTATCAAAATCATAATTGAGTAAAACCTTACTGGGTAGAAAAAGAACAGAGCAGGAAGGTCACAAGGACATTTCTTTTCCCAAACAGAATCAGAGAAACCGCCATAGGCCTGGCAGCTATTTTTCTATTTATTTTATCTGAAGAATGAATTATGTCATCTTTTAGCATTCTGTCTGAAAAAAAATCATACTACAAAGGAACAAAAATCACACCGGCTTCCAATTTCTCATCTGCAATAAAATTGTAAGAAGACGCTGGCACCAGGCGTGCAGCTATCTGAGGGAAATCTATTTTTTGGTTCAAGAAAGGTTTCCAAGGGAGATGAATGAAGGGTAATAACCCACAGACAAGTTAGAGTAGACGTTTGAGGCAGAAAGAACATGCTGGACATCTCCAAAGCACGAGCTGGCCTGGAGATGGTCAGTGTGGGGGGAGGCTGAAGCTGCAGGTGTGTCCCTGATTTCCCAGGAACCGAGGGTGGAGATGAGAAGCAGGCAGGGGCAGCATCGGGAGCGCAGGGCGAGGAGGCTCAGGGAGGAGCAAGAGACAGCAGTCGCTGAACCCAGAGGAAGACAGTGTCCAGAAGTCACACCACACATTTAAGACTCACAGGAGCAGCTGGTGTCAGTGGCTGGCGAGAGGGGAACAGGCAGGACTGTGGCCGTGATGGGCATCAGAAAAAACGGGCAGCAACTTGGGTCTGGGATGAGACCTGGGGAGACCTGCAGGACCCCAAGCCCTTCCCCTGTCACGGCCATGTGAGTGATGTGTGGAGGGGCATCTGTGGGAAAAGGCACGTTCTTGTTACCCTAAGACATTGGCCTGAAGGCCCTGGTGAGCTGGGCAGGATGCCTGGGTCTTGAGGAGGGCCCAGGGTCCAGGGCTGCAGGTGTGAGGATGTGGGCGGCACACCCCTGCTGCATCTGGGGCCAGCTTTGGCAATGGGCTGTGAAGGGTTTTCCACTGAGGCCCTGTGTGACTTCAATCTCCTTCTCAGGACAGAGGTCAGCTGCAGGCACAGGGACAAGTCCATGGGGCCACCTCTTCCCACAACCACCAGTCCTAATCCCATCAGCCTCCCCTAAGTCCCACCAGACCTCCATCACTTCCATGACTCACACTGCCTCCTGTGGTTCCTCCTAGCCTCCCCAAAATCCCACCAGACCATGGTTTCTTCCAACCTGCCATGGCTTCAACCACACTCCCAGGGCTCCCAGCAGACTCGTAGGGTTCTCACCAGCTTCCAGTGATTCCCATCAGCCGTCTCCCAGGATCCCCACCAGCCTCCCAGGATTCACACCAGCCTCCCAGGACTCCTGTCAGCCTCCCAGGATAAGCATCAGCTTCCCAAGATTCCCACTAGACTTATATGGTTCCTGCCAACCTCCCATGGTCCCACCAGCCTCCCAGGACTCCCACCACCCTCCATGGTCCCACCAGCCTCCCAGGACTCCCACCATCCCCCCATGGTCCCACCAGCCTCCCAAGCTCCCCCCATGGTCCCACCAGCCTCCCAAGCTCCCACCAGACTCCTGTGATTCCTGCCAGTCTCCTGTGGCTCCCTCCCCTTGGCTGCGTCCCAATTTCCCTTTGCAGATTGGCAGCCGAAGGCAGACATCACAGGAGAGGTCAGGGGCCAGGCAGGAAACAGCTCTCCTCATGGACCACCCAGCTGGCACAGAGTTCAGGACCAATTACTGTGTCCGCTCGGCTGGGTTTTTCCACCCTGTGTAGCCAACACTCCCAACCTTTCCTGGGGACCAGAGGTCACAGCTGAACCAATTAATTTGAACCAGTCCGTTCCACGCTTAATAACTCCCCAGCACAGAGCCCCTCTCAGTGTCAGCCGTCTGTCTTCATTGGGTGGCTGATGGATTGGCGATGCTTTACTGTATTTTATTTTATTTTTTTCATCTGTCTTCTGCAGGGGTTGAGGTGACGAGGGGAGCATTGGTTTCCCTGGGGGAATAATTAAAGCTCTTTGGTGCTGAGCCAGATCTGACAAGACTAATGGTCCGTGTGAGCCAAGGCTCCATGAGTTGTATTAGCCAGAGAGTGGAGGAAGCCACAGCCGCTGCCACAGCCAGCCGCCACAGCCAGCCACCATCAGGGCACCGAGGATGTGCGCGCCCTGGAGGACTTCAGGCTCAGAGCCATTCAGGGCCGGTGAGAAAGCTGAGGATGGCAGGTACCTTCTCTCTATGAGTCATTGGTTGCCTCTGCCAACCAGAGACAATGATGGACATTTACATACTTCCAACGTCAGCATGAAGGGTGAGTGTGGAACGCCACCTCTCTGCTGACCCATCTGCAGGGCAGTGAGATGGGCAGAGGCTGCCACTGGTCACTCACAAGTTCATTCAAGAATTAGCAGCTGAGGGCCAGACCCATGCCAGAGCCAGCGCAATAGAGAACCCCTGGCTCTCACTGTGGCAGCCCTCCAAGGTGCCCTCTCCTCCACCCGTCCGCCTGCCTGGGAGATGCTGAGAGTGAGTGAACCTGCCCCTGGGAAAGAGCCAGGACTCCTATGGGGGCTGCACGTGGGTGCCCCGCCTTGGCCACTGCTCCTGGCCACTTGAACTCTCTGGTAAGTGAAACGACACTTACACACTCTTGGAATGACGCCCCCTGAGAGATGCTGCTGATTCAAGGGTAGCTCAGAAAACTGGTCATCCAGACCTGAAGTTGGTCTCCTAATTTGACATAATGGAATAGAATAGAAAGAAGCCACACACGTGGTCCCGCAACATCTTAGTCCCTGAGAACCGCAGCGTTCCTCTCAGGGGCCATTTGTGCTCACCCCTAGTGCCGTGCGGGACACAACTGAATCATGTCTGAATATCGTTGCAGGGAATTTTTTCTGCTTATATCAACATACGGACCTCAGACTCAGGACTTGTCCTAAATTCTACCTTCTACGAAACCTGTAAGGGGATTAATTTATTTAAAATTCTAATTTAATTTCATTATACAAATACGCACTTCTGCATATTTTTTGCATAAATGTGAGCATGTGCCAGCTTCTGGTGCAGTTTTCTTTCTCTTGTGTGACTCTCCCAAGCACTTCTTTCACCTCCTGACCCCAGAAGCAACCGCTTCCCTGCTCTAAATGGTGATTTATGCCGGGCTGCGTGCACAGTGCGTCGCAGCCACACTGGCCTCCCCTCGCCTGATCTCATCTGATGCTCCTGAGGGCCTGCTGGAAGGCAGGGCGGGACTTGAAGGCATACTTCGCAGGAGGAGCATGGCTAGATGAGGGGAAACAGCTCCCCAGAGTCCACCAGCAGATCCCGGGA
This sequence comes from Homo sapiens, assembly GCF_000001405.40. Taxonomy (NCBI): domain Eukaryota; kingdom Metazoa; phylum Chordata; class Mammalia; order Primates; family Hominidae; genus Homo; species Homo sapiens. The sequence goes on from NC_000008.11 coordinate 141,922,404, forward strand.
AGGCTGGACAGAGTCCAGGGCCGCAGGCTCCTTCAAGCCGTCTTCTAGAATAGACCGATGAAGAGGACTAGCACTTAACACCTTATGCGGTCCCTTGGGCAGCCTCCACGGAGCTTTGTGCAGAATTGTTCATCTCTCCAGCTGCAGCTATCTGAACATAGCATTAGACCAGATCCCGCCCCCTGGCATGGTTGTGTGGATGGGGTGAGACATAGTCTGCGCAGCCAGTGGGGAACGCCCTGTGGGAAGCCCCCAGGACACCAAGGCATGGCAGTGGTGTGATGATTCAAGAGGCAGCAGGTCTGGGTTGGGGCCTGGGAGTCTGCATTTCTAACAAGTCCAGGGGACGGGTGCCCTTTGCTCTTGGCCCAGAGTTGACATTTTGAGGAACCAAGGTTTAGCCGTACAGAAGGATTTTTTTGTTTGTTGGTTTTTTGGGCCGAGATGCCCCCAGGGCTTCCCATCCGGTTCATATGCCCTTTCCCCTGGTCTCCCAGTACAGAGAAGCAAGGCTGCCTGCTCCCATGGCTTCTCTATACTGGGAGACCAGGGCCTTGTGTGCCCATGACATGATGCCCTGAACTTGTGAGGTCTTTAAGTGCTGTTTGACACGATGCTTTAGGTAAGGAAGAAATACTTGGCTGCTTAGTGGATAAAGTGTTTGCACCTGCCCTGGGCTTTTCTTTCTGTTATTGTCCTGTCTACTCAGTTGTCCATCCATTGACTGATGGATACACTGCTCCTTTGCTAGCTAGTTCTGCCTCCGAGCAAGAAGAGGTCGTCAAATGGCTGGAACCTGGATCCCCTGCACTTACTCCCTCACCCACCTACCCCGGCCCCCAGCAGTGAGGCCCAGCAGAGGGCCCTTCCAGCAGGCGCCCAAGGGGTGCATCTCGCTGGGACTTTGACTCCAAGCGATGAATGGAGTCTGCCCTCGTGGTAGCAGGTAGGGCCACGTGGGAACCTTCCAGGCCCCTTCCTCATCTGATGGAAGGATGCAGTGAAGTCAGCCCTGTGGCCAACCCCAGTACCCTCTCCCATGCACATGCCCCATCCTCAGCCTTTCTACATGGAGGATGAGGTAGCCTCTAGAATAGGAGCCAAGGGCAAATCTCTCCTTCAGCAGTGGGTGAGCTCCCCTAGAGCTAGGAGAGGGCAGGGACTGGCCTCCCTGGCTTTCCCTGGCAGGGCCAGGAGGGTAACCTCCCACAAGCAGGGCCCATGCCCAGGGGCCTGAGAGAGACGCCAGCCAAGGACAGGGAAGGCAGAGACAATGTTCCCTGCAGGATACGAGTCAACCTCTGCGGCCCCGCCAGCACCCCACATGGCAGCTGGTCTGAGCTCACACAGGGGCGGCAGTTGCCTGGATCAGCAGTATTGGCAGCCCAGGCTGGCCTGGTGGCAAGTTGGTGCTGGCTCTGGGCTGGGCCTTCTCTCACCCTCCAGGGTCAAGGCCAGAGCACCAGCTGCAAGACCTCAGGGCTCAGAAATCCCACAAACTCACTTCTGCCCAATTATATGGGTCAAATCCAGCCCAGATGCAAGGGCTGGAGAAACAGACTTTACCTCCTGATGGGGAACTGGCTCCATCCCAAGGGAAAGGGCATATGAACTGATGGGAAGCCCTGGGAGCATCTCGGCGTAAAAAACAAACAAACAAACAAACCCTTCTGTACAGCTAAACCTTGGCTCCTCAAAATGTCAAATGTGGGCCAAGAGCAAAGGGCACCCGTCCCCTGGACTTGTTAGAAATGAAGACTCCCAGGCCCCAACCCAGACCTGCTGCCTCGGAATCATCACACTAGCACCATGACCAGGTGACCCCTCCCTGCACACGTTAAGACCTGAGAGGTGCTGGCCTCAGCTAAGCCTCCATCCGCCGAGGGCCCCCACCTCCATGCTGCAGACCAGGGTTCCTCTTTGTGAGGCCGGGCGACCTTCAGGCTGCTGTGAAGACGGCAGGGACTTGCTCGAGCCCGCCACAGCCCCCACCCTGGGGCAGCCATGACAGGGCCCCAGGCCCACTGCCCCTGTCCCCGCTGCCCTGCACCATGGCCTGGGCTAAGATCAGGGCTTAGCAGCGGGCGTGGTGCAGGCACAGCCCTGGGTCCAGCCTGATTTCCCCTTGGCCTTCTGAGAAGGAAGGAATCATGTCCCTCTCCCTCCAGAAAAGGTTCTGGGTCCTCTTTCACCAAACCAACCACATGTGAGAAGAGAAACTCCAGAGAGAAGCCATTTGGACCCAGAGACTTTATCAAGTTGCTTGACACCTGTGAGTCCTTATCCCAGATGGCCTCATGCCCCTGTCAGCCGCTGGGGCCTGCAAGGGCCTCTGCCACACTGGGGTGCGAGGAGGGGATGTCCACGCCCAGCCTCCTGGGGTGATTTGCAGTGGCCATCAGTGAGTTCAGCTCTGTCCTTTGTCCTAACCACTTTCAGGCAGGAAGGCTTTCACCTTCTCCAGGGGGTCTTTGATGAAAGCATTCTGGGGAACAGGAGGCTACATCCATGCCCTCTCCCCCAGAAGCCCAGGGACAATGCACAGCAAGTGGGAAAAGCCACCTCCCGCGGACCAGAGATGCTTGAAACATGGGTGAGTTCAGTCCCTGCAGCCTGGGGCCCGCCCACTGCCCCGGCCCACATGGGTTACATCAGTGACCCTCAAGGGTTGGGGACGGGGGCCTGTGAATGATGGCCCTCGGGCTGACCGAGACTGCAGCCTGTTTCCATAAGGTTTGATTGGAACGCAGGCATGCACCTTCATTCTCATGCATTCTGAGGCTTCTTTCACACAACAGCAGAAAAGCTGAGACCATTTGGCCCACAGAACCTAAAATAGAGGACTATCTGGCCCTCTACAGAAAAAGTTTCCCGACTTGTGATTCAGAAGGCATAGGTTGCCCAGCCTCCCTGGACCACAGTGTGTCTGGATCCTTCCCCTTCTGATGCTTCTGTGGCCCCGCCTGGCTCCCTCTCACCTGTGCCCTCAGACAGAGCCAGCACCGCCCCCTCCATGGCTACTTCCTGCCCTGTCCTCACCATGGCTGGTGGGACATGGCACCACTGCTGCCCAGCCCATGCTGTATGGGAGGGCCCTCAGCAGGCCCTTGACACAGGCCAGTGACAGGCATGGAAGGACAGATCCAGGGGACTGTCGTCGGGGTTGAGAAAAGGATCGAGGGTCGGGATTTGGGTCAGCAAATCCCCAGGATCTGGGGTGAACCTTTGGTGCAAGTCCTGCCATCTGTTGTCATGGAAACCTTGAAGGGGGGCCGTCGCCAGCTCCACTGCCTTGCTGAGCATGGGGAAGACAGTTGTGTGAAGAACCATGGAGCGTGGGCTCTGGAATTGCATGACCCGGGCTTAAATCTAAGGGGCCCGCTTTTAGCTGTTTGTGCACAGCCCAGCTTCTGCCTTTGTGAGACTGCAGCCTCTCTGTGCCTTGGGGTCTTCATCTGGGAATGGTGCAACCATTCTCCTGTATCTAGGACTTCCAGGAGGAGGGAGGGGGGGTTGCAGTCCTAACGCACCTGGCAACTATTAAGCGTCAATCAGATATCAAGTCAATTGTAAATATTCTTGGAGGAAGCAGGAAAGTAAGTGACTAAGGAGCTGTGGACCCTTTGTGCTAAGGAGGGCACAGTAGCCTCCAGTGCATTTGTATCAAAACAGGCCTGGCTTCACTGGGCTGGCTACAACAGCTGAGGCACGGAGCATTAAGTGACTTTTCCCAGGTCAGGTAGCAGTTTAATAGTGGAACTGGGATTTGAAATCCAGCTGTCTGGCTATTGGCCAGAGCTGTCCAAGAGAAATGCCAGTCACGTGTGTAATTTCAAATTTTCTAGTAGCTGCATTTAAAAAGGTAAAGAGAAGCAGGTGAAATTGATTTTAATAATATATTTTATTGAATGTAGTATATCAAAAATAATATTTCAACATGTGATCCACATAAACACTGTTTGAGGCATTTGATAGTCTGTGCTTTGTATTAATTCTTCAAACTGAGGGATGTGTTTTACACTGCAGCCTCTTCTAGTTAGGAACAGCCACGTGCCCGGTGCCCAGCACCCTGCGTAGCTCAGGGCTGTCATGTGGGACAGGGCAGGCCCAGCTGTGAGGGTGATGAACGCACACGTGCGAAGCAAAGTGAGTGAATGGGCAGGTGGATGCATAGATGAATAAACCGAATCACTTCCCATTTCCCACCTATCTCCCTGGCCCTCCCTGTCTAGCCTGGGCTCCCTTTGGTGGCATGGGTTCTCCCTAATTTGCCTTTGAGCCTCCGGAGTCTGTCCCAGGGGCTGGAGGCTGGTGGGTTCTCAGGAAGTGTTTGTGAACCAACACTGATGGAATCTCTTTTTTTTTTTGAGATGGAGTTTTGCTCTTGTTGCCCAGGCTGGAGTGCAATGGCACCATATCAGCTCACCACAACCTCTGCCTCCCAGGTTCAAGCGATTCTCCTGCCTCAGCCTCCCGAGGAGCTGGGATTACAGGCATGTGCCACCACACTGGCTAATTTCTTGTATTTTTAGTAGAGATGGGGTTTCTCCATGTTGGTCAGGCTGTTCTCGAACGCCCGACCTCAGGTGATCTGCCCGCCTTGGCCTCCCAAAGTGCTGGAATTACAGGTGTGAGCCACTGCGCCCAGCCCCACTGACGGAATCTCTAGTGCTGCCAGCCACCTCAATCCAAGGGGTGCCCCTGGCCTTGGCTCCCCCAGAACCCATACCCCAGGGTCTCAGGAGTATAAGACGTGTGCTCTACTCTGATTCCTGGGTGCGTCATTGGCTCTAGGACAATTCATTACAGCACGGCGCAGGCTGTCTGAAACAGACATGCATGTAACATTTAGATTCTTTCTCCAGAAGCCTGCAGGTTCCACAATTCAATAAACATCAGAGCAAAGGTTATTTTAAACTCCGCAGTTAAAATCGACGTGGTGATATATTGGTCTGATGACTCCTTTTATGAAATTACCTCTGAAATGTTATGTTTTCATTCTGGGAAACTCATTCCAGCTTTGTTCTTCCTTGAACTTTATAACTTACCCTGCAAACTGCTGTGTACCTGGCCACGGTTCTGGAAGTTTCTCTAGGGCCTGTGACCCCAGCTGATGGGGCCGTGGTGGAGGGGGGTGTGGCTGACAGCATCGGAGAGCTGCGGGCTTCTGTGTCAGCTGCTGTTCCTCGTCTGGGCTCACTGTGGGATGACACACGCCTGGCTTCCCTCCCCATAAGGCAGCCGAGCCCCCCACCCCCGCCGTTCTTCCAGGGACTCAAACCCACCACTCATCATCACATCCCACATGTCAGGTTTTCTCCCCAGAGGCGCTGAGGATCATGATGAAAACCACCCCGGGGCTTTTCACAAGCTGCACTGGAGTCGACGGTGGAGAAGTTACAGACACGCAGTGTGTGTGTCACCTGCGGGCCGCTAATTAGAGCGCCGCTGACAGCCCAGAGATGGGGAGCTGGAGAGGCTGGGCGCGGGAGAGAGCCCAGGTGGGCTCCTGTGAGTTTAGGCCTGAGTGCTGCAGCGGAGCCAGCAAGAGCTCGGAATCACCCAGCTTTGTGGATCTGCCCTCCCCTTTGCCGTCCTCAGTCCAGCTCAGCCCTCGCCTCCTGGAGGAACCCAGCCCAGCTCGTCCCACAGCCCTGGGGCCTGCATCACCCTGGATGGACTGAAGTGGGTCTGACCGCTGCTCCCTGCAGCTGGTTTCCACCAAGGTCACAGGATGCAGTGGAGGCCTGCAGGCCTGGGGCTTCTTCCTGCTTTGTTGGGTGGCCACTGACCGTGACCTCACAGGCTTCTGGCTCCCTGACCCTGGGGTGTCCTGAGCAGTGTGAGGTAGTGACACTCTTAGGGCTCCAGGAAACATGTATCCTCTCTCAGCACACCTGCTGTGGCCCATGGGGCTCTGTTCTGAGCTCCTGGTCATCTTCCTGACCGGGACAAGCCCAAATATCTGTGGTGGGGGGCTCCTCCGGAGCTCAGCCATGGGAGAAGGCGGTAGACCCAGATCAGCGTGGAGGACACCAGGTGAGCCTGGCTGAGCCTTCACCCTCTCAGATCCCAAAAGTGCCCAGGTCTCAAATCCAGGGTAAGGTCCCAGGGAGTCAGGGAACTGATAGGGGAAAGCACTCAGCCTTGCAGGGCTTCGTCGCCTGGATGTGGATGAGACCAGCACACCACGTGGGGCAGCGAAGGCGCCAGGCCTGCTCTCCAACAGCATCCTTTGAATCAAGGGTCCTCACATTCTCTCTTGCTTCCCAACCCCCAGTATGCCCTCCTGTTTTCCATCTTATTATCTGCTCCCTCTTATCCCAGGGTTTTTCAGCCTCAGCACCACTGACATTTGGGACGGATCATTCTCCCTGCTGTGGCCACCCCATGCACTGCAGGCAGCTGAGCAGCATCCTCGGCCTCCACCCGTGAGAGACCTGCACCACCCACCTCCGACGCCACCACCCAAAGCCTCTGCAGACACTTCCCGGTGTCCCCGGATGGCAAAACTGGCCTGTGGAGGACCAGCGACCTGCCCCAGTGTTTACTGTGTGTGCAAATACTCTCTGAGCCCCTGTATGTGCCCGAGCTTGCCTGAGGTCTAGTGTGGCTGTGGCCAGTGGTGACACTAGAAAAAAACAGCAAACACGGGGCCTCGGCATGCACCAAACTGGGCCAGAACCCACCGCAGCCATGAGCTCTGGAACCCGCACTGCAAACATGAGACCTCACCGTGCACCAACCTGGGCTGGAACCCACTGCAGCCGTGAACTCTGGAACCCACACAGCAAACATGAGGCCTCACCATGCACCAACCTGGGCTGGAACCCACTGCAGACGTGAACTCTGGAACCCACACAGCAAACATTGGAGGGAAACACTGTCACTTCTACTTTACAGGCATAAACACTGAAGTGCAGAGCATTTGGGTGCATCAGAATTTTAACTCTTCAGCCCTGCAGGCCTCGCTTTCAGACATTCTGCTTCAGTAGGGCTGGAAGGGGTCCTGGGGAGCCCCACTGCAGGGAACCAGAAACCAACTGGAAGAGCCGGTGTCCAGCAGGCCCCAGAGCTCCTCAGAGCCTCAGATGGGGTTGGAGGGCCTTCCCCTGCTCCATCCTTCCCCCAAATACTGGTTGTTCCTTTCATTCAATAGATGCTCAAATCTTACACAATTTAAACAGACATTCCTAAGAGCACTGTATTTGCATGTAATTTGACTGTTTTCTTGTAGTAGTTGTAAAAGGGGAAGGAAAATCTATTCCAGTTAATTGTAGGTTCTGTGGAACTGGAGTTAGATCACATCACTATTGAAACCAGCTTATTATTGATCGGAAATGTGACAGGCCTGGGTCCACGGGCACACGTGTTGCCAGAAGCCTTTGTCACTCCATGGCTGACATCTCTGCATTGTTTTTCAGCTGGTAATTCCTTAAAAGACTGAGACAATAGTCATTTAATATCGTTTGCTCAAATGAACAGTTCCCCGAGCAAATAACAATAATAAAAAAAAGTCCCTGAGAAGCCAATTAGACTCTGCAGCTTGTACCAAGCAATGGCCTTTCTAATAGACGCCCTTTTTACAAGTGCAGCTGTGTCACCCAGATGAAAAATCAGGGCCCCTTTTGCTGCTGATATGTAAATAAATGCAGGCGATCGCATATGTAATAGCCCTGTTCCATCAGCGGGGTTTAGAAACCCGATAGGAATACTTCAGATAAAGGGGCAATTTATGGAAGAGATTTTCTAATGAGAATGAGGGATAGGAGAGGCAGTGAGAAGACAGAGATCTCTGGGGTCAGGAAATGCAACCCAGCCCAGAGGCAGAGCTCAGCCTGGTGCCGGGAGACAAAGACCTTGGCCGACTGCTCTGTGCAAGGACGGTGGGGGCTCTCCTCGTGGGCTGCATCCCGCAAGCAGAGCAGCCATGGGGATTCTAACTTGGGGTGCACACATTCCTTTTAGATCCTGTAACCTCTGTGGCTTTCTCCCCGGAAAAGTGCACATATGTGCACACTGTTTTGTATATAGATCCAGGGGGCTCAAGGACCCTGAGACCCATCCTTGGGCCCTAGGTCAAGATCAAGAGCATCTTTAGGGCTGGGGTCTCCACCAGGGTGGTTCTGCCCCTCTGGACGTGTGGCAATGTCTGGAGGCATTTGTGATTGTGCAGCTGGAGGGAAGGGGCCCTGGCATCTCGTTGGGGGAGGCCAGGTGTGCAGCTCAGCATCTCACAGGGCGCAGGACAGCCCCTATGCAAGGAAGGATCTGGCTCCAAATGTCAATAGCATTGAGACCGAAGCAGCCTGCTCTGGGTGATCTGCCGGCAGCAGGGTCCCAGAGCACCCGTCTAACCACCCTGCATCTACAGATGAGGAAACCGAGGTCTGGAGTGGAGAAGGGACTTGCCCGGACCCCAGGTCTTGTTGATGGCAGAGGCAGCCCGGCGTCGAAGCCATGCTCCCAGCTGTCCGATAGCTGCTACCCAGCTGGGCTGCACCAGCCCCTCCTCAGCAGAGGTTCCTGGAGCCTCAGGCAACCCGCACAGGAGCTGTGAGGCCTCACTGGCCCCAGCTGTAAAGCAGAGGAAACAGTTCCAGTGATTCCAGACCCACCACCAAATGCCAAGCCAGCTTTCAGCTGGGGCTTTGCCAGGGTTTCCTGACACAGAGAAAGAACAAGCCAGTGATTCCCTTCTGACTCTGCAATGGAGCCAGGCCACAGGCAGAGTGAGGGCCAGACTGCAGCTGGAGCAGGTAGGGCCAGGTCACCTTAGGCCACCAAGGAAGGCTCTACTAGGAACGGGCATTCCCGAGGACACTGGGGAACTGGAGGGGAGGCCTAGGGAGGAAGGAGAGGCCTGGGGAGGAGGGGAGGTGGGGGAGGCCTAGGGAGGAGTGGCAGGCCTAGGGAGGAGGGGGCAGCCTAAGGAGGAGGGGAGGAGGAGGGGGAGGCCTAGGGAGGAGGAGGAGGCCTGAGGAGGAGGTGAGGAGGGGGAGGCCTAAGGAGGAGGGGGTGCCTAGGGTGGATGGCTAGACCTGAGGGTGGGAGGCCTGGGGGTGTCATGAGGAAGGCTTCAGTGGGGGTGGAGGTGTGTTGGGGTAGATTGGTCTGCAGGGCACTGCCAGCCATGGCTGAGCCTCCATCTCCCTCACCCCCTGTGGGGAGAGCTGGTCAGATGGCTCCGTGTGGGCAGGGACAGCCTCTGGGTGGGATGCTCCATGGCCATGGAGCTCTGTGCTGGTGGGTAGGCTCTGGCCCTGAGTGCGGAGCCACCTTCCCTGCCCACCATTGGCCTTCCCTGCAGTCAGCTGACAGCTGTGCCTAGCGACAGGGTCCTGGGATCTAGTGGCCACAGTCTACCTGGAACCGGCAAGGTCTATGCCCGGCTCTCCATCCACAGAGTCCCACAGAGAGAGTGCTCTCAGACACCCCTCACCGCCCAGGCCAGGAGTCAGACACCCCTTACCGCCCAGGAGGGGAGCTCCCAGGCCAGCTTTTCCCCCTATCCCCCTGTCCCTCTCCCCAACCTCACCCCTCCCCTGCCAACCTCTCCAGAACCACAGGAGGGGTGCAGGGGCCTCCCCTCCCAGATCCTAGGCCAGCAGTGTCTCCTGTCCAGGGAGCCCCAGTCCTAACGGGGAGCAGGTGTTCCCTTACCGCAGCCCTCTGTCCCCCACCATGGCTCCCGGTCAGCTCTGGTCTGTTCTCCCCTCTACCACACTGGGTTCTCTAGGATGAAAGTCATTGCACTCTTAAGAATTCCAAGAATGCAGTCCCCACTGCAGAAAAAATCAAATCTCCTTTCCCTCTGGCCCTGTCAAGGTCACCAATGGTGATGAAGCAGCACCCAGCTTGTGGTATAATTTCCTTCAACCTCAGACAAACATAAGGAAATATATACATATATATGTGTATATATATATAATTTATATCTATAATTTTTTGCTGCTTTCTTTTTTAGCCAAAATGGCATTCCGCTGCCTCTGTTCCCTAAGACCCCATCATGTAATAATCTGCGGTGGCCATCGTTCCAGGCCAGTGCCATTGAGCCTCATCCGTTTTCATCACGGCAGAATAGTGCAGCCGCCAGGTCTCGCCGCCTCTGCACCCCGCTCTGGGGGACTCCTGAGGGTGGGAGGGGCTGGGCCTCATTCAGCTTGGTCACCCCAACGATGCACACGGATGCAGGAACATGTGTACACATGCATGTACACACATGAGCACATTCTGCCCATTCAGGGGTCGAATGAGTCATGAATGGACAGTGACCTCCGGTGTGCTGAGATGCCATCCCGGCCCACAGGCCCTCAGCTTTTCTCCAGCCACACATGAGTGTCCTGTGCCCAGCAAGGTGCTCTGAGCCGCAGAGCCTGCGTGGTGAGGGAAGACACTGAACCCAGGGCCCCCAGGCTGAGCAGGCCGTTTGCCCCTCGTGAGCCTGGCTCTCTGCATTCCCCAGCCTGGGCTGCCTCGCACAGGGCCACAGACCAGGCGGTTGAAGCAACAGAGACGAATTCCTCCTGTCCTGGAGTGCAGAGCCCCACAGCAAGGCGTCGGCAGGGCTGCTCCCTCCTGAGGCCTCTCTTCTTGGCGTGTAGATGGCCGTGTGCTCCCTGTGTCCTCATGAAGTCGTCCCTTTGTGCATGTCTGTGTCCCAACCTCCGATAATAATGACCCCAGCAGGTTGGATGAGGGCCCGCCTTCTGGCCTTATTGTAACTTAATTACATTTTAGGAAGCCCTATCCCCACACATAGTCTCATTCTAAAATACTAGGGGTTAGAACTTCACCCTAGGAGTTCCGGGGATGCCGCTCAGCTTATGACAGTCTTCCTGCTTGGATAGATAGACGGACCCTTTGACCACAGATCCCTGGGCCCTGGGAGCACCTGAGCATCTTCGTGGTGAGAGACAGCAGCCCAACCTCGGGGCAAGGCGGGAACAGGCCATTTCCACACCTTGTTTCCATGGACATGACACAGGGTAGCATGAAATCCCCAGGGAAGCCCTTTGCTCAGAAGCAGCACCATGTCAGGGTGCTGTGAACTTGGATTTTTTTCTTCTTCTATGTCCTCTTTCCAAAGCACCCCATCTTGCTTGCACGTGCTCTTCCTAACAGTAATATCAGCAACAAACCTTGGAGGGGGAAGGGGGACACGGGTTTCCAGAATGGCTGGGATGTCCCTCCCTGGCTCCCCAGAGCCTGGGGTGAGCTCTCTTGGGTGGGACACACTGGTTTCCCAGCTCACCCACAGACACCTGCCTTCTCCGGCCCACCTGGGTGGAGCGCCCTTGCGGCTATCATGGGCCACTACAGCCGTCTTCCACTCTCCCCTCCCTGACAACTGACAAGCCAGGTCCTCGGGATCCGATGATAGCTGTCACCACTCCCAGGGTGTCAGGGAAGGAGCAAACATTACAGGGCTCTGTCTTCTCCAGCCCTCCTGCCTGCCGATGCACGGGCCTCTGTGGCTGCCTCCAGTGCTGCCAATCGATCCTGCTCACTCTCATTTTCCAGATGATGTCCTGGAGGCTTTTGGCCTTTCCAAGCCAGCTCCGGGCCTCGGGGCAGCCTCTACCAGGGCAGGGAGGGGCAGCTGAGTCGCACACGGGAAGAAGCTGACGAGCTGTCTCTCCAGCCTGCTCCTCGTGCAGTTGGGGAAACAGGCTTTGTGAGGAGCAGGGGTTTCCTCGCCTCCCTCAGGAACCTGAGTCCTGCCCTCTCGTCCACCTCAAGCAGCTGCATGTCCTGGGCCTGAGTTTGGGGCTGGACTCCACCCACAACCTGCCCTAACCTGCAGGGTGGGATCCACAGCCGACGCTCCATGGCCGCTGCCTCCATACACTTGGTCCTAGAAGAAAAGGGCCAGGCATGAATTAAGTACCTGCTGTGCTCCCCTCACTGCCCACGCTTCACGCTTGCTCAGGCTCATGCTGACCATGGAAGCTTCAGAGGAGTCAGGTCACTTGCCTAAGGCCACACAGCTCGTAATGGCCAGGGCAGCAGCTCAGCCAGGAGCCCGGACACTTGTCTTCTAGGACTTCCAGCAAGGTGGCTGGTCAGAGGTCTTGGGCCAGGTGTGACGTGCTGAGAAAGCAGGAAGCCACCTCTGGTCTCTGCTTCTGGGCTTGCAGAGATGGGTATAGGTCTGGCCTTCAGGCTGCAGAGGAATGAACTGGAGGCCACAAGGACAGCATCTAGGACAAAACTGGAGGGACAGCCAGGTGGGCTGTGCAGTTCTCTGGGGCTGCTGGGCCAATGGGACCTGGCTGTCAGAAAGTGGGGCCCTGCGTTTGGAAGGGGGCCTGTTCTGCAGCTGGTGAAAACACGTGTCGGGGCAGACCTGAGGCCTCCGCTGAGGGGCGAAGGGGAGCCGAGTTGCTTGAGGGCTGTCCAAGCCCTCCCTCTCCCCCTGGGGCTGCCCTAGTCTGGGTGAGCTGCCCACCCTGGCCTGGCTGAGGCCCTTAGTTGTGTGAGTGGCAGAATCCTCCTGCAGGCTGGCTGGTGTAGAAAGGCCTGACGGGCTCCTGGATCTGAAGCCAGAGGCTGGACAGGTGGCCTGCCCAAGTGGCACAGAGCTGTGTGCCACAGGAAGCTCTGCCCAATGGGCACGGCCATGCCAGGTCACTGTCCACACCCCTCCCTCGTGGCACTTGAGGAAGGGCGGCTGCTGGCCAGTCTCCATCACCATCCTCCCAGTTAAGTAGCACCCTACGGGGCCAGCACTGTTCCCATCTCAAGGAAACCTGACTGGGGGAGCTGATGCCTGGCACCCCTCAGAACAAATCCCAGGGAAGTTGGGGAGTCATCATGAGCCCAGCCTGTGCCAGACACCACTACGTATCAGGGCCGGGTGTGAGAGCAGTGCCTGCAGGAGGCCACAGTCCTGGAAAAGAGACAAAAGGAAGGTGAGTCCCCTACACCCAGCCCTCTGAGGGACACTGCCTGCACTGGTTTCTCCTGCACTTGGACCTGTGGGACGGGAGATGAGAGATGCCCTGTCTCCTGCCACCTCCCGTCACTGCAGGCCACTCGATGTCCCCTCACCACCGAGGGCTGAGAGCAGAGCCAGCAGCCCATGGTGGTCCAACCAGGGCAGCCAGGACAAGGCACCTCTCCCCGTGGGCGAGGATCCAACAGAACGATGGCCCCCAGGGTGCTTTCTCGCCTCTGGGCAGACGGCAGCCATCAGGGCAGCATGAGGCTGGCCATGGCCTCTTCCCACCCAGGCCACTTCTCGTGGCCTGTGACAAGCGACTCTCTGCTCAGCCTCACCTCTCAGTGTTCCCTGAGGACAAATTGTCTCTGTGAGACCCTGTCCCTCCCTCCACGTGGAAGGTACTCAGCCCATCACCCACCCACCTTCTGCTGAGGCCTCTCTACCTGATGTCAGCTCTAGAACTGGCAGCTCTGATGTCCTCAGGCCGCGGCCACACCCAGGCATGACTGGGATCTCAGAGAGGGAGCTGGGCCAGAGCCTCGTGGGAACTCCTGGGGTGTGGGATGCTCCGCGGGGGCGGGGAGGCCAGGTGCCCTCCGGAAGGACAGAGACCGCCTTGCACCAGGTGCCCCTGCTCTTGTCTGCCCGGGTCACTTTGGGCTCGTTTTCAGGTCTCTGTCCAGGCAAGTCCCTCCCTAGGCCCTCCCACCTGCCCTGGGCTGCCCTGGTCCCTCCTGGGTCTCCTGTGCCCTGCACTGACCTCTGCACACATCCACCTCTCCAACAGAGTAAGCCCCAGCCTCCAGGACTAGGACCTGCCCCGGGATCCACCAGTGTTTGTGCAGGTCCTACCGGGCCCTCTTCCCGGCATGTACCCCTTCACTGACCTCCAGCCAGCCCCCCTCAGCAGCAGGAAGCCCGGGCTCTGAGCACTTGAGTGACAGGCCCAAGGTGACAAGCTCCAACATTGCCCAGTGAGCATGTGAAGCCACATCCCTCTGACCCCGGCTTGTGCAAAGCGCTGCAGGACTGCTGGGTTAGGGGCTGCTGTGGTGACTCTGTCCCTGCACAAGGTGGAGCTGAGTGAATAAATGAAGGGGATGGAGGGTTGAGCTCCCTGCACAGTGGGGGCGGTCAAGGCTCAGAGAGGTCTGAGCAGAGAGCAAGGTGGGGTCCTGGCCTTCCCCCTGCTGCTCTGCTGGGAAGCCCACCATGCTGGCCCACAGGGGGAATTGGTAAGGTCCATCGTGTCTGTGCTCCTGACTCTGTTCCTTCTTGTCACACGGCCTGCGCCACACCTGCCCATGAGCGTGGACCTCCAGTTCTGCAAGCTTGGTCCTTGGGGCCCACGGCGGAGCTCCCATGGCGGGTCACACCCCACCACCTGGACACTTGGCTGTATGTAAGAAGAGTGTGCAGTAGGGAGAGAAGGGTGAGCCCTGCCCCAAGTGCCCTCCTGAGACCATCGGATGCTCTGGGTGGGTCAGCGCTCACCATGGGACTGCCTCTCCTGCTTGGCAGCTTCCCCCATTCGGGGTGACCTGGGCTCTGCATTCCCAACTCTGCCGGCCCTTCCACTTCCTGTCACAGGAAAAGCAGAGCACCCAGTTCTGGAAGGGCGAGGTCCCCCAGGGTACAGACAACATGTACACCTGCGCCTAGAGAATGCCAGCATGTGTGGCCCCACACAGATGGCACAGAGCCCAACATGAGTGGGTGGTGCTGTCAGAGGCTCGAAGTGGATAGGTAGGCAGGATGATTCTAATCCAGAGACGCTCGCAGGGACTGGATGAGGAAATGGGGAGGGTATCCAGGTTGCAGAGGGCCTGCGCAAACCATCAAAGAGGCCTTCCCGGAAGAGGCGGAGCTGAGTCCTTAAAGGAGAAAGAGGACCTGGAAGGGTAGGTGGGCATGCCCTGCTTACACTAGGCTATGAGGCCAGCATTCGGGCTCCCTCCCTCCCTCCTCCCTCTCCTCCTCTTTTTCTCTCTCCTTCCTTCCCTCCCTCCTCCCTCTTCCCTTCCCTCCCACCTTCCTCCCTCCTTCCTTCCCTCCCACCTCCCTCCCTCCCTCCTCCCTCTTTCCTTCCCTGCCCTCCCTCCCTTCCTTTCTTTTCTCCCTCCCTGTCTCCCTTCCTCCCTCTCTCCCTTTCTCCTTCCTTTTCCCGTTCCCTTCTTCCTTTTCTCTCTCCTTTCTGCCCTCTACCCTTCCCTTTCTCCCTCCTCTCTCCTTCCCTCAGAAGCACAGTGAGTGGTGAGTGGGCTCCATGGTCCTGCCCTGACCCCACAGCTGGAAGCACGTAGGAGGCACAGAGGACACTTCAGAAGAGCTTCCTGGGGGCCGGACACAGGGATCCCCAGCACCTCTGCCTCACAGCAAACACAGACATGACAGGGAGAAGTGGGGTGCATGGTGTGCCCTCCTGCAACAGCCCCTTCCCTGGCTACACCCCCTCTTCTCTGATCCCACTTCCCTTGCCCAGATTCCCCAGGGGACTCCAGCACATCTGCCCTCACCCCAGTGCTGGCAATTGCATGGGCTGCAGTTAGCTGGGCCCTTCCCCTTTTGAGGAGGCATCTGTGCTTCCAGCCAGGAGACTCTTTCCCCTGTAAACTCAAATCACTGAAAACATGCTGGAAAACCAGAGGAATGGAAGAAAAGGTGGCACCCCATCCCGGAGGTGGATGCACATCCTTTGTGGAAGGCTGCAGATGTGGGCACCGGCCTTGGAGCCCGGCCACCCTGCTCAGCCTGCCCAGGCCCTGATGCCATCTCCGGAGGCCTGTGCTGCCCCTAGCCTGACACCCAATAGGAACACTGTCCAGAGAGAGGACGCGCTGCCCCCACCCTAAAGTTACGACTCTGTCCCTAGAGAGCTTCCTACAGAGGCACGGACCTCCGGGGGTGGCCCCGGCTCCTGTCTGCCGAGAGGGGGCCCGAGCCCGGCACAGCCCTGTGCACGTGAAATCCCACCAGGACCCCTGACCCTCAGCCACCCATGGGGAAGGTCGGACATGATCACACTGCTAGTCCCTGAGTGGGCTGAGCCAGTGAGGCTGGCTCCAGATCCCAAGCCCTTAGCTATGTTCACTCACGTCGGGTCACCCAGCCAGCAGACAGGGCTGAGCCGGTGGCCTCAGCTCACGGTAGCTCATAGGCAGAGGCCTCCTGTGAAGCCTGCCTGCTCCTCACACCTGCGCCGCGGTAAACAACATCCAGATACCACCGTCAGAAGGCAGCTCCCCTGTCCCCAGGCCCAAAGCTAGCAGGTGGTGAGGGGGCCCGGAAGACAGGTGCCCTGGTCCCATGACACCCCGACTCCCAGGGCCCTGGGATGACCACACAGGGGATGGGACTGCACCTTCCCTGCGGGCTCCTTCCCAGCAGACGCCCCTGGTGACCTCATCCTGGACAGCTCCCTGGTTCCAGTCTTGAGAAGAAGAAATCTCCAACAGGCCCCATCCGAGCAGACCCAGACACTGAGACGGCTGGTTTTGCAGGACAGCACTGAGGCCCAGGGCAGCAGCCTGTGAGTCAGAGGCTGCTGGGTCTCCAGCCAGGGGCTGTCTCAGAAGCAGCTGAACCCTAGGTGCTGGGAGGCAGGCCGGCTCCAGAGCAGGCTTCTGGGTGTTGGTTCTCCCTGCCTAGGAAAGGGGAAGTGGGTTGTGCTTCCGCCACAGGCCCTGGGGGCACCTGGTTGTCCTCCGCTTGAATGGAAGTCCCTGGAATAAAAAGCTGTATTTGGACACGAAAGGATCCATGGGGATCATTGAATACTGAGACCCCCCAGTGTGGGCCAAGACCTCTCACCAGCCACAACCCCCAACCAGAGTCAGAGGGTGGGTGGCATGGCCTGGCCACCAACGTCAGGTGGAAGGAAGCACTCAGGGCACTTGCACAGGGGAGCTTCCCGGAGCCACCCTCCCACAGGGCTCGGGACTTTCTCAGCCGGGTACAGCTTGGTGTCTCCACTCACCGGGAGAGGCTGGAGGACAAGGTCTGCCCCGGAGAGCCAGCACCCGGGATAGGGTTCCTGCTCAGAGGCCACCCAAGAGCGTCCGTCACAGAGTGGATGAGTGAAGGCTCTGTGCCTGTGGAACCCGCAGACACAATGGACCCGGGGTGCACACACCCCACAGGCAGGGCAGGGGCACGGAAGCAGTGACTCCCAGCCAGCCCCACACACCCCACAGAAGGCTGTAGAACAGGGGTGCACAGCACGGGGGACCCCCAGTTCCTAGATGCAGGCCTCAGCACCACGGGGACACCTGTGTATTAGCCACAGGCCATGGCACCACCCACACCCACCCACGCCCTCTCATACCTTCCTTGGCACCCAGTCGTTGCCATTGGCCCTTGCCAGATCACTGAGGTTTGGCCATTTTTGAGCCACAAAAATGACAATTTCATAAGGTTGTACCTGAAACATTCTAAATACTTAACTGCGGAAATCACTTTTCCTGTCCCCAAAGATACACTGAGCTCCCAACAGTCAGGGCTGTGTCTTCCTTTTGCTCACTCCCCCAGCGCCTGGCTGAATTGGATCAAATGGCTTGGAACGTTGAGAATGTCCTCGCCTCCTGACTACTAAGAATCAAGGGTTCGGGCCCTCCCAGGTCCGTGGGTGACCTTGGGCACACCCTGCTCTCTCTGGGGAGAGCTTCCTCTCAGGCCACGGCAAGAGGACACAGGGAGAGGAAGAGGAAGAGGAGAGGAGAAGAGAGGAGCAGAAAAGAGAAGAGAGGAAAGGACAGGAGAAAGAAGGGGAGGAGTGGAGAGGAGGGCAGCAGAGGAGAAGAGAGGAAAGGAGAGACACCTGGCTATTCCAGCATCTCAGCCTTCTCTACCGCAGCACGTGAGTCAGCCATCTAGGGTGTCCAGTCCAGAAGAGCTCTCTAATGAGTGCCCTTCCAGTCATTACCATGTGGTACAGAAGAACCCAGCCACGCTCAATCTACACACATTATAAGAGATTATTCTTTCATGTCACTAAGTTTTGGGGTTGGTTGCAGCAACATATAACCATGTTACATGTTGGCAGGAGGGCACAGGCATGGCGGTGTCCCCCTGCTGCCCAGGAGTCTCCTGATGTCTGACCCTACTGGCTAGCCCTCCCCTCCCTCCTCTCCAAGCCCCCTCTCCAGCTGCTCTGACAGAGGGACTTTCCTGGCCCCTGCTCATGAGGACCTCACTGCTGAGCTCCCAACTCCAGGTGCATCTTCTAGAACAAGAGCAGCACCTTGGGAAAGCTTGGCCTTCCAGACGCAGAAGCGCAGGTGCTGTGGAAGTCCATGGGATGTGGGGATGGTTCAGGTTTAGAAAGCTCTGCATCCTTGCTTCTCTGCTTCTCTTTGTGTTATTTGTCCTCTTGGAAACAATATGCTTCTCAGGAAGAACAGACACCTGCTCGCTGTGAGCTGTTCCACGTGCTGCTCTCAGATATGGCTGATAATTGCTGCTGTCATCCCCCTGTCCCACCTAGGCCTGGACCCGTGATCCACCAGGCCCTCCAACCCTGCCTCCAGCAACCCTGGAATAGACGTCGAAGCAGATGGCAGGAGAGAGCCCGGAGCAGCCAGCGAGAGCCTGGCTTGGCCCGAATCCATCTGTCCTGCTTCAAGCATCTTGCCCGCTGGCCACACATTCATAGTTTCAGCCACATCAGCATTTTGCAAAATGCCAGCTCCAAGCAGGGGACCCTCGAGGGCTGTCGTGGCTGCCAACTGTTGGATTTTGACACATTTCGTCCAGTGTGGGCACACCGGAGCTTCGTCCGCACGCAGAGGATGCGGGAAATGTTGGCTGCCCCATGCTGCTTCTCAGAGTTGCTCAAGTTAGGACGGGCTCAGGGGCCCTCTCCTCCTGCCGCCCTGCTTGGCCAGCTGTGCTCCCACATCCAGCCTCTCCACTGCTGGAGTTCTTCCAGGGGCACAGATCAGACCACCACTCAGACAGCACCCCTTTCTTGTGTGCTGCAGCTTTGCAAAGTCCTTCCATTGCGCCAACATACTGCCGGACAGCATCCAATCAGGACAGATCCGCTTTCCTGCCATGCCCCTTCCAATAAAGGGGGAAACCTGGTGTGGCTGGTCCAGGGGGAGCCTGGAACCTGAAAGTGGCTGGGAAGGGCTTGGCTGAGGAGGGAAGCAGTGGCCGAGCCTCACACAGGAGCCTGCCCAGGTCATGGAGCCAACTGCACTCCCCCACCGTGTCCGTCAGGACCTGGTCTGCTGTAAGCGGTGGCAGGAATTAAAACAGGTGTTACACACACACACACACACACACACACACACACACACACACACGCACACACACAAAGAGAGAGGAGAGGGAGGAGAAGGAGAAAAGAGGAGAGAAGGAAAGGAATGCTTTGGCTCAGACAATGGCTGAAAGTAAAGGGGACCTCTGCTTCAGGCACAGGCTGAAACCTGGCCTCCTCTCTCTCTGACTTCCTTCTCCTCCACGTTAGCACCATTTCTAACCTGGGCTTCATGTGCAGAAAAGGAATCCCCACCAAGCAGCTCTACACACATATCCTCAAGTTCAATCTCAATAGAAAAATAAGCTGAAGCCTCTCCCCCTAGAAGTTGGAGCCCCGAGCCTAACTCACAGGCTAGGGCGAATGTGTGCACATCCCAGAAGCAGCTTGGGTTGTGCACTGAAGTTGGAAGTTGGTCTGGTCCTGGGGCAAATGGCCACCCGTTGTGCCCATGCTGGCTGTGGTGGGAAAAACTGGCAGATTCCAACCCCTGGGGGCTCTGGGCACAAGGAAAGGTGTGCAGGGCAAGGTGCAGATGACACAGCCTAGTCTAAGCCTCTGCTCAGAGACCAAAGCTGGGCCAGGTTGGGGAGGCAGAATAGTAACAACCCATGCCCCCAAGGCTCTCCTCTGCAATGCGTCAGCTGTCACCAGCCGGGCTGGGTGTCATGTTGCATTTCAAACCAGGAACTCTCAGATGTGCATTGAACTGACGGCTGTGTGCGTGGTGCACTGTGTATGCCTGGCTCCTAGACAGGGCTGGCTCCTCCGCTGCTCTGCAGAAGGTGGCTGGGAAATTCCAGGGCTGAGCAGTGCTAGGTGGGGGCGAAGCCAGGACAGGGTCTGTTAGCTTCATTCATGGTTATGGGGTCTCCTGCTGGGGACAACCAAGTGGTCACGCAGATGATGACAGCATTGCCATTAGTGGGGCCTGGCTCGGGCAAGTCCTGTGGTGTGAGGAGACCCTACTGTCGGGCGAGCCCCAGCAGGGAGTCTAGCCCTGGAAATCTGGCGGACAGAGGCCTGGAGACCGGCATTGGCCCATTCCCAGTGAGTGCCAGGGCTGTATGGGCAGGTGACATACAGGTCTCCCCAGACAGGCAGGCTGTGGTCCAGAACTGCCCAGGTCCCCACAGGGTGTGGTGAGGAAACCGAGGCAGAAGCTCCTTGGTGGACCAGCCAAGCAGGGCTCAGGGACGCACGGACAGGGTGGGTGAGAGGAGGAGGCGTCCTCTCAACTCCGACACCCACGGCCCCTTTCCTGCTGCCCTTCAGGGTGTATGCTGGGACCAGGGAGGAGCCCCTGCTGGCCCTGATTCTCCTACACGGAGCTGGGGGAAGATGCGTGGGGCCCAGGCCTGGGCCCAGAGAATCTCAGGGAGGCCGTGGGCAGAACAAAGAACCATCTCGCCAAAACCACCTCAGGAGGCAAAACCCCTGGGAAATCCCTCAGGCCGCTGAGTCAGTCCCGGCTCTGCTGACGTTCTTCGTTGAGGCTCGGCCCCTGTGCCTGCAGGTGCCGCTGGCACAGCCCTTCTGAGTACTCCACGGCCTCTGTCCCACAGCTGTGCCTCAAGGTGTGGGTGGCCCGTGGGCCTCGGTTCTTTCCACCCCAAATAACGCTACAGATCAGATCCTCAAAGAGATGCCTCACTGAGCCTCGGGACAAGGGCCTCTGTGGGCTGCCCAGGAACTGTGTGGCCGGCTTTTGGCAGGGGCGGCTCTGCCATGTCACTGAGACCGTCCACATTGTCCTGCAGGCCCTCCCTCGCAGGCCTCCTTAGCTCCACAGGGTCACATAGATGACCAGCCCTCAGAAGTGCTCGTTGGTACCCACCTGTCTGATCTTTGTCACTCTGATGGCATCTCAGGGTGGCAGTGAGGTCTTTCTGCCTCGGTGATGCTGAGCATCTCCCTGGAGCCTGGGCGGCCTTGGCCGTGGACCCTCCTCTCTGCGGCTCTCCTCTCCCTGTTGGTGCTGGTTTCCTGCTGAGTTTCTCATCGGCCTTCCTGCCGCAGACCCTTCAGGAGCCAGCACTCTGCAGATCGCTCCACCCCCTGTGGCCCGTGGGTCTCTGGAGTCCTTCACTAAGGGAAAAAGTTCGCTGTGAGGTGACATAACCGGCCAGTGACTTCCCTCCTCCTGACTTCGGCTAATGATTGATCAGAGAGTGCCCCCCAGCCCCAAGGTCACAAAGATAGTCTCCTGCGTTTTCGAAATTAACTTTATCATGTTAACCTTTCTCCGTTATGTGCTAAATCCATCCAGAGTTAATTTCGTGAATGTGGTGTGAAGGGGAAAACCAATTTTATTCTTATCCATAAACTGCCAAAATTTCTCAACACGACTTAATAAATAATCCACGCTTTCCCCAAATATCTGTTGTCATTTATCCGATTCTCACAGACACGGGGGCCTCTCTTTCTCCACATGCATCCTCTCACGTCCTGTGTTTTTTGACAGCTTCACACTCGCAATTCCTGTGGCTTTTTCATCTGTTTTAAAGTCGACTAAATGAGCTTCCCCCAACAACTGAATTTTTACTTGTTTTTTCGGAATGTGCTAACCTATTTTAGGGTTTATTTTTCTATACATAATGTCTAGTCTGTTTTTCAAGTTCCAAAAATTCCTATTGAGAGTTTAATCAGATAGTGCATTGAATCCATAAGTTAATTTAGAAGAAATTGGCATCTTTACAATGCTCGTTATCTCCTTCTTGAACCTGGCTGTACTCGTCTGCAGTTGAGGAATAACTGTCCATAACGAGCCTCTGCAAAGCCCAGTGGTTAACAAGGGACAGTTAGCACCATGCTGAGGTGGTAAGGTTGGGCTGGCCCGGCTGCAAGATGGATTCAGGATGCCTTCTCTGTGCCCAGTGGATGAGCCTGGGGCAGGCTCTATTCATTTCTCTCCTATTAGGAGCAAAAGAAGAAAGCAAGAGGAAAATGCATGGCCTCTGAGGGCCTCAGGTCAAAATTGCAAACGGTCGCTTCCGCCCATGTTCCTTTGGCCAAAGGCAGTCAAATGGCCGAGCTCAGCATCAGCTGAGGTGGGGAAGTAACTGGACGACAATACTGGGGGCATCCCCAATGCCTTTGGCAGAGGGCAGAACATCTAACCCCAATGTCTAACTCAGACAGCACCCCTTTCTTGTGTACTCCATCTTTGCAAAGTCCTTCTTCCATTGAGCCAACATTCTGCTGGACAGCATCCAACTCAGGACAGCCCATTGCACGGGAGTGGAGACCTGGAAGCCATTATCTGCTCTCCCATGAGGGTGAGTCCACTGGATTCAGGTGCTTTGTACTTCTATGGTTGCAAAAGGCTTTTCTGCAAAGCTGGCGGCGGCTTTCCTCAGGCTGACTCCAGCACAGCTCACCTGCTGTGCAAGTACTTGTGGGGGAACAGCGGCTCCCCCAGCTCCTTAGAGAGACTCCTTGGAAGCCACTTCTTCCTCATGAAGGAGAGTGAAGCCGGGACTCCACCTCCCTCCCTCAGCACAGGGCTCTATTTTTAGGAACACGGTATGAACAGATTAGGGTGGAGTTTGCACCTGGGAAAGAGCTTAGTCATGGAGTCAAGTGACATCAACGCAGGGGCGGGCTCGGCCACTGATTTGCTGCGTGGCCCGTGGCACGTCCTGCGTACAATCTCTGGGCCTACAGATTTCCCGCAAGTACAGTAAGGGCGTTGAACCCAATGACCTCCAAAGGCCCTTCCCAAATCTGTGACATTTCATGAGTCTATAATTTATGAGTGCCTCTGAGGAGGAGTCCTAGCACGGCAAGGGTGAGAAAACCTGCCGTGGTGAGCAGAGGTGAGCAGCGACTGGGGGCTTGGATACAGATTCAGGGAAGGGCACGTGCATGTGTGTTCATGTGTGTGTGCACATGTGCGTGTGTGCGTGTGTACGTGTGTGTGCATGTGTGTGTGCATGTGTATGTGCATGTGTGTGCGTGTGGGTGCATGTGTGTGAGTGCATGTGTGTGCGTGTGCATGTGTGTGCGTGTGCATGTGTGAGTGCATGCATGCATGCGCATGTGTGTGCGCATGTGCGAGCACGTGTGTGTATTGTGGAGCAGGGATGTTCACTGTGTTCATGTTTTTACAAGGAGTGACGGGCAGAGAGTGGAGGGTGCTGTGAGCCAGAAGACAGCAGACCTGGGAGCCAATGTCTGGAAGACCTGGATGCCGACTTTGACTCAATCGAGAGAGGCCCTTTTCTCACAAGCAGAGCTTTTCAGTAATGACAGGGGCTCCCTTAAGGATTTCTGAGATTCCTGGGCTTAGTGGGGACAAGGCCACTGACTTTAAGCAACTCCATGTGATAAAACACACCTTCCAGGCACTTCTCCTCTTATCTCCAGCAGCTAAGGAAGGCTGGGCTGCCTTATCTACCCCTTTCTTCCTGCTCTCTAAACCATCCTCCGATTCATGCCGGAGGGGCCCTGGTGGAGTCAGGCTGGCAGATCCTGCGCTCCGGGTGTCCAGCATCAAACCATGCAGTGCGGCTTCCTTGAGGCGGCTCCTGGCCTGTGCACTGCGGGGGCAGCTTGGGGAGCTCGGTGGGGAGGGGGCAAGAGGGGAAAGGAGAGGCAGAGGGGGTGGAAACATTTGAGTAATTCAAGTGTACGGTGGACTTGGGTTTTTCTTTCTAGAAGGAGACTCAAAGGAAGACAGAGGAGCTCCATGCTGGCCTCACCTGGAAGAAGCATGGCCAGGCACGTGGTCTCCCACCTGGAATTTCAACACTGTGGGAGGCCAAGGTGGGTGGATTGCTTGAGGCCAGGGGTTTGAGTCCAGCCTGGGTAGCATGGCAAGACTCCATCTCCACTGAAAATACAAAAATTAGCTGGGCATGGGGCATGCGCCTGTAGTCCCAGCTACTTGGGAGGCTGAGATGGGAGGATGATCTGAGTCCGAGGAGGTTGAGACTGTAGTGAGCTGTGATCACACCACTGCACTCCAGCCTGAGGATGGAGTGAGACTCTCTAAACAAAAAAAGAAAAGAAAAGAAAAGAAAAGGAACTAGGTGTGCTTTCCAGGTGGTCAGATTCGGCTTCACAGAGGTAGAAGCTGGAGATGAGGGCGAGAGGGGGAAGGGAGAAGGCCTCTCCCCAAGGCCTATGGGCAGGGTTCTAAGTCCTCCATCCCATGGTGAGTCCCTCATCCTGGAAGCCTGTGGTCCAACTCACCCAACTTAGTATCTGCCAGGCAGAGGCCATGCCTGGGCAGCCCACAGCGGAGAACCCAGGTCAGCTTTGGGGAACCGAGGCTCTCCTTTGACTCCAATCCCAGGAAGAAGAGATTAGGGGAGAGAAGTGCCTCTGGGCCAAGGCTCCTGGGCTGGAGCTGCCAGTGGGAGGCCGGAGAGACTGCAAACCCCTTTGCTCCACCCAGCATTAGATGGCATAGGATTGGTCTCCTCTGTCTGCCTTGCCTTCTCTATCTGCCTTGCATCCTCTTCCCTCATTGGAAGGAGAGTGAACTCCTGAAGGGCAGTCAGACTGGGTGGGGCTGGGACAGAGGCTGTAGCCGGCATGCAGTTCCACCCGGCTTCACTCTCCCAGTGCACACAGCCGTGCTGCCACCTGCAGCCATCAGTGCTCCTTTACCTGCCCTCTCCCTGGTTGCCAGGAGGCCCCGCCCACATGCAGAAGGGGTCAGAGGTTCTGGGGATTCACACTCCCCAGGAGCAGCCCTCACCCAGCGGTGGTGGGAGTTGATATGTGAATACCCCAATTCTCTCGCCCCTTAAGTGGGATAAGGTTAGGGTGTGTGCTAGACACTGAGGACAAGTCCTGGGGGTGGGCTTCTCGTGCCCACTGGGTCACTGGCTTGGAAACGCCCCCTTGGTTGGCTGCTTCTTCCTCTGTCTCAGGTCCCCACTCTCTAATTGGTGCTTCCTGAAATCCCTCTCAAATAAACAATTTGCACCTAAAATCCTCATCTCAGGATCTGCTTCTGGGGAACGCAGATAAGACGTGGGCCTTGAGAGTGTCTTCGTGCTCTGTGAAGTGCATTTCTTGGGCTCCAAGCAGCACCCTGCATCATGAGCAGGGGCAGGGGCTTCCCTGCGTGCCTGCTCCTGCTTCCGGTCATCCTCACGGTGGAAGAGCAGAACAAGGGGGACATGTCCAGGTCAGCCCTGGCTCCAGCCAGAAGGCGCTCTTGAGCCTCGTTCATGGCGTGGGGAGCTCCCTATTAGTAAGACACGTGGGGCTAGAGGCAAACACTCTTGCTCACTATGAATGCTCTGGCCTGAGGGTCTCCCCTGCAGGCATGCACCTCTGGAGCACAGAGTGGTGGGCATGCCCATCTGGGGACATGTGTGGTCTGAGGCTCCATGTCCCATTGTTCTGCCCAGGGCATCATCAGCAACAGTTAGGGGTGAGCCAGCTCAGGCATGGTAGGGTGGAGGGAGTCAGGGTGGTGGCTCTCCTTGGGCTCACCAAATTAATGGTGGTCTCACCAAATAGCTGCCTGAATGGGAAGAGGAGACAGTGTGATTCCCATGACAGAGAACGTGACTTCTCCCCAGCACTCCCTCCAGTGCTCCTCATGCACCTCTCCCGGGGGGGATATGTGGGGCCAGCGCCTTTCCTCACACTGCCTCTTCCTGGGAAGCCCTTCCCATCCTTTCCCACAAGCCACCTTCCACACTCTTCGCCTTCCACACTCTTCCACCAGATGCACAACCGCCGCTCAGGGGCGTCTTCTCCACCACTGCCCAGCAGTCAGGCCCTCAGAGGCCTTTCATCCAGGAGGCCTGGCTCATGGGCCTTCTTTGCATCCCCACGTCCCAGCAGACAGCAGGTGCCCATTCGGTGCTGCTGCCCTACATATGTGCATGAACCAGTCTGCTGCACTGGATGGAGCTGCCCTGAGCACCTCCTCCAAACCGGGCCCTCTGCCCAAGCATAAAGCAGACCTCAAGTTCCTGACCTTAAGAAGTGAACAGACATGGAGACAGAGTGCCTTGGGGTACAGAGCGGGGGAGCAGGGGGCTTTCTGGGGGATCTGGAAGAACATGGCTTAGGAGAGAAGGAAAGAACAGTGGCACATAGAGATCAGCTTCTCTTGATGTCTGTCTGTCTGTGCTTTACTGCAACATCTCTTTTATTGCTTTTAATTTTCATGACAAATCCTTGAGGTGGGAACTGCAACTCTCCTTTAAGTGATGAATAAATTGGGACTTATAGAAATTCAGGAACCTTTGCAGAGTCCCTCTGCTTAGAATGGAAATCCAATCCTAGCCAGTCTTACTTCCAAAGTAGCCCCTGATGGCCATGGACAATTCCAGAAGGATGGATTTATCATGAGATGTTAAGGGCACTTGTGTGTTCTAGGAACACGCCCACTCATCTTTGAAGTTGACATGATGGTGTGAAAACTTACTTGTGCTCAAAAGCATCTCAGAACCTCCAGCATAGACAAGACCAAAATTCAGAGTTCCAGGTAAAAGAAATGCAAATTTGGCTATGACAGAGCTCAAATAACATTTATTTAAGAAATTCAAACATTGGTGTGTGGTCTACACTCCAAAGCACTGCCAAATTATTCTTGATTTTGTCTGGACTGTGTACAGGCAGCCTGGATAAATACAACCAGAGATGATTTTTCCTGAAATAATCTAAGTATTTGCTTCAGTTTTTGGTTTCTACATAAAATTGTGTTTGCTGGACCCCCAAGAGAGAGCTCAGAACCAAATTAGGTTGTGTGAAATTAAAAACATTTTTAAAAACCCAGCCTGTAGAAGCTTATTGTCTGGTTATGGCAAAAAATCAATTGAATAGAACAGATACCCTCTGCTTATAGAATGTGTTGCACCAGACCAACCCTCCCACAATTAATAGATATTAAAGCTGGAGAGCAGGCAAGAAAAGCTGCTGTTTCAAGGCATTGGAAAGTAATCAAGATGGTAAAGATCTTAGGTGCCAGGGTCGCCTCCCCGAGAGGAGGGAACACAGGAGACAAGCTAAGTGCTGTAGCCACCTTTCCTCAGGAGCATGTATCATCTGCCATGTGGGGAAGAGTCCAAAAGACAGCTGCGTCCCATGCATCTGAAAAGATCAAAGGGGAAGCCAAGGCTTTCCAGGCCGTCAGGATTTGAGGGGGCACGATCCATGAGAAAACAGATTTCCAGAGAAGCGAGTCCACCATTTTGCACAGATTTTTCTCTTGGGGAATTTGTCAAGTCTCAAGGTGCATAGGTTCATAAGAGGCTTACAAATCAAGCACAAAGCAGCTGCTCAGTGCTAAGTAGCCAAGGAGAGCTGGAGAGTCAAATAAGACAAAAACTTCCAAGAAGAGAAAGGGCCCTAGTGAGCACCTCCTGTTCCAGTAGAGGCCTCAGCAGTGCTGTAGACCAACAGCAAAGACAAACTAGAGCCAAGTCAGTCTTTGCAATGCCCAACACCTGGCCTCAAAACATTTCAGGGCCTGTTTGTATCTATATCCTGTTCTACTCTAACAGCTGGGCAGGAGAAGATTAATGCGCTCTCGAGGAAGACAGCCTCATCCAGACCTTCTAATGCTTTCCATGCACCATCTCAGACATTCGACACAAATGTGCCAGGCCTGCCCATAGACAAGATAGAATAACATGAAAAATAAGACAATAGAAACAGATCTCCATGGGATCTAGATTTTGCAGTTTTTAGACAGAGACTTTAACAAAAATGTAATAATTCAAGAAAATACATAATCAAACTGAGAATCTTACCCCACAACTGGGAAGAATAACAACTCAAACATACAATAATTGAAACTAAGAATGCTCTAAGCCAGAACCCCTGTAGGAGACAGAAACCATAAATCTGAACCGAGAAATATTAACAGAAAGAATCAGTATCTGATACCAAGGACCTCCTACCAGGGTGCAAAGAGAACAGCAAATAGCACAGGGATAAAAGCTGCAGGGAGAGCCCTACCCCAGGGACTGTGGTGGTGCCACTGAGTGAGGAAGGCATCTGGAAGAGGGGACCCACATCTGCAATCCAGACCTCACTGGAGAGAGCATGGCTCTGGTCCGCTGTGTGGGGAAGTTCCCTGAGGTGTCATAAGCCGGGGCTGCCAAGCAGCTTAGCGTACATCAAGTTGCCTATAAAATTCTCTGGAAAGCTTTCCCAGTTCAGAAGAAAACTATCTGCAATGTAAGCAGGGTAATTGGGAAGGGCAATGAGAAGAACGAAGAGGGCAAATATGTGGATAATAATGAAAAACAGTAGGATTCACACATATGCGAAAGAAGAATGCATGAGAACATCACAGCTTTGCCAAATGGGAAGGGGCTTACATTGGACGAACCTTCCCACCAGAAATCATCACAGGAGAACCCCATTTGATTGCACTTGCCAGATACTACGATTTTCAAAGCTGGAAGGTTTGTGGCAACCCTGCGCTGAGCAAGTCTGTGCCATTTTCCCAAGAGCATGGGTTCGCTTCAGGTCTCTGTGTTATTTCTGTAATTCTTAGGTTTTGGTAATTCTTGCAATATTTCGAACATTTAAATTATGCCTTTTATGGTGATCTGTGAACAGTGATCTTTGATGTTACTATTGCAATTGTTTAGGGGCACCATGAATTGTGCCCATGAAAGACTATGACCTTGACCAATAAATGTTGTGTGTCTCCTGACTGCTCTCCTAGTCGTCTCCCCATCTCTCTCCCTCTCCTAGGGCCTCTGTGTTCCCTCAGACACAACAATATTGAAATTAGACTAATTAATAACCTTGCCATGGCCTCATGTTCAGATGAAAGGAAGAGTCACACTTCTCTCACTTCCAATCAAAAGCTAGAAATGCTTCAGCTTAGTGAGAAAGCAGGTTGAAAGCTGAGATAGGCCAAAAGCTGCACTTCTTGGGCCAAACAGCCACGTTGTGAATGTAAAGAAAAACCTCTTGAAGGAAATTAAAGGTGCGGCTCCAGAAAACACGCAAATGATAAGAAAGTGAAACAGCCTTCTTTCTGAGATGGTGGAAGTTTGAGTGGTCTGGACAGAAGATCAAACCAGCCACAACATTCCCTTAAGCCAAAACCTAGTCCAGAGCAAGGCCCTAGCTCTCTTCAATTCTGTGAAAGCTGAGAGAGGTTAGGAAGCTGCAGAAGAGAAGCCTGAAGCTAGCAGACGTTGATTCATGAGGTTTAAGGAAAGAGGCTGACTCTGTAACACAAAAGTGCAAGACGAAGCAGCAAGCGCTTGTGGAGAGGCTGCAGTAAGACGTCCGTTAGACCTAGCTAAGATCATTGAGGAAGGTGGCTACAATAAACATGAAGGTGGCTACAATAAACAACATATTTTCAGAGTAGATGTAACAGCCTTCTACTAGAAGAAGATGCCATCTAGGACTTTCACAGCTAGAGGGGAGAAGTCAATGCCTGGCTTCAAAGCTTCAGAGGACAGGCTGACTCCCTTGTGAGGGGCTAATGCAGCTGGTGACTTTAAACTGAAGCCAATGCTCATTTCCCATTATGCAAATCCTAGGGCCCTTAAGAATGATGCTAAATCCACTCTGCCTGTGCTCTAGACATGGAACAACAAGGCTGAATGACAACATTTGAATGACAAACCTGTTTACAGCATGGTTTACTGAATATTTTAAGCCTAATGTTAAGACTTATTGCCCAGAAAAAAAAAAAAAAGAAGAAAAGATTACTTTCCAAATACTAATGTGACAGTTCACCTGGTCACTCAAGAGCTCTGATGGAGGCCGGGCATGGTGGCTCATGCCTGTAATCCCAGAACTTTGGGAGGCCCAGGTAGGTGGATCACCTGAGGTCAGGAGTTCAAGACCAGCCTGACCAACTTGGTGAAACCCGACCTCTACTAAAAATACAAAAATCAGCCAGGCATGGTGGCACATGCCTGTAATTAATTCTAGCTACTCGGGAGGCTGAGGCACAAGAATTGCTTGAACCTGGGAGGCAGAGGTTGCAGTGAGATAAGATCATGCCACTGCACTCCAGCCTGGGAGACAGAGTGAGACTCTGTCCAAAAAAAAAAAAAAAAAAAGGTCTGATGGAGATGTACGAGGAGATGAACGTTGTTTTGCTATTTTTATGCTTGTTAGGACAACATCCCTTCTACAGCCCTGGATCAAGGAGTCATCTCAACTTTCTTCTTATTTAACAAATACATTTTGTAATACTACAGATGCCACAGATAGATTTCTGTCATGAAGAACATTTGTCATTCATGGAAGGAGGCCAAGATGTCAATATTAATAGTTTGGAAGAAGTTGATTCCAACCCTTTGAGGGATTTCAGACTTCAGTGGAGGAAGGAACTGTAGATATGGTGGAAATAGCAAGAAAACTAGAATTAGAAGTGGAGTCTGAAGATGTGACTGAATTCCTGCAATCTCATGATCAAATCTGAACAGATGACGAGCTGCTTCTTATGGATGAGCAAAGAAAGTGGTTTCCTGAGATGGAATCTACCCCTGGTGAAGATGCTGTGGACATTGTTGAAATCACAACAAAGGATTTATAATATTCCATACGCTTTGTTGAGAAAGCAGTGGCTGGGTTTGAGAAGGTTGGCTCCAATTTTGAAAGAAGTTCTACCATGGGTCAATTGCTACCTCATGCTACTGGGAAAGCTTTTGTGAAAGAAAGAGTTGATTGATGCAGCCAGCTTTACTATTGTCTTATTTTAAGAAACTGACACAGCCACTTCAGTGTTCAGCAACCTCCACCCTGATCCATCAGCAGCCAACATCACCCAGGCAAGATCCTCCACCAGCAAAAATATGATGACTCCCTGAAGGCTCAGAGGATCATCAGCATTTTTAGCAATCAAGTATTTTTAAATTAAAGTATGTACATTTTTAGACATAATGCTATTGCACGCTTAGTAGACTCAAGGATGGTCTAAATATAACTTTTATATGTACAGAGAAACCAAAAAAACTGTGACTCATTTTATTGTGATATTTACTGTATTGTGGTGGTCTGGAACCAAACCTGCAACATGTCCAATCTCTGCATGTATAAGCTCTGGGTAAGACATCAAAATAACTGTTGGGAGGCACTGGAGAGTGACTAAACAGGCAGAATCTGGAGGAGAGACACAGCTCCTGAGATAAGGGGTTTAATCTGGGTAAGTTTTATGTGCATCTGGCTATTCTCCTGAGGGAATTTCCCGTCTGCAGGGCCCAAGAAGATTAGAGGACAAGAAAGCAGCAGTCTCACCGGGCTGGGGAATCAGGAATCCATGTTTAGGACTTCCAGCGGGGCTGGAAATTGAAGAAGAAAATGCTGGATTGAGGAAGTTGCATAGGATGATTCCCTGAATCTGTACACTTCCCTCAAATTCTTGGCTCACTCTGCCGTGCACAGGCACATACACATGCACACGCACATGCAAATGCACATACATATACACATGCACACTCACATGCACACTCCTCGCATGCACACTCCTCACATGCACACTCACATGCACATGTACAACACATACATATACACATGTACATGCAGATACACATGCACATGCAGATACACATACACACAAACATGCACAAATGGACATAAACATACACATGCACATATGTGCAAATGCACACACACTTACACAGGCACATACACATGCACACACATGCAAATGCACATACATATACACATGCACACACATATACACATGCATGTGCACACACACTCACATGCACACGTACATCCACATCCACATGCACATGCACATGCAGACACACATGCACATGCAAATGCACATACACACATGCACACACGCACATAAACATACACGTGCACATATGTGCAAATGCACACACACGTACACCTGCACATGCACATATGCACATGCAAAATCACATGCACATAGATGTGCAAATATGCATATGTACACATGCAAAGGTACATGTAAGTACACATGCACATACACATATGCATGCACATGAAAATGCACACACACATACACAAACATGTACACGCACACATATGCACATAAACAAATGCACACATATGTACACACGTACACATGCACATACACATACACACATACATGCAAATGCACAGACATGAACACACAGGCACACGCAAATGCACACACACATGCACATACACATACACACGCACATGAAAATTCACATGCGTATGCACATACACACGCACATGCAAATGCACATGCACATACACGTACACACGTACATGCACACACACGTACACATGCACATGCAAATGCACACACATGCAAATACACATGCACATGTACATACACATGCACATGTAGATGCACATACATGTGCACACACACATATACATGCACATGCACATACACAGGGCAAATCTCTATGGAGCCTCACCAAAAAATAGCTGGAAGGCTGAAAGACAGCAGAGAATTCAGCAACTGCACAGTGCTGCAGAAACAGTTTAGAGCTCAAGTTTCACCATGTTAGAGGGCCTTGATAAACACTGCGGGCATTCCACTGGAACCCCAGAAGAATTCAGAACTGCATCCTAAAACTAGTACTGAGGCCCTAAGGCTGAGGGCAAAATTGAATAGATTTTTCTAACAGCAGGTAGGACCTTAGGACCAAGATGATATGCCAGTAATTTAATTGCCATCTAGAACAAAATTAACAGTCTTTGGAGAAGATAACAGAATCTCGAGATTCTACAACTTATCATCCACAATGTTCATTATAAAAACAAAAATTACTAGACATGGAATGAGGCAGTAAGCTGTCATCCAAAGTCAAAGGAAAAAACGGTTCATAGAAGAAGACCCAGGCATGGTATAGATGTTGGAATTAGATGAAAATGACATTAAAATACCCATAACTATGTTAAGTATTTATAGGGTAAAATGTATATAATGAGTGAAGTGGTAGGAAATTTTTGGAGAGCTATGGAAATTCTAAAAGAGAAGAACAAAATCCATGCAATAGAAAGGATCATTCAACTTAAAGGCAGAGCATGAGAGTTTGAATAAACTGAAGTATAGAGGAAAAAAAAGACTGAAAATAAGTAAACATAGCCTTAGCCACCTGTGTAGAAATATTAAGCAATGTAACATATGTATATATATACACATATATATACATATATACATATACATATATATACATATACATATATACATATACATATATACATATACATATATACTTATACATATATACATATACATATATATACACATACATATATATACATATACATATATATACACATACATATATATACATATACATATATATACACATACATATATATACATATACATATATATACACATACACATATATATATATATATATATATATCAGAAATCCAAAAAGGAGAAGCAGAATGGAAGAAAAAATATTTAAATACATATTAGCTAAAAATTTTCTAAATGTGATTAAAACATCAATCTATTATTCCAGAAAATTCAATAAAATCAAGCAAAATAAATGCAAAGAAAAGAACAGCTAGGCACATCCTTGTCAAATGGATAGAGATCCCAGTTAAAGAGAAAATCCTAAAGGCATTTGGAGGGGTAAGAAGGGACAGACAGGCAGAAGGTAAAGAAACAGGTCGCAGTTTATTTCTCATCAGAAACCCTCAGGCCAGAAGACAATGGAGTGGCGTCTTAAATGTGAACCTAGAATTTTATAACCAGCAAAATGCTTTCAAAATTGAGGGTCAGATAAAGATATTTTCATAAAATGAAAACCGGGAGAATTCATCACCAGGACTTTCACACTGGAACAAAAAATTTCCTTTAGTGAAAGGAAAAAGGGGATGGCACTGGAAATGGAACAGATGTGGGTAAATAAGATGACTTTTTCCTGAAATGCTTGAAATGTCAATTGACAAATAATAAGCCAAAAAGTCACCAGAATGAGAATATCACGCTTTGCAACTCTGAATGAATTAGTAAATGTGGGCATTAAAAATCGATGCTGTTTCGCATGGCAAAAAGAGGTACAATTGAAAATTACGTGCCTCCCACGCTCTGGCCAAACACCAAATAGCATCTTTACAAAGGGATTAAGCCTGAGCATGACCCAGTCTCTGGCTCCCGCTGCCAATTTGCAAAAAAAATATAAAGGACAGAGGAGCATGTTGAGAGTGTTATCAGCAAATTCCAGACTGCAGGAGAGTCCACGACTCAAAGGAACCAGACTTCCCCACAGATAATGGCACAGAAAAGAAAAAAAGTAGAAAGGGAGTTTACAGGATAAAAGAAGCTTAAAAGACATGTCAAATTTTAAAATTGGACAAGACTAATTTGTAATGTCCAGGAATTCACATTTGAATGATAAAACTATTTTGTTTAAAAAGATACGATTACTATAAAAATCAGGATTATGTTTACTTATGGGGTGTGGAGCAGGTGGAGGGGCCTGACTGAGGCAAGGCTGATGGACATGGTTCCCAGGGTGGGTGACAAAACCATGTTTCTTAAACTGATGGGAGTTACCAGGGTGTTTGCTTAAGAATAATTTGTAAACCACACATGTATTGTATTTTATTCTCTGTATGCATTTTATTATTTTATGATGAAAACATTTTTTAAGAAATGAGCACTTTAAAGCAAAAATAATAACAATGTTGTATGGGATTCATAGCATATGTTAAAGTAAAATGATAGCATATGCATGTGGTGAGGAAACCCCCAAATTACCAAGGCTGTGGAAAAATTTCTAGGCTCCTGCAGGGTAGGAAATATTAGGAATATTTTCTATCCCAACAATTAAACTTCAACACATCACAATTCATGGGGCATCAGGTGTTGAAAGGTCTTGCCTCAGTAGAAGGGAATAATTATCCCTCCAGTAACTGTGGCTCTGATTCAGTCTAACTAAACTCGAAAGAAGAACCAAAAGGATCAAACTATTTCCAAGTAACTTGACTGTATCCTCAAATATATTTACAGAAACACAAAAATATACAGCACCCAACAAGACAAAATTATAACATTTGTTATACAATCAATTTACCAGGTATGCAAAGAAGCAGAAAGTCTGATCCAAGTTGACGACAAAAAAGCATTCAAGAGACGATGGCACAGATCATAAGAGCAAAACACAAGGACATTCAAGCTGCTCTTATAACTATATTCTGTATATTAAAAAAAAAAAACCCAGAGAAGACTGGACGTATTACATCATAACACAGAAGATAGGAAAAGACCCAAATTGAACTTCTAGAAATGGACATTGCTATGTCGATTAAAGAGAAAAAAAGGACAAATAGAAGATAAACCTCAGAACGCAGCATGAAACCAAGTATTATTAATAATTATTTTAAATTTAAATGTTCTCAATACCTCAGTTAGAAGACAGGGATTTCCAAATTGGATGAAGAAAAAAAATAAAAGACCAAGCTCTATGCTACCTGCAAAAAGCCCACTCTGGATATAAAGACACAAATAAAGGTAGAATGATGGAAAATGGTATATTTTGCTAGCACTCACCAAAAGAAACCTGGAGTTGCTACATTAAACTCAGACAAAATAGATTTCAGAGCAGAGAGTGTTACAAGAGATCTTAAGATCATTTCAAAAATGATAAAGGGGTCAACTCATCGAGAGGACATAACAATCCTACATGTTCATGGATTAATAACAGAGGTTCACAGTGCATGAAGCAAAAACTGTTAGAAACAAAAGGAAAATGGACAAATCCACAGAAATAGCGAGATGGAAACATCCATCTTTCCCTAATTGATAAAATAAGGAGGGAGAGTCTGTAAGGACATAGAAGACTTGAACAGCAGCATGAATTGACTTGACCTGATTAACAGTTATTTATAAAGCACGTTTTCCTTTTCACATACCTGTGAAACATTTGCCAAGACAGGCCCTATCCGGGGTCATCAAAACAGAATCTCAGTACATTTGAAAGGATTCAGGTCATGGGCTGTGGCGTGAGTGTGTCCCCTCCAAAATGCAGGTCTCGCCAGCGTGATGATGTTGAGAGGTGATCCGCCGTGCGGCTCCTCCCGTGGGTGGGGTGAAGGCCGTTCTGCCCGAGGCTTCCTCCACTAGCCCTTCCGCCTTCCTCCTGTGCGGACTCGGTGTCCTTTCTGTCTGGAGGGTGCAGCCCTCACCAGGCAACTGGACCTGCTAGCACCTTGATCTCAGACTTCCCAGCCTCCAGAACTGTGAGAAGATACATTTTTGGTTTTTACAAATTACCTGGTCTCAGGGATTTTATTGCAGCAGCACACGGCGGACTAAGGCTCACACACAGTGTGCTCTGTAACCACGATGGACTGAAATTAGAAATCAGTAGCAGAAAGATTTCTGGAAAGTTCCCAAATGTTTGAAAACTGAATAACATACTTGTAAATAACCCATGCATTAAAGAAGAAATCCAAAGGGAAATTAGAAAGTGTTTCGAACTGAATGGAAATGAAAACAGAGCATATCAGAACTTGAAAGATGTCCCTCAAACAGCAGATAGGAGGAGATTTAGAGCCCAGAAGACCACTAGTAGATGAAAAGAAAGGTTTCACATCAAAGCTCTCTCCTTTAACCTTAAAGAGCCAGTAAAAGGAAAGAAAATTAAACTGAAATTAAGCAAAAGTGAGGAAACAATAAAGAAAAGAGAATAAATCAATGGAATAGAGAACAGAAAAACAAGAAAGAAGATCAATGAAGCCAAAAGCTTTTTTTTTTTTTTTTTTGAGGTCATTAAAATTGGTAAACCTCTAACCAGACTGACTGGAGGAAAGAGAGAAGACATAAATTATAAATATCAGAAATGAGAATGATGACATCACTACAGATTATATAGATATTAAAAAGATAGTTGGGAAATATGATTAACTTCATTCCAATAAATTTGACAAACTAGATAAAATTCACAAATTAGTTAAATACACAAATAACCAAAGTTCTCTCAAAAAGAAATAGCTGTCTGGGATACCCCTTAACTTATACAAAGAAACTGAGTTTGTAGATAAAAATCCTTTCACAAAGAAAATCCTCAGAATGTTTGATGCAGTGCCGCTCCAATACGGTGGGGCGAGTCTTCCTAATAAATCATGTTGACCTAATCCAATAACTAGATGGGAAAAATGAATTGACCCTCATTTCACATGATTTAAAAGTAGCTTAAAAACCACCTCAAAGCATCAGGCCAGATAGATTTTAGACCTGAAAGTGAAAGGTAGAACAATAAAGCCTCCAGGACATAATATAGGGCATGACCTTGAGGTGGTTGCTAACCATGAAGGAAAAGGTTAAAACATGGGATTTTATCAGAATTGATCATTTATGTCCATCAAAAGACTCATCTCCAGAATATATGTTTTAAAGGAAACCCCCAAAAATTAATAGAAAAAACACAAACTTTTATTTTTTTTTATTTTTTATTTTTAGACAGAGTCTCCCTCTGTCACCCAGGCTGGAGTGCAATGGCATGATCTCGGCTCACTGCAACCTCCACCTCCGGGGATCAAGCCATTCTCCTGCCTCAGCCTCCCGAGTAGCTGGGATCACAGGTGCCCAACATCACACCTGGCTAATTTTTGTATTTTTAGTAGAGACAGGGTTTCACCATGTTGGCCAGGCTGGTCTCAAACTCCTGACCTCAAGTGATCTGCCCTCCTCGGCCTCCTAAAGTGCTGGGATTACAGGTGTGAGCCACCACACAATTATTTTTTTTTAGAAAAAGTTGGCAAATAGCTCATACAAGCGCTCCATAAGGATATTGAATTGGTTACTATACAAGTGTGCTGACCCTCATGAGTTATCCAGAAAATGCGTATTAAAATTACAAAACAGTATCACTACACAGAATGGCTAAATTTTTAAATTGAAGGTACAAAGTGTCGACAAAGATGTGAAGTAACTGGCAATACACTGGTAAGAGTGAGTTGACACAGCCATGCTGAAGATCCATCCACCCGTGTTTCCCAACACCACGCCTGCCAGCATTTATGACCTGTTAATTTGCTCATTGATATATACCCAACATAAATGTGTTTATTTACCAAAAGGTGTGTATGAAGCTTTATAGCAGTTCTACTCATAATAGGCAAAAAAAATTAGAACCAATTACATTGTCCCTCAACAGTAGAATGGAGAGATAAATCTCCATGGTGTCATACGGGGGGAGGGGTAATAGAGAAATTAAAGTAAGGGAGTGCTGTTCCCTGCAACCGCAGGGATGATCCACAGACACAATGTAGAGAGAAGGGAGCCGGACACACAGGAGTGCATTGTACCCAACTCCAGTCAGGCAGAACTCATCTCTGTGTCAGGGTTAGAATAGCAGAGACCTTTGGAAGGTGGTCACAGGCAGGGAAGGGAGCCTTCTGTGGTGCCAGTGATGTTCTGTTTCCTGACCCAGTTGATGGTTAGCTGGGGGACCTCACTCAGTAAAATCTCTGTAAAATCTCATCAAGTGTGTTCCCTTATGATACGTGCACTTCTCTGAATGTGTATTCTACTTAAAGTGCTAAACAGTGCTGTGAAATGATCAGCAGTGGAATTCGAACCATGTGCTGTTGATGCCACATGAAGGCAGCCACTGCCAGGAGAGTTCTGAGTTCAGATCTCAGCTCGGCAGTTTCCTAGCCCAAAACAGCGGGAAGATATTTCAGCTTCCTCCACTTCAGTGGTTGCATCTTTGAGCCTCACTACGGGAATGTTTGAGGTTTAATAGACAACCTAATTCATGTACCTAATTCAACACCTGGTGTATGGTCAACCTGCTAAAAAAGAAAATTGTGGTGGTGGGTGTCAGTTAAGAGAGTGGGCTCTGGGGTCAGGCTTGGGTTTGAGTTCAAGTTCTGCCACAAGAAGCGGCTTCACATTCTTTCTCTGTTTCTCCATCTATAAAATGAGTCTAATGCAGTGAGAAATAGGTGAGTTGTGACTTAGAAGGCACAGAGAACGTGGCTTCTTCATGTTTCTAATCCTTATAATTACTATTATGATGTCATGGAGCTTAAGGAAGGGAAATTCCTGCAGGTGGGAAGCTTTGGAAGGATTCTGAGAGAAGGTGGGACTTCAGGTGCCCTTTCAGGAATAAATGAGGTTCGGGGCCAATGAATTCAGGTGAACTGAACTTTTGGGGGGTTCCCTTTTTTTTTGAGATGGAGTCTCACTCTGTCACCCAGGCTGGAGTGCAGTGGCATGATCTCGACTCACTGCAAGCTCCGCCTCCTGGGTTCACACCATTCTCCTGGCTCAGCCTCCCCAGTAGCTGGGACTACAGGTGCCCGCCACCACACCCGGCTAATTTTTTGTATTTTTAGTACAGATGGGGTTTCACCGTGTTAGTCAGGATGGTCTCGATCTCCTGACCTCGTGATCCACCCACCTCGGCCTCCCAAAGTGCTGAAATTACAGGCGTGAGCCACCGCGCCTGGCCGGGGGGTTCCCTTTCTTTCCCCCCTCCCCATTACTTAAATAGGATTCATTATCAGGAAATTCAAAGACTCACAGAGCCCAGCCCTGATTGACCTCTTCCAACTTTCCAAGGAGGAAACTGTTGCCCAAAGGGGTCAGGGGGCCTTTTGAGGTTCCACGTGGGCCTGAGATGAACCCGGCTCAGGTCACTTCTCAGCTCCCCAAGTACCCAAGCATGCCCTGAACTCTTACTCCCAGCCTGTCCAGAAACTGTGGCAAGAAGAATCCTGGTCCCTTCATCAGATGTGAACGTCCCATAGATGGACACTATCCTCATCACTAAGTGCAGCACCCAACTACGAGGCAGCTGTGCTGGGTGGGTGTGCATGCAGAGAAAAGGACAATCCTGAAGCATTTAAGGCCTGGAGAATGCATCTCCTTAAATTGAAAACGTTGATCCTCACCAGCCTTCCCCAGACTCCTCTTTTTCATCTAACTTTTCAGCAGCCAGTACAGGAGCTAATGGGCTTTTACCACTTTTAAACTCAACATACTAATTATAGTTCAAAGAACCACGTGCAGATTCAAGCATTTTTCCCTTACCACATTTCCTGATCTTTATGAAGCACTAATTAAAAACTTTTTTTTCTGTTGTTGCTTCTCTGACAGTTTTGCCAATTTGCAAGCTGACATGCGGAGCTAATTAGAAGAAAAGGCCATCGGCAGATCCCCACTGTCGGGGGCTGGGGCTCAGGAATGCAGGGGGGCGCACCTCTGAGAAATGTGACGGAGCAGAGATAAATCAGCCCTTCCAAGAAGACTCAATCAACCTTTACGCATGCCTGCTTTTTGCCTGGCAAGGTGCTAGGCTTTAGACAGAGAACTAGACTGATGTGGACCCTGCCCTAACAAAGCTTAGGTTCCAGTCTCACCCCAGCCTAGCTGGGCCCCAAGCTCACCCTTAGATATGCAGTTTTACATTAGGGCAAACGGGGGCTCTTTGAGGCTAGGGTACTCTCACCCCTGCTTCACTGACTCCTCACTGCAGCCTCCAAACTGGTTACCAACTCCCTCACTTCACACATGAAGGACCAAAGCACAGAGAGTTCATGTGACAGTCGAAGGTTTCACGGCCACCAAGAGCAGACATAGGAATCGATTCTATGCCCAAATGCAGGCCAAACTCTTTCTAGAATGCAAAGCTGAATAAAGTCACAGGGCCAGGAAATGGGGTGGGGTCATCACAGGAATCCCAGCTGTGGTTCCTTCTACTCCAAGACTCTGTTCTCTCTCTATGTAGGTGAGATGATAGATGCACATATTGATAGAAATAGATACATACAGAGAGATACATGCAGATAGATACATACAGTAGATACATGCAGATAGATACATGCAAAGAGATACATGCAGATAGATACATACAGTAGATACATGTAGATAGCTACATGCAGAGAGATACATGCAGATAGATACATACAGAGAGATACATGCAGATAGATACATGCAAAGAGATACATGCAGATAGATACATACAGTAGATTCATGCAGATAGATACATGCAGATAGATACATGCAGATACAGTAGATACATGCAGAGAGATACATACAGAGAGATACATGCAGAGAGATACATGCAGATACAGTAGATACATGCAGAGATACATACAGAGATACATGCAGAGAGATACACACAGAGAGATACACGCAGAGAGATACATGCAGATACAGTAGGTACATGCAGAGAGCTATAAGTAGATAGATACATACAGATAGATACATGCAGAGAGATACATGCAGAGAGCTATAAGCAGATAGATGCATGCAGATAGATAAATGCAGAGAGATATGTGGCAATAGATACATGCAGAGAGATACATACAGAGAGATAAATCCAGAGAGATACATAGATACAGGCAGATAGATACGTACAGAGAGATACGGGCAAATAGATACATGCAGATAGTGGGATAGATAGATGGATACAGACAGATAATATAAATAGATGATAGAAGTATAAACAGACAGACAGATGGATATAGATATATCCTATCACTCTATTAAGAGATTGATTCCAAATACAATACAAGAAAAGAAGACTGAAGAATGTAATCCAACCCTGTAGTGAGC
Source organism: Homo sapiens (assembly GCF_000001405.40). Classification (NCBI taxonomy): domain Eukaryota; kingdom Metazoa; phylum Chordata; class Mammalia; order Primates; family Hominidae; genus Homo; species Homo sapiens. Next base: position 141,964,050 of record NC_000008.11, read on the forward strand.
ATTTCTGCCCACATATTTGGCCCCAGCGTCACCCTGAGGGACTAGACTTCAGGGCTGCTGGTGAGAATTCACAGCCCCTAAACATCCCCCTTCCCACTGAGCCTGAAGCCTGGCATTCTGCCTTTCCTCACATCCTCTTCTGTGCCTTTTCCCTGGAAGTACAACCTCCCGTTTTCAATCACCCACATCCCATGGGTTTCCTCTGGTTCTGCATCCTGGGACCCACAGTCAGGGAGGAAGGTCTTAGAGACCCCAAGGGCTGTGGAGACAACAGCAACCTTCATTTGCGTGAGTCCAGCTGTGCCCAGTCCCCGTGGAGAGCTCCTGGAAATGCAGGTGCAGTGCAGCCCTGGCCTCTGAGTGACTTCAAGGAAGAAGCACGTTCCCAGAGAAACCATGATCCTGGATTGTGTTGAGTGGGAGTCCTGGCAGAGGGGAGCCTGATATGGCTCATGGGGGGCCTCCAGGATGAGAGGGCAGCAACCCTGAGTAAGTGAGGGGAGTGAAGGCTCTCTGGGCAGAGGAGCCAACAGTGGGACAAGGCCAACAGGTAGCAGAGAGCAGAGGGTGTCTGGGAGCGAGGCTTCTCCAGGCGCAGGTGCAGCTGGGAGAGATGAGGCTGGGTGGGGGAAGGGCCTTGGGTCAAGGTCTGCAACGGGGCATTGTCCTGAAAGTGGTGGGAAACACTGATGACATTGAAATGAGGCTATAGCGGAAGCTGATTTGTGACTTAAAGACTGCTCTGGCTTTTGTGTGGGGTGCTGAGGCTGGAAAGGCGCTGTCACTATCACCTAGGCGGGGCTGGTGGTCTCACCGTGGTGGGAGCAGGGAGCTAGAGCCCAAGGACTGAATTCCATAAGCAGTTCAGAGGCAGACGGGACAGAATTTAGTGAGGGGTTGGCATGGGGATGATGGAGGAGAAAGAGCCTCAGGTTTCTGGTTTGGGCAGCTGTGTGGCGGGAGGGGCGAGACTGGGAATTTAAGAAAGAGTGGGGATCATGAGTGTTGGGAGGAAGAGAAAATGGCCTGAAGCCTGGGTGTGCAGTGCTGGTACCCAGGTGAGTGGTGTAGGGATGCTTTCGGTCCATGCCACTTGGCCTCCCTGCTCCCTTCCAATCCTCCAGACTGAGGCTAATGTTGTCACTTTGGGCACTGCCTCCTGGTGCAGGGAAAAGGGTTCTCAGGGGACCCATCCACGCCCTTTTGTTTAGGAAAACAGCTGGGCTTTTTGTGATTGGAATTGGAGTTCATGCTGAGTCCCCACCTTCATTGCAATTCCCGGGTGGGATCTGTGCAGGCCCGTCTGGGAAGAGATTGGCTTGAATGATATTTGCTGTTATTAGGACCAGGGACCCAAGAATGCCCGAATCCTCAACTGAATCCATGCTGTCTCCTCCACTCATGGCCCCAGCAAGATTCTGAAGGAAGGCATCTCTGTAAAACAGGAAATCACTGGCAGTCAGCTGTTCTTGATCCACAAAAATGGCAACTTCAGAGAGTTCAATCAACACAAAGAATCAAAATACTACTTTAAAATCGTCTGAGACCACTGCAGTTCACTCTGCTGCAGGCAGGTAGAGACCATCACACAGGGCCCAGTGCTGGATCAGGACAGCTCCTCCACTGAGCCTCTGGGCCTCACGCCTCTCTATCCAGCTGCACGGCACCACCGGCCTTCAAGGAGCTGGTCAGGTGACAGCCCAGGTAACACAGGCCTGACCCAGCTCTAGGAAGGGGACCTTTAGCAATATTTTTGTGGGAAGGAGAAAGAGGAAGTTGTAAGACGATGATGGAGGTGAAGAGAACTTTCCCCCTTAGAGTCACCCTGTTATTGATGTCAAGATGCTGAACAGGTCAGGAGCAGTGGCTCATGACTGTAATCTCAGAACTTTGAGAGGCCAAAGCAGAAGGACTGCTTGAGGCTAGGAGTTTGAGACCAGCCTATGAAACACAGGGAGACCCCATCTCTACAAAACAAACAATTAGCTGGGCATAGTGGTTCACACCTGTGGTCCCAGCTACTTGGGATGCTGAGGTGGACGGATCACTTGGGCCTGGCAGGTGGAGGCTGTCGTGAGCTGTAATTGGGCCACTGCACTCCAGCCTGGGGAACAGAGTGAGACCCTCTCTCTCACTCTCACTAAAAAAAATGCTGATCAAATCCTCATCTAGAAGGGGGTTCCCAGGGGCTGATTGTCAGAACTGAGCACCAGAGCACACACATGTGCACACACACACACACACACACACACACACACACAGAGGAGAGGAGGCCATTGGGTGAGACCTTGGTGACAGCCACTTCTGGTGCAGGAGCCCCATCGCAGGTTAGCTCCTCCTGTCTGAGTTAGTTTGGGTCCATCAAGAAGCAGTGCAAAGTGGGGCTGGATGTATAGGTCGTGTGCTACAGGCACATCTGTGGAGGATTAAGCAGAGGAGCTAAAGGAGGTGAAGGCAGGGAGTGCCTCCCACTCTCCTTCAAAGGCAAACAGCTTTGAAGACAAAGGGGGATGAGGGCAGGTTGATGCCGCGGTGCACAGGAGGTGGGGGCCCAGAAGGTGGTTGTGAGTCCATTGGCCAATTATGCTGAGCACTCTTGCACTCGATGAAAACTGATTATTTTGTGGTGACTGTGAGACCCTGAATAAACCTACTCCCCTGAGGCTCACAATCCACACGAAGCCTGAGCCTTCCCAGGGTTCCTCCAGCCAGCCATACTGACCCCTGTCTCTGCCTTATTCCTTGCTGACCTTGGGAGAAACAAGGCAGTGGGGATGGAGGAAGGGGATGGGAGAAACATGTCCTGTAGATGGTGACTGAGGTCACACAAGGGGATAAGGGCAAGTAGGCGGAGCTGGGTTCAAATATTGTCATGTGCTGTGCACGCCCATGCTCTGAGCTTCCCTGAGCCACACTGGAACAATGACCATCCTGGGACCCACCTGTCAGGGTGTCCATGGAGGTATCTGAGATGACTGAGGAGAACTGACTAGCAACATGCCTGGCATGCTTTGGGCTCTGTGTAAAGACCCAACCTCCTCTCTCTCCCATCCCCCTTTCCTCCAGATGCCATCCTCCTCAGTACTGATGGGATCCAATACAGAATGTGATGTTTATGATTTAATGGATGACAAAATACCAAGTAAATATCTAGGCCGATGTAGTCAAATGCCAAACCGTAAATCGCGTGTTCAGGCACCTCCTCCAGGTTCATGAGTGTAATCCTGGCTGGAAGCAAAGTCACTTTCAGCACCGCAGACAGCATCCTGGGCACTGAGGGAGTCTGTAGCTCCCTTGGCTGAATGAAGCCATCAACACAGGGTATTTACCTTTTTCTTGGGGCCACTGGACAATATGGTTTTTTTTGGAGGGTATAAAAAATTATTACACATAAAGAATATTACCACTAACAAATGCAGACAGGCTAGGACACCATGGTACAAGGTGGAGGATGACTAGCTCTTTGGAAAGTGAAAGGTTTGGGCGGCATGGGCCTCATGCCATGCTGATTGGTCAGTAGACGGGAGGGCACGTGCCGAACACCACAGGGCATCAGGGCAGCAGGTGCCTGCTCTGTGTGCTCACAGTGTTCCCTGTCTCACCTGGAACACCCAGGTGAGTAACTGAAGCAAAGCGGCTTCCTAAGGTGCCCCTTCCAGGCTTGTCTCTGAAGTCACAGCAATGTCATTTTAAGCAATATGTTTAATTGGATGATTTCCACAGCTATCCACGAAATTTCTAACCATCACAATTCAGTGAAGAAAAGAACATTAAGTTACAGGCTGTGGGAAGAGGAGGCAGCACCCTCTAATCCTGGAGGTTCTCGGGGCAGGGAGAGGGAAAGGTCTTTTGTTTAAACCAAGCCCCTCATCTCAGTGCACAAAAGAATTACTCTGTTCGATATTAGATTGTATTGAAAACAAAAAGGACTAAAAAGCAAATACTATTCTATGTTGGGGTGGAAGTGGGAGGGAAGAATGAGTCTTCAAAGCAGGAGGGGAGACAGCAGGGCGAAGGTTCTGTGCCTGTGACCCTGGGTGGTCATTCACACGGCTCCATTTTTACTTTTGGTTGTCTCAGGAAGGTCTGGTTTTTATTCTCTTTCTTCCCCTTTGTATTGGCTTGGAAGTTTCGCCAGCTGTCCACATGACCATCACGACTTTCTTCAAAGTTTTTCTGCCGCTTTCTTTCTCATTTGGCTTTTTCTTGAGCTTCAGTGTCTTCTTCCCTTTGTCGTTTCCTTTCATGCATCTCTTTGGCTTCTTTCTCTTTCCTTTTAATTTCCTGCTCAGCAAAGCGTTTCATTGTCTGTATACATACAGCTTGTTTGAACAGCTCAGAATCAGCCTCTGCTAAACTCGTAGGTTCTCCTTCCTTCTTTAATTGTTTTTTTCACTCTTTCACACTGCGTTCCACGTATTCCTTTCCTGCCTGAATTACATCCAGGACCTTCTTCTTTTGCTCCTGATCCAGTAGCAACTTGCAAGCTTTGTCCACAGCTTCAAAAGCTGTTTGTGCTGTTAGCATCATCTCGAATTTTGTCAGGATGCACCAATATGGATAACTGCTAAAGCCTCTTTTTTATATTCTCATCTGTAACTTCAGGATCTATCTGAAGAACCTCAGACGGGTTCAAATTGAAGTAAGAGGAACCAGGACGTTCGGCCTTCCAATCCGATTTTTGGATGTTAGAACCAAGTCTCTCTTCTCTATTTGTTTCACCTCACTGTCGAAGGTCATAAATGCTTCCTCTGTGCTGCCATGGGATCCTGCTCTCTCCTGAAGCTGCCATTTCCAGACAATATCTTGCCTCTGTCCCCTGCATTGTCAAATTTCCCCACTTTATGGGATTATAAAATTCTGCTGTAAATATCTTTCATACATACGAAATGTGTATGTCTTCTTGCATATATATATATACACACACATGCATAAGTGTGTGTACACGAAATATGTATAAATACTTTCCGTGTATGTGGGTGCATGTGTGTGTGGGTGTGGGTGTGTGTGCACACATAAACTTACCCGCATTCCTCGAAGCAACTGTCCTTCCCTCTCCTCCCCTTTATAGAAGACCTCTCCAGCACATCATCTGTCCATGAGGCTTCCCCTTCTTCTGTCAACACCTTCATTGCTCCGGTCAGAGTGTTCCTGTATCTGACCTCAGCAGCGCTTGTCAGCAGCCATTTCTCAACTCTTATTTAACTCAACGTGTTATCCATATTTGGCCAGAGGCCCCTTGCCGTGTCTCCGAAGCATTCCTCCTGGACGCCCCATGCTCCTGGTTCTCCCTCACCCCCAGGCCCTCCTTCTCAGTGTCCAGAGGCCCCTTGCCACGTCTCTGAAGCATTCCTCCCAGACGCGCCAGCTCCCGGTTCTCCTCCATCCCCCAAGCCCTCCTTCTCAGTGTCCTTTGCTGCGGTTCCTCAGTATTCCAACTTCCAGAGCCTGGAGTTCTCCTGGGATGTGATGTCCAGCCAGGCTTTTTCTCTAAATTCTCTTCCCAAGTAAAATAATTGTCTCAGCCTGAATTCTTTTCTAAACCCCACATTTATATATCCAATGTCTAACCAAAACAGCACTTAGATGTCTAAAGACCCCCCCCAAATGCAATGTGGCCAAAACCAAACATTCCTCCCTTCCCCAAATTAGCCTGCTCTTCCCCATCTTCATACAGCACAATTCTTTTCCACATGTTCTCACGTTAAAAACCTGGAGATATTCTTAACTCCTCTCTTCATATCACACCAGTTATATCCAATTCAAAGGAAAACCCATGACCTCTACTTTCAAAACATATTTAAGTGTCCGGACACTTCCCATTACCTCCATGCTAACACGTTTGTCCAAACGCACCTGCATTTCACCGGCATTGTCGTGCTCTCTCTCCTGTGTTCTCTCGCTTCCTTTCTCTGTCTCTCAGTCTCTTGCCCTCCTTTTTTGTATGTCTTCCCTTTTCTCTCTGTCATTCTGACTTTCCCACCTCTCCAGACTATTTTCAACACAGCATCCAGGATGGTCTTATGAAAGCACAGTTATGTCACTCTCACACCCTCCAAGGGTCCCGCCCCACCTAGAACATAGCCCAACTCTTCACGAGGGCCTAGAAAGGCCTGCGTGATGTGAAACACCACCCCCGCACAGTCTCTTCAGCATGCTGCCCCCCACCCCTGTGGCTCACTCCTCCCAGCCACAGCCCACCAGGGCCTCCTCCCTGTGGCCCTCACACTTCCTCCTGGCCTTTTGGCTCGTAGTTGTTAGACGGAGAACAGCACTTCCACAATCATTCTCTTTGTCTTACGGCACTTGTCACCATTTGACATGTTCTCTATTTATTGTCTGCTCTTCCTGTTGAACTCAGGCTCAGAGAGAGCAAAGACTCTGTCTTGTTGACTATTCCATCTTTAGCTCTAAAAGCAGTGCTTGGCCCATAACACTTGTTGAGAGAAAGAAAGAAAGGAAGGAGAGAGTGCAGCAGAGGGACAGAGGAAGAACGGATGAGAAAACAGGCATCCTAACATTTGGTAATGAAGCCTGGGACGCTGGGGATTCTCCTAACTCATCTCACACCCCTCAGCACTTGCCCACAGTCTGCAGGGCAGACCGAGACTCTCCTAACTCGTCTCACACCCCTCGGCACTTGCCCACAGTCTGCAGGGCAGACCGAGACTCTCCTAACTCGTCTCACACCCCTCGGCACTTGCCCACAGTCTGCAGGGCAGACCGAGACTCTCCTAACTCGTCTCACACCCCTCGGCACTTGCCCACAGTCTGCAGGGCAGACCGAGACTCTCCTAACTCGTCTCACACCCCTCGGCACTTGCCCACAGTCTGCAGGGCAGACCGAGACTCTCCTAACTCGTCTCACACCCCTCGGCACTTGCCCACAGTCTGCAGGGCAGACCGAGACTCTCCTAACTCGTCTCACACCCCTCGGCACTTGCCCACAGTCTGCAGGGCAGACCGAGACTCTCCTAACTCGTCTCACACCCCTCGGCACTTGCCCACAGTCTGCAGGGCAGACCGAGACTCTCCTAACTCATCTCACACCCCTCGGCACTTGCCCACAGTCTGCAGGGCAGACCGAGACTCTCCTAACTCGTCTCACACCCCTCGGCACTTGCCCACAGTCTGCCGGGCAGACCCCCTTGGGAAGTGATCACTCAGTGACTGAGTCGTCAAAGGAAGAAAGGAATGAGTGAATAAATGAATGATCCAAGCAGCACAGGACTGGGAGGGGGTCTAGCTTAGGTCTCTCCAGGGGCCAAGCACTCCCTGGGCTTCATGGAGCACAGCCCTGCCTGCATGAACATGCCATGGATCCCATTTCCAGCAAAGTGGCCTTTTATGCTTCCCAGACCCTGAGCCACAGACCCCGAGGTGGCTCCTCCTGTCTGGGAGCAGCATCTGCGCAGATCTGAATCCATGGGCACAACTGGCAGGGCTGGGACAGGAAGAAGGGAGCTGGCCTGAATTCTGACTTCCCACAGACAGTGTTCCATTCGGCTGGACAGATCTTCCCCTGGGGTGGAAAGAGCCTCTCTCTGGAACAGAGGTGGTCTCTGGGATTTCACCATTGCTTTCCAGAGTGGAATCACGGCAGGGGGCAGGGGCCATTATACCCCTCAGTAGAATGCCTAGAAGCACCCAGGCTGTGAGAAGCCACAGCAGGGGCCTTTGTTTCTGAGCTCTGAGTGCCTGTTTATGGCCAATGGGGTGTCATTTATTGACATTGTTACACAAGAAGCCACTGTCTTCAGAAAGGGGATCACCCCAGGATTCTTGCCAGCCAGGAGAGCTCTAATTTAATTATCGGCTGCACAAGAACTTGATGGCTGTGTTAGTTTTATCAGCGTGTATGTCCATACATATGTACGTATACGGACACGCACATATTCTTTCTAAGTGATTGTAAATAATGAATAAACTGATAAACTGACACATCATAATTCAGACCTCGAAATGCAATCAGATGCTTATCAGGGAGTGCAATTGCGTCTGCAATGAGTGGATGTGGAGCAGAAGACTCATGGCGGCTGCACCTGCTTCCCCCTCAGTGTCCACCCCAAGCTCTTCAAAGCCCCACCATGGCGATGCACTTCGTCACCATTAATTGTGTGCGAGATATTTATGAGTTTGGTTGTCTGTTAACAACTTGGCCCTGCAGCAATTACTATTTATATTTGCAGTCCCAGCACTGATAATGGGCGGCTAACAGGCTTGGTTAATTGGTTTTCCACCCCTCACCCTCTTACTGTATCTTTCCTGACCAGTGGAGGCGTCTTTCCCAGGGAATCTCATAATGGCCTTTTCATGTGTTGGTGATTTTAATTACCTTTTTATTGCTAGGCAAATCTCCCTTCATTTAATCTGCCAGCCAGAAGAGAGGGCAACATAACCAGCAAACATGGAGACAGAGGAGTGGGAAAGGATTGAGGCTGTAGCACAGGCCCTAGGCCAGCGCACTCAGGTGTGCAGGAAGGCAGCCTGGTTCAAGCTGAAATAAGGGGTATCCTCCTGTGGACACGTTCTTCTGAGTGTGGCCATTTGGAAGATGGGGCTCCCTGGCGCTGGGAGGAAGGCAGAGCAGGGAGCAGGGACTTTTGGGTGCTGCTGTGCCAGGGGCACTGAAATAGAATTTCACTCACAGTGGTTTATTTACTTCTCTGGAGGTGGCATCTAGGAAGGGAAACTGAGGTTCAGAGAAAGAAGGTGATAGTTGTGGCCAGAATGTGGCCAGGTGTGGCTCAGTGCCCACATGTGTGTGTTCCAGAACCACATCCACAGGAGAACCTGTTCGCACCACACTGCTTTGACTTCCTTGCGTGAGACAGGGGCTGCAGCTCCCATCGCCACAGGGAATCCTAGTAGAAAGGACCTGGTTTCCTGGTAGACTGAGAGCTAGCCAGGCCTCTGACCAGTGTTGCTCTGGATGGGAAAGAGGAGGGAAGAAGCCTTCTCTCCCACATCCCCCTGCCCCCAGCCAGGGTGTTCTGGGCAATGGGAGAGCCAATGTCTCCAGCAGGCAGGGCCGTGTCACTCCGGCTCAGGCTGCCTCAGGCCCCTGCTTGACTCAGGAGGGGCTTATTGATGGAATCCAGTGGGATTGTCAGGTTTTGTGCTAGGATGTGACATTCCACTCTGGCCTCCTTTGTTACATCATGGATCTGTCTTAGTTCATTTTGTGCTGCTATAACAGAATACCACAGACTGAGTACTTCAGAAAGAATAGAGACTGATTTCTTACAGTTCTGGAGGCCGGGAAGTCCGAGGTCAGGGGGCTGCATCTGGCGGCGGCCTTCTTGTTGCGTCATCCCCATGGCAGAAGGCATCACTCACTTAGGTAGAATGAGCAAGAGACTGTACTTGCCTCACGTGTGCCTGGGCTCACGGTGCCTGCGCTCACGGGTGCCTGCCCTCACGGTGCCTGCGTTCACGGGTGCCTGCCCTCACGGGTGCCTGCCCTCACGGTGCCTGCGCTCACGGGTGCCTGCGCTCACGGTGCCTGGGCTCACGGTGCCTGCGCTCACGGGTGCCTGCGCTCACGGTGCCTGCGCTCACGGGTGCCTGCGCTCACGGTGCCTGGGCTCACGGTGCCTGCGCTCACGGGTGCCTGCCCTCACGAGCCTGCGCTCACGGGTGCCTGTGCTTACAGGTGCGCACCACCCCCCACACCCTCTAGGTGGCTTCTCAGCTTTTAATCTCAGAGGGTGATGCCTGCTGGCACCCGCCTTGTTCTGCTCTGTGGGCCTGGCCAGTCTGAAAGCAGGGGAGGCCTCAGGCCCAGCCGACAGCCCAGCCTCTCTGCTTTCACACGAAGGGAAAACATATTAACAAAGACACACACACTCACTTTTCCATCCTGTAAATCAATTAATTCCTACAACTGAGTGAACTGTGAGGAAGCAAGCATTCAATAACTCTGCCTAAATATTCCATCTAGGCCCCTCCACGGCTCATTAGATGACACAAGGTGCGATAATTACCGGGAAAAACGCTTTCCTGTCCCACCTCATTTCCTCTCCTCGGCCTTCAGCTTCGCTCAAGGCAAAAGAGAAGTTCGTGTGGTCCCGTGGCCAAGTGTGGCATAGCATGCGTGCATGTGCAAGCCCACACGTGTGTGCGTGTGTGCCTGCAGGTGGCATCATCTGGGCTGGGGGTCCCGTTTTCATGCTCATGGAGGGCCTTCTAAAACTTGGGGAGTGAAGGCCCACAAGGCCCCTACCCCACAGAAGCATGATGGGTGCTTAAGAAAGCCTGTTTTTTTCCCCAGGGGGTGGGCAGACAGCGGCACCCGTCCACAGGAGAGGAAGCTGGGTCTCAGAGCTCCCACCGTGGAGGGTGGGCTGCCCTCGTCCCACCTGGTGAGTCCCTGGTGCCTCTATTGCAGACACAGGAGGTTGGGGTCTGGGGCAGACGGCTGAGCGCTCCCACACGTCCCCGGGCGTGAGTTTACTTCCCTGTGAAAAGGCTTCATGTTGGTGTCTCTATCCCAGAGTTGTCAAGGGTGACATGAGAGCAGTGGAGGCGCCCGCCTGTTGCAGGGCCCAGCATCGAGGGCTGCCGCTGTCCGCATCATTGTTGTGGATGATGCTGTTACCGTTGCCATCATCATTTTCACGGTTAGAGAATCCAGAAGGGCTGCTCCCGCGCACGCCAGCCTTCTCTGCAACACTGCTGCCGAGAATTATAGGCACGATTTCCTACCATGCCCTTACCCATCCCAGGGACTTTGTGAGCTGCCATCCACACTCATGCCAGCAGATCCTACCACAAGTCCTAGGCTCCTAGGTCCAGTGTCCCAGTGCCTGAGACACAGTAGGTTTTCAAAAGAGAACATGAAATAAAGACAGGAGCTGAGAACAATTGGTGTTCCAATTACCAGGTGGAAACAGAGGCTTGGGACACCCAGGTAACTACAGGATTGCCAGTACACGAAGTGCCCAAGCTGAGATTTGGCCTGGGGCTGCTCCACAGGGCTTGTATAATCCCACCCGTTTGCTGGGGCCTCTCCTTCCTCTCCAGGGGGAACCCTTGGGGGGTTTAGAGCCTCTCCCACGCCCTGGGGTACTAGGAGGCAGCTGCCTTGCTGACAGGGGAGGCTGGTCCTTTCAAAGACTCCCCTGGGGCCAGTGGCCAGGAGCCCCTCCTCACTAGACCCATTGCAAGCAGGTGCCAGCTGGGGCTGGACATAAGTGCCTTGAGAGCACCTCGAAGCGCTGTATGGCATTAGAATCTGCAGAGTAGGGGAGCTAGGTGGGTGAAGGGTGGGGTCTCCAACAACCCATCCAGAGGTTGTATTATGGGGTTGCAGGCACACAGAGACTCCAGGGGCGACCCAGAAAGGGACTTCCAAAGGGGTTGCCTCTTTGGGGAGGAGGAGGACAGGGTCACCCAGGAGCAGGTGCAGGCCCCCTATGTGTAGGGCAGCTCCTCTCTGGGATGTTAGGGGAAGGTTTCTCTCACTCAGGAGGCTCTATTCAAATGCCCTGTAGGGCTCCTTGCCCCTGAGGCTGCCCGGCCACCCCTGAGGAGGGGTTTGGGTGGGTGGGGGGGCGTTTGGGCAAGGCAGTACCCCTCCTGCCCGAACCATGGTGCTTCCATTTCCCCTCAACAGATCAGAGTGGCTTTTGGCTGTAGGTCTCTTCTCCAAAATAAGGAAAAAGGAAAGCCAATAGCAAGGCTTAGAAGATTCTGGACTAAGAGACAGGAGACTCAGCTCCGTCACCAGCTTGCAGTGAGGCCAGGCAACAAGACTCCTCCCTTCAGCACCACCAACCCAGGAGCCAGGGATGCTGATAGGAAAGACGGCACTGTCTGCTGGGAGCTGATGCCTCCTGGGAGAGGACAGCCCACAGCTGGTGGCAGCTGGAGGAAGGTGCCCGCTGGTGGTGTCTTCTGAAAGGAAGAGCGATGACGCCCAAGCTGCCTCCCTCCCAGCACTAGGAGGACCACAGGAGGCCACTGATAAGAAGAGGCGCTTGGAGAAGAATAAAGGAGTATCAAATGCAAGGCTACTATTGCTAACGCAGACAACAGTAAGCATAATCACACCTTTCATGTGGGGCAGGGTGGGGAGGTGGGGATGGGAATTTCAGGGACCTTTCCAGTTTGAAGAGGTAGTGGAATCTCCCAGGTAGAATCCTGCGGATTCTCAGGTCCCTGAGCCCCTTCTTTAATGTCCGTCTCTTGTCGTCCGTTGTTAGACAGCCCGACGGCAGGGACCCCCCTCCTTACACAGCCTGAAGTCAGCTCCCAGGGGTGACACCATTGTCACTAGTTCTCTTTTCTGAGTATTCCTTGGACATAATTCTGGGGCCCTGAGTCTTGGTGGCCCCAAGGTATCACACCCTCACGGATGGAGCTGAGGCATCCCTAAGCTGGGCTGTGGGAGCTGATTTGAGGCACAGTAAGGAACCGGGTCCTTGAGTGTGAACATGAGAGGACACAAGGACTGTGGGAGAAGGAGCTGGAGAGACCCCAGGAGGGCAGAGCCATGTGGGGGTGTCCCGGATAGAACAGTGTCCCAAAGATTCATGTCCACCACCAACTTTAGAATGGAATCTTATTTGGAAACGGGGTTTTTACATATGTAATTAGGTAAGATGAATCCATACTAGACCAAGGTGGGTCCTAAATCCAGTGGCTGGTGTCCTTATAAGAAGAGAAAACAGAGACACAGGGAAACGCTGCATGACAGCAAAGGCTGAGGTTGAGCCCAGGAAGGCCAAGGCTAGCTGGAGCTGGGGAGAGGACCAGGGTGGATCCTCCCTGGAGCCTGTGGAAGGAGGCAGCCTTGCCGATGCCCCACTGCACTTCTGGTCTCTGAAGCCAAGAGGCAACCCTCTGCCCCAACAGCCCTGGGAGGCTGCTACGGGAGGATCAAGGATGGCTGGGGATTGGTCTCCCACTTGCCTCCTGTCAGGTGAAGGTTATGGGGACCTTTGAGGTGAGGGAGTGATTTGAGGTCAAGAGGAAACTTCCTGGCCACTGAAATCTGACCCCGCCAAGGTTGGCAGCATGCACTCGCTCCTGAGGTGTTTGGAGTGTCTGCACAGTGGGAGCCCATAGAATAAAGCTGAATGGGGAAGAATGAATGAGGGGAGCCTGTGCTGGATGCCCTCCAGGCAGGTGGAGTGGGGAGGTGATCACCTGGTGCAGGTGCTGGTCAGAGTCCAGTAGAGCAAGCGGAAGGTGGCATCTGAGGGAGCAGGGCTGCAGGTCTGGGAATTAGGTAGAGCAAACCCTGATGGGAGACCACGGAGCAGGGAGGGCAGAATGTCCCTCGGGTGGTGCCACCTTCTAGGACTGGGAGGAGGGCTGCAGCCCTCGGCCAGGGAAGGCAGGGGAGTCCCGCACACTCGGAGCCTGCCTTGGGGAGAGGCCAGGCTCACTGAGGACCTGGGCCCAGGCTCCAAGTGCTCTTGGCTGAGAGGAGGAAGATGAAGCATAGTGGGGCTGTCCTGGCCCCACAGGGGTGTCAAGAGGGGTGGGGCTCCCAGAGGCACCAGGACCCCAGAGGAAGGCAGCATGGCACAGCACCCAGCCAGGGAGCCACAGACCCAGCCACCCCAGGCTCTAAGGACTTCTGCCAATGGACACGGGCTTGCTGTTTAACCCCTAGAGCTGCAGAGCTGGCCACTCAAGTCTCTGGGAACTTCTGCAGATGACATGTGCCTGCTGTTTAACCCCCAAGCCTGGCTTCCTCGTTTGCACAGTGAGAATTGTCGTAGCCCCCTCCCTGTGCTATCCTAAGCATAAGTGGGACAGCCTTCATGGCCTGCCTCGCAAGGCACTGGCCCCCGGCAGGGACTGGATATGGAATCATGGTGGCCGTCTGCTGCCTGTCTGCAGGGATGGTGACAAGAGCTCAACAGGAATAAGGTCCTGATGCAGATGGGAGTCAGAGATGGGTGACTGGGCAAGTGGACAGAAGCCCCGGTGTGGGGACGACACATGTGCTGGTCAAAGGTGACAGCCAAGATCAGCTGAAGGGTATGGACAGCATGGAGCTGGTGATCAGATGGACCCAACAGCTCTATTGATAGCCTCGCCCAGGCCTGCTCAAGAACAGCACAGCAGGGAGGGTGGCCTCGGTTCCCCATCCGTCACTCAGGGCCTCCCCATGGCCAGGGCTAGAGTCTGGAAGGCTCCAGGGCAGGCTGCCTTCTGGAAGCACCTCCCTTCCCCGGGTCCTCTCCTCCGTCTGTCTCTCTGCCTTCAGCATGGTCCCCCTGGGCTGCCAGCTGGAGCTGGTAATTAGCAGTTGTCTTCCTTGGGCAGACAGTAATCTCAGTCACGTCTCAAGAAGCTCCTGTGTCTCTTTTTCATTAACCACCCATTTCCTAAGTCAAAATACCAGCCAACAGCAAGACAGGAATGCTGAAGGGCAGCCTGGGGCCCTGGGCACTTAGAGCTGGAAGGCACTTTGAGATGCCATCTGATCTACCCACCTCCTTAAGCTCGGCTTCATGTCTACAGAAGTGAGTCTCAGATGGAAAAGGACATTAGCGGGCATTCAGGGCAGTCTCTGGCCAGTTCTTGAGTTCTCTGGACCCCACTGAGTCTGGATTGAACATTCCCAGGGTTTGGGGAGCTCACTTCCTTGCAAAGCAGCCATTTCACCGTGAAACACCTCTGACTCCCAGAGGCCGCTTCTTCACAGTGAGCAGGTCCATCTCCTGGGAACCTCACCCTCCAGTCCCATTTCTGGCTTCAGTGACGACCAAAAGCATACTTGCTCCATGATCCCACAAAGCCCTCTCAGACATGTGAATACTGCTTTGGAAATGAATATTCTGGAGTGTCTTCTCCGCCAGTGATGAACGTATCTGTTCACATCTGAATAGCTCAGAAACCAGGAAAAAGCTCACAATTAATGCTGCCTTACTGTATAACTGGCAGGTTTGTTTCTTTTTAGGAATACCTAAAATAACAGTGCATCGTAAAATCTGCAGCATCTCAGAGTCAATGAACACAGCCCATATGTTTTGTTGATCTCTGCTCTGTCACTCACAGCCGCACACAGCCTGATAGGGAAAGGCATGCTCCCTGCAGTCAGAAAGGCCGAAGACACACCCAGAGTCACACAGCTAGGAAGCCACAGACACAGGATTTCAGCTCCATCCAGCCTATCTGGCTGCAAAGCGTGTGCTTCCCACACAGCTGAGAGCCACGCACTGTCTGGCCAGGCTGTCCCTGGTTGACATAAGCACACCCCTCCACCCTCTGCCCCACGCAGCAGCCAAGTATCCTGCGTCCCAGCTGCTCCCTCAGTGTTCAGCCCTTGTGTACCCTGGGGTGGGGGCCACTCTGGCAGCAGGCTCTGCCCTCAGCAGAGGCAAGGAAAGGCCGGGTCTAGGGCAAGAAGACATGCATTTAGGCTCGCAGTGCTCTGGGTAGCCCCAATTTGTCCCTGCCAGCCACTTCTTAGTGTATTCTATTGCAGACACCCATTCCCCCTAGGCTGAGCCATCTCCGGCTGCAGCCCTGCTTGGTCATCATGACGCCCTCGCCTGGACTTGCAGAGCTGAAGGCAGTGGCCCAGAACACTGGTAACTCTCTCAAAGCCCTTTTGGGATCATGTTTCCCCTTTCATCTCACAGCACCCTTCTGAGGAGGCCCTTGGGGGCAGGATGCCCTTCTTATTTGACCCAAGAGGGAGCTACACACAGAGAGGCTGAGGATGCAAGGAGGCCCATGCAGAGACCTCGGGAGCAGCGCAGTAACCGCTCCCTAACACTGCCCTTAGCCCTGGGCCCTCGGTCCTCTCAGCCATCTGCATGTCTGCCAAGACAGGTGGGCCTCAAGCCTCCTGCCCCCTCCTCCAGGGCTGTGGCAAGGACCACATGGCAGAGCATCTGTAGCACATGGGAGGATGGCGTCACTAGCCTCTCCTTGCTGATGAGGACCAGAAATGTGGAGAACCTGTGACTCACCCAAGGTCACAGCTCAAGGCCGAGCCGAAACACTTCTTCAGCCTGCAGATGCTGAATGAGCGGGTGATGCGCCCACTTGAGGGTGCTGTGTCCCGCCACGCACCTGGGCTCATTCTTTACCTGGCACCAGGCTCCTCCTGGAGGAACAGCTCGGGGTGAGCTCAGATGCCATGGCATGTGCACCGCACCCAACGTGCACCTCGTGTGATGAAAAGCAGAATCCCACAGCCTTGACCCCGACACTAGGAGAACCACTGGAACATTCCCAGCCAGTGCCTGCTCTCACTCCAGGGACTGAGGGAAGGATGCAGGTCTTGGTCCTCCCACTGCCTGTGCCTGGCTTGGGAGCCAAGCGGCACACAACTTACCCCCCGAGGCTGTGGTTATGGTTTCAGCTGTGCTGTGAGTGCAGCAGCAGGAGCCACGTGGAGGCAGCCTCCACCCAGGATGTCGGCCCCACAGCACCTCACAGCCCCTGAGTCCCTGCCTGGGAGTAGGGCCCACAGAGCCCTCAGAGAAGGCTTCAGGGGTACCTGACCTGGCTTTCACCCCTTGCACTGTGTGCCCTCCTAGTCCACACCTCTCAAGGGCAATGACAGAGGCTGGTTGGTTCTGTGCTGATCCAGCTGTTCCTTTCTCTTGTGGTCTGTGGCTCTGCCCACACTTGGTTTGCGTGGACATGGAGCCCATTCATCTGGTGGCTTGGTGTCATCCGGAGGCTCTCATGGCTCTGCTTCGTCTCCTGGTAGGGTGGGCCATAGACAGATAGAAATGTGACCCCCTTAGGACACTGGGTCTGGGCACAGGGAATGCCCCGAGACCTGGCTACAGGCACTAAGCAGAGATACAGCAGCGGCGCTTCTCTCGGTGGCCTCTTAAGAGGGACAGGTGTTTCTTCCACGATCCTGAGGCCCACCACTTTCTAGAAGTGATGGCAGGATTATGCTGCCACTATAGGACACTGGCTTCAGGCAGGAAGCCATGGCCACCCTTCCCATGAGGTCTCGTTGGGGAGCATGCCTGCCATGGGGCTGGGAAAGCAGACAGGTGCCTCCTCCGAGGAAGGGGCCTTGGGTAAGCTGAGCTGGAACATGGTGCTGGCTGGAGGTGGTCAGGCCCCTCCTCTCTCCCAGAGTCCAGGTCAGAGTGCTGAGCCATCATCACACTCTGGGCAGAAGGGGGCAGAGGGAAGTCCAGGAGAAGCAGAGAGCTCAGTGCGGGGCTGGAGGGAGCGTGTGCAGGAAAGACCTGGGGAGAAGATGCTGCCTCAGCTGAACTTGGAAGCATGGGCAGCCACTTATCAGGGCTGGAGGAAGGAGGGATTCCTGGAGGGGTGGCATCGGAAGCAGAGGTAACAGAACATGCAAAGGAGCCACAGAAATGAGGGATTGCAGCACCCATGGGACCCCATGCTGTCCAGGATAGCTGGGGTGTGGGCCTTATGGGGGCAGGGAGGATGCTGGCTTAGTAGGATAAAAGCAAGTAAAGGCAAAAGACCATATTTGAAAGTGAAGATGTTGGGCTTCCTCCTTGGGCCACGGGAAGCCAGGAGCTCCTGAGGCAGAGGTGTGATGTGTTCAGAGGAAGGAGGGTGACAGGAAGTGGCACTGGTGAGTTTGGGGGAGTCAGAGTAGATATCCAGAAAGAGAACTTGGGAGGCCAAGAGGGTGGGTGAGACACAGCACAGAGCCAGCCATGACACTGGATCTATAGAGGGGTCCTTCACAGAGACTGTGCCTCTGGGAGAGGAGAAGACTTAGGGGGATCCATAACTCAGTTTGGACCCACTGACCTTTAACACCATTGTAATGCCCAAGAGAAGATGCTCCAAAGGCAATTGGCTATGGACTGGGACAGACACAGCTTAAAGGAGAGGCTAAAAATGCAGGTAAGAATCCTTAACAAACAGGTTAACTGAGTCTGTGGATAAGATGGTGCCAAAATGAGCAGATAGAGAGGTGAAGTGAAGAGAAGAGAGGAGTGGAGGAGGGGAGGGAGGGGAAGGGAGAAAGACTAAAGACAGAAGGGACACCAGAGGGATAGGCAAGTGGAGAGGATCCTGCAAAGATCAAGAAAAATTTTTAAAACTTGGAACTGGAAGAGGTATTGGAGGTTGGATTAGATTTTCATTCAACTTTTGTTTGTTTTTGTTTTGTTTTGTTTTACTGTACAAGAATGTCTTCAGCAACCTTCTGTTTATATAGCTTCTGCTTGAACACCTCCAGTGACATGGATCTCAGTACCTTTGAGCTAGCCCTAAGATTGAAGATGGACCTTGTGCTAGGCAGCTCTCCTATGTCGTGAGCAAGCCTATCTTACTATATTCTCACACTCTGGTGCTGAATCCATCCTGAGGGTCACAAGACTCAACTCTCTACTCTGGCAGGGATTGAATTCCCTCTTCACATTGGCCAACCATAGTCTGCATTGATTGTCCATAGTCTACGTTGACCATCCATAGACCACACTGACCATCCATAGACCACATTGACTATCCATAGACCACACTGACCCTCCATAATCCACACTGACCATCCATAGTCCACACTGACCCTCCATAGACCACACTGGCCATTCATAGTCCACACTGACCATCCATAGTCCACACTGACAATCCATAGACCACACTGACCGCCCATAGTCCACACTGACCCTCCATAGGCCACACTGACCATCCATAGACCACACTGACCATCCATAGTCCACACTGATCATCCATAGTCCACACTGACCCTCTTTAGATCACACTGGCCATCCATAGTCCACACTGACCATCCATAGACCACACTGGCCATCCATAGACCACACTGACCATCCATAGTCCACACTGGCCATCCATAGACCACACTGACCATCCATAGTCCACAATGGCCATCCATAGACCACACTGACCACCCAGAGTCCACACTGACCATCCATAGACCACACTGACCATCCATAGACCACATTGACCATCCATAGACCACACTGACCATCCATAGTCCACACTGGTCATCCATAGACCACACTGACCATCCATAGACCACACTGGCCATCCATAGACCACACTGACCATCCATAGTCCACACTGGCCATCCATAGTCCACACTGGCCATCCATAGACCACACTGACCACCCAGAGTCCACACTGACCATCCATAGACCACATTGACCATCCATAGACCACATTGACCATCCATAGACCACACTGACCATCCATACTCCACACTGATCACCCATAGTCCACACTGACCCTCTGTAGATCACACTGACCATCCATAGATCACACTGACCATCCATAGACCACATCGACCCTCCATAGTCCACATCGACCATCCATAGTCCACACTGACCATCCATAGTCCACACTGATCATCCGTAGTCCACACTGACCCTCTATAGATCACACTGGCCATCCATAGTCCACACTGACCATCCATAGACCACACTGGCCATCCATAGACCACACTGACCATCCATAGTCCACACTGGCCATCCATAGACCACACTGACCACCCAGAGTCCACACCGACCATCCATAGACCACACCGACCATCCATAGACCACATTGACCATCCATAGACCACATTCACATCCATAGACCACACTGACCATCCATAGTCCACACTGATCATCCATAGTCCACACTGACCCTCTTTAGATCACACTGGCCATCCATAGTCCACATTGACCCTCCATAGGCCACACTGACCATCCATAGACCACACTGACCATCCATAGTCCACATTGACCCTCCATAGGCCACACTGACCATCCATAGACCACACTGACCATCCATAGACCACATCGACCATCCATAGTCCACATCAACCATCCATAGTCCACATCGACCATCCATAGTCCACACTGACCATCCATAGTCCACACTGATCATCCGTAGTCCACACTGACCCTCCATAGATCACACTGGCCATCCATAGTCCACACTGACCCTCCATAGACCACACTGGCCATCCATAGACCACACTGGCCATCCATAGACCACACTGACCACCCATAGTCCACACTGACCATCCATAGTCCACACTGACCCTCCATAGACCACACTGACCATCCATAGACCATATTGACCCTCCATAGACCATATTGACCACCCATAGTCCACACTGACCATCCATAGTCCATATTGACCATCCATAGTCCACACTGACCGTCCATAGACCACATTGACCATGCATAGGCCACACTGACTGTCCATAGACCACACTGACCCTCCATAGGCCAAACTGACCATCCATAGATGACATTGACCAACCATAGACCACATTGACCATCCATAGGCCATATTGAAGGTCCATAGTCCACACAGACCCTCCATAGGCCACACTGACCCTCCATAGTTCACACTGACCATCCATAGGCCACATTGACCATCCATAGATCACACTGACCCTCCATAGACTGCACTGACCATCCATATACCACACTGACCATCCATAGACCACATTGACCATTCATAGGTGACATTGACCATCCGTAGACCACATTGACCATCCATAGACCACACTGACCATCCATAGACCACATTGACCATTCATAGGTGACATTGACCATCCATAGACCATATTGACCATCCATAGACCACACTGACCATCCATAGTCCACACCGAACCCTCCATAGGCCACACTGACCATCCATAGACTGCATTGGCCATCCATAGACCACACTGGCTATCTATAGTCCACACTGATTGTCCATAGACCACATTGATCATCCATAGTCCACACTGACCATCCATAGTTCACACTGACCATCCATAGTCCACACTGACCATCCATAGTTCACACTGACCATCCATAGTCCACACTGATCATCCATAGTCCACATTGATCATCCATAGTCCACATTGACCATCCATAGTCCACATTGACCATCCATAGTCCATAATGTTCATCCATAGACCACATTAACAATCCTTAGTTCACACTGGCCATCTATAGTCCATATTGGCCATCCATAGTCCATACTGATCAACCATAGTTCAAAGCCATTGTCTGTTGATTTCTTGTGAAAGGCCTAGCATCTTGGGTTGATCTCATAAATAATGTTCACCTGCAGGTCAGGAGTGTGGGAGGTCTAGTCCCCCAACCTGTGCTAATGTCCGGATTGTGGAGTGAGGCTGTTACTTAACCTGCTGAGAACAGGCAGGCAGCATCTGTAGCCTTACGAGGCAGGGGTGTGTTTTAGGAGCTATCTGGGTCAGAAGTGGGTATAAAAGCTTAAGCAAGTCCAGGGTCTCACCTAATGTGTCCAAGATCTCACAACAAAGAAAAAGTGAGATTCAACCATGTTTAATACCAAAATTCCATGTTTTCACTATGCCAAGTATCTTTTTCAACATAGGGGTGAGCAGGCCAGAAAACCCTTCTTGGTTCCAACTCTGTGAATTGTATCTATCATGAGTAGAGAGGTAGACAGGTGCACACTGCAGCCCAGTGATGCACTGGGGCCACTATTTCATGAATCAACGACTCTGTCCTGGTTCAGGGAAGCCACTCCTATGTCCCTCAACAACCCCAGCTTGCCCGTCTCCTGGACTCATTTCCTGCTTGGCTTCCTGCATCATAGTGTATCCCCTGCTACCTCCCTTCATGCTGTGTTTACTGTGATCTTCTCAAAATACAAGACAAGCATGCTACCCCCACACCTACAGCCAGGGCTCCAGCATCAAGACCACCTCCTTGAGGGCTTCTGAGGCTGCCCTGCCCAGCCCTGGCTGCCTCCAGTGCAAGCCTCATCTTGCACTGCCTCCCTTCCCTGGACGCTGGCACCAAGGCCAGCCCACCCTCAACCGGACGCCTCCTTCTCTTGACCTGTAGCCATGGTGAGCAGCTACGGTTGGGCTGGGGTGGAGAAAGTCTAGAAGAAAATGGAGAGCTCCCTGTGGTTTGGCTGCCTCTGACCAGCCCCTCATCTTCCTCACCCCATCAATCACTCCAGGAAGCACAGCTCGGGGAGGATGATAAACGGAAAACCTGAATCCTCCTGAAAATGAGCTAATATCTCCTAGCCCATCGGGCCAATCACTCTTTGTCAGGCAGGCTGTTAAGTGAGGCACTGAAGAAAGACTCCATCCACCGAGGAGTGGGGAAGGAGGTTTGGTGATGGAGTTGCTCCATGCGCACTGTTCATCTTCACACTGAAATAAACAAGGGAGGGCCGGCTGCTCATGGTCTACTGCAAGGAGATAGGTCTTCCTGGACAGTGCCCTCCCAGGGGCTGGGCGGTGCTGATGCAGGCACCGAGAGAATGCCACATGCTCCTGTTGATGTGGTGGGACCCGGGGGTGGACGCACACCAGGCCTAGGCAGTGCCTCGCGAGGTGAGCCATGACATGGAGAATGCAGAACGTAGAACGCAGAAGTGTCTGCAGAGGATTTTGCATTAAGTACCAGGGAAGGGGTTGCAAGCCTCAGAGGGCCTCAGACCTGAGTCATGGGACTCTACCCATCCCTAACCCATAGGTTGGCTGGGTGCAAGGCAGGAACTCTGTGTGTGTGTGTGTGTGTGTGTGTGTGTGTGTGTTGTTTTAGGTTGTGTATCTACTGGCTGTGTCTACAAGAGGTAGGAGCACCAGCACTCTGGGCTGTTTCCCAACACGTCTTCCTTCCGCTCTGTGGGTTGAGAGGCTGAGGGAAGGGAGAGGCCAGGCTAGACCTGGGCCTTGGCAGGTCAGAGCCTCTCGGAAGGAACAGACTCAAGCTGGACCACGTGTCAGGGCTTAACCCCTGTGACCTCGGGCACCCACAGCCAGCCTGCCCAGGGTCTCATCCAGTTGGACACACCCAAGAGGGTGAGGCATAGGGAGGCAACGGGATCAGCATTCTGGGTCTCTGAGTTCAGGGCTTTGTTAGGGACGTGGAGGTCCCTGGAAAGTGTCCGGTGTGGAGGTCACATGTGGATAGGTTGGGTGGGTGGAGAGGAGATTGAAATTGCAGGTCCCGGCACCCAAGAGGCCAAGGCTTCAGGATTACTCTCTTCTCCACCACGTGGTCCCCCCAAATCCAGCTCCCCCAAAGTCCCCTCCTGAGCGCGCACCTCAGCCCAGCTCCTGAACATCTGCTTCTCTCTCGCTCTGCTCCCAACCCCACCTACCTGTCTCGGGCAGAACCCCTTGCACTTCCCAGCACACTGGAAATGAGGCCACTCGGTGCTTGTGAGGCCTTTCTCAATGAGAGCACCTCCCACCTTGACTTAGGGTTCTATGGATGAATGTGCCTCTCCCAGAGGCCCAGAGCCCAAGAGTGAGGCCACGACTCAGTCATCCTCAATCCTGAGCCTCACTCCAGGGCCAGGGACAGAGGGGTCTCCAGGCTGTAAGGGTCTGAAGAGCAGGCCCCAGGCTCTGTCAGTGGTAGGTGTTCCCACAGGGCTGGGGACCTGGTGTGTGCTCCCAGGTACCTAAGACCTAAGCCTGTCAGGAGGTCAGGAGGTAGGGACAGAGACTCCAGGCTTGGAAGCTGGGTCCACAGGCCCACAGCCAGGCCGGGCACCTGGAGCAATCACATGAGCAAGTTGTCATCACAGGCAGGACCAGGAACGGGGGCAGGAGGACAAGAACGCCAACAGGGAGCTGAGGCTTAAGCCCTGGCAGAGCTGCCTCCTTCCCCACAGGAATCTCCTGCCCAGCCCCGGAACAGCAGAGGCTGGAGCCGAAGGTACTGTATTCACTGTGCTTTCAATTTTGCATATTTTACCATGCTTTGACGAGACACCTTGCTGACCAGGAGAGGCTGCCCCTCCCAGGGCTGACTAGGAGAGGCTGGCCACTCCCCAGGGATGGAAGCTCCCACACAGAGTGCTGTTCTGATGCAGCCGGCCCACCCAGAGCCCAAAGACAACTCACCTGCCATCATCAGGCCCCCGCAGCCCGGGACACTAGCCCCCTGCCCTAAATCACCCAAGGCCAGTTGTGTGTCTACTGGCTGTGTCTGCAAGAGGCTGAGTCACCAACACCTGACCACCCACATTGCCCAGAGCCTACTGAAATGATTCACCCACCAAAATTATTCCAACGAGCCGATCCAGGTCTGCGCACCCAGCCTGCCCCGCACCTGGCCTTCCCTTCAGAGACCACCGTGCAGGCTCGCAGCAGCTTCCCCTCCCAACAGCCATGCTCCCTTTTGTGACCCTGCACAGCTGACACCTGTGGGGTCTTCTGGCTGTCAACACCTGGACCCCTCTCTGTGTTCCTTTCCAGTATAGAAGTCAGACACACAGAATCACTTTCCCAGCCTTGTAGCTAGGATGTACTGCCAGAGTACGAGCCCTGGGAGGCTGGGGGCTGCAGCTCGTACCCCGGCAGTTGCCAGCTCAGAACCCCAGCTGTGGGCACTGCCACCGAGGCCGGAGCAGCCAGCTCTCCTGGGTCACAGCTTCTCTGGACCTCCATGTCCTGGGATATTGGCCTGGGTGGTTGAGTCAGGGACATGTGCCCACATCCTCTCACCTCCCTCTTCTGTGCTGCACTCACTGCCCACCCGTGCTCCCTGCTCTTCTCAGTCTCCAGCTCTTTGCTTTTGCTGCTCCACGCCCCGGGACTCCCTCCCTCCCCTTTCCCACTCTCATCTGCAAGCATCAAGGTGAGGTTTGTTTCCCCAGGCTCAGGCTGAGTTGCCTCCTCCCAGAAGCCTCCTGTGATAACTGTCAGGCCCACATGTCTCCCTGAGCCTCCTGGCATTCCCTGTCTCTCTCCAGCAGGGCCCTTGCCCCTCAGCTGGGAACTAGCGCCCCTGCCGACAGAGACCGCGCAGCACCGGCTCTCCCCTCCCTGCGGGTACCCGGCCATCTGCCGAAGGAGCTAATGGAGCATCGTGGATGGATGCGCGAAGGATGCACGAAGCCGGTGCCAGAGGCTGCTCCTTCCGCTCCCAGCCAAGTGGCCCTCCCACTCGGACTCTCCCAGCTCGCGGGGAGCCAAGCACGATTTTTGGCTGGCCTTGTAGAGGCAACATTCAAAAGCCCAGGCTGCCGTGTGAAATCTCCTGGCTCCTCCTTTGTGATTTTCGGGCTAAAAATAAAATCCCCGGGACCCCGGTGGCTGCCATTGTTGCTGCTATTGAAACGTGATGAGCGCCTGATCAAAATTCTTATGCATTGTTGACAGGGGAGGCAACCCGGCACTTATCTCCCAGTGACTTTAAAAATAGAGCCTCTTCCTTTTCTGCCAGGGCAAAGCAATAATTTAGATAATTGAAACTCTGAAATGAGTTGGAGACGAATCGCTGTGGCTTTGGGCCCTTTTATGAGACTTTTTCTTTGTATGAAAAAGAATGGAATCAGAAAAAGAACGTTTTGCTCACACAAAGACCCTGAGTGGGACGCATCTCGTCAATGTGAAATTGCGCGGCTCCGGGGTCCTGGCTGTCGAGTTGGGGGCTGTTGTGGCTTCTCAGAGCTGCAGACCTCCCTTCTACCCCGGGACAGAGGGGCAGGTGCAGGGCCACACTGAGGGGTGAGCTGTCTGTGCTGGGAAGAGGGGGTCTCCTGGATAAGCCGTTCCTTCTCTACCCTCCACTGCTTCTTCTCGTGTTGGGAGGCCGGCGGCCCCTCCTGCAAGCACCCACCGTCTCAGGGAGAGATCCCCCTCTCTCAGCCAGCAGCCCCTTCCTTGGGGAAGCCCCCCACTCCTCATGCGGAATCTGGATCCTACTCGCCAGAAGGTGGAAACAGGAATGTTATTTCATCTCTCTTTCTCCTCCATCAAGGCAACCTGCAAAGGCCTCTCTGTTGCCACTGCCAGCACCACCCACCACCCTCTCCCCTCCAGGGAGCACAGCAGCCTCCTCCCTGGACTCCCGGCTGCCCTGACCATATCCCCCCTGAACCAGACTCTTTTTTTCCTCTCTGCCCCAATGGCCAGACTGATCTTTACAAAGCATACACTGAGAGGTGCCATTCTCTCGCTCCTGGTCTTGAATGACTGCCCATCACCCGGGAACACAGTGCACCCTCTCCAGGGCCCCGCGCAGCCTGGCACCCACACCCTCCCAGCCACCCCAGCCACCCCTGCCCTGAGGCCCTTTCACTGTAAGAACAGGAATCTTCTGTGCTGTCCCGATTCCTCTAACGGACATCCCCTCAGGGTCACCAGAGAAAATACAGAATGCCCAGTTAAATTTGAACCTCTCCTTTTTAAAAATTAATTTAATTTTTAAAGGTAGAGACAAGGTCTTGCTGTGTCACCCAGACAGGGTGTAGTGGTGTGATCACAGCTCACTGAAGTCTCCAAATCCTGGGCTCAAGCGATCTTCCTGCCTCACCCTCCAGGACTTCAGGTATGCACCAGCACACCCAGCTCATTTTTTAATTTTAATTTTTGTAGAGACAGGGTCTTGCTATGTTGTCCAGGCTGGTCTTAAACTCCTAGTCTCAAGTGATCCTCCTGCCTTGGCTTCTCAAAGTGCTGGATCACAGGCATGAGCCACCACACCCAGCCACTAAATCTGACTTTCTGACAATGTTTGAGTATAAATATACTCAAATAAACTATTCTCAAACAATGTTTGAGTATAAATATGTCCCAAATGGAAACATTCTTAAGACGTTATACTCAAAGACCATGTGCAAGACATAGGGCCCTACCTAGATGACTCCAGCTCATAGATGTCCCAGCAGCTGTCCCAATGCATCACCCAGCTGTCCTGCATGGGGGCATCTGATGTCCCCTAAAGCTAGATGTGCCCCATATGGAACTCCTGACTTTCCTCCCACCTCACAGGCCCTTCCCTTCACATACACGCTCACCCTTGGACGCTCCGGGATCTTCGCATGGGAGAAGCTCGGGAAGACGTCTGCAGGAAGGGGGCCTGGAGCCGTGTCCCGAAACAGGATTTGCACCAGACGTGAGGTGCGAGTTGAATGGCTGCCTCTTTGGCTTTGTGCAGAGCTGACTGACTCATGACGGGGCTGGGCTGCTCTGCTGGGTCCCCCTGTGCTTCGCCTTCACTGGACTGAGGGCTGCCCAACGGCTGGTGAAACGTCATTTCTGTGATCACGTGGGTGATTCCAGAGGAGATTGATTAGTATGTGTTCGTGGATGGAGTGGAGATGACCCGTCTCCACCAAAGGGGGTGGGCAGCATCTGACCATCCACAGCACGAACAGAGCTGGACCCCACCGTGGGCTTCCTGGGGGTTCCAGCCTGCAGACAGCAGATCAGGGCCTCCTCAGCCTCCACGGTCACGGGAGACAATTCCCACGACACACCTCCTCTTACATGTCTCTCTCTCCATATGTAATTTGTTCTGCCTCTCTGAGGAGCTATGACGAATACAGCTCCCCGGGGCTAACATGGACCCCACCCTTCTTACTGTCCTTCCAAACTCCCCCATGCATCCTTCCCCATGCCAGGAAATGGGCTCACGCTCAGCCTCAGGCCAGAGGCCCAGGGCCATGAGTAAGGCAAGAAAGGAGATTCTCCTGTGGCCAGCCACATCCTGTCAGCCTCCCAGGTCACCTGCAGGTCCTGCTGACTCCTGCCTCTCCACCTGACGCACTTCACCCCCTAATTCTCTCCCTCTACCTGAGGCACCTTCATCCCCTATTTCTCTCCCTCTGCCTATGCATCTTCTTTCGCTAATTCTCCCTCTCTCCACCTGAGGCGTCCTCACCTCCCCCTCTGTCTACCTGAGACATTCTCCGGCCTCCTGATCATGGTCTTCCCTAGGTTGGGTGGGAGGAAATGGCAGAGTGCTAACCCACATGACGGTGGCTGGTAGCCTGAGAACTCCGTTGGGAAAGTGCCAGGGCCGGTTCTCCACAATCCCAGAGGATCCTTCTAACAGGTAACAGCCTAGTGACAGGGCTCTGCTGTCTTCTCTCTCCAGGGTCTCACTTCCCAACCCCACAGTGCCTCTGGAACTCCTCCCAAGCAGAACACCTGCCCACAATCCTGTCTCAGGTTTGCTGTGGGGGACCCTGGGCAGGCATCTACAAGTCTTGTCTCTCCTTACCACCGCCAGCATCTTACCTGCGAATCCCTGTCCCTCTGCTGTCTTCCCACTTCTCCCAGCTCCACTGTCTCCATGCACGCCCCTCCCCGGGGTTGTGACATCATCCCTAGCATCTCCAGCTGGCCCCTCACTCACTCCACCCACTCTCCCAGCAGCCAGAGTCCTCTGAAACACAGGCCATCGATGACTTCCTCTGCCCTGGACTTGTACCCAAGCTCCTTACCAGACCCCCAGGACCTGGCTTTGCCCACCTCTCTGCTGGAACCCCTCTCTGCCCTGGGGCATTGGCACATGCCACCCCCACGACCTGGGCCCATGCTTCTGGGATAGCTAGGTCGGACCAGCCTTCAGGCCTCGTACCCATGTCCACCTTGGCACGGCCTCCCCACTGCCCCCTCGTTAGCCTATCTCCTTCCACACGGTAGCCGACATGGCACTGACTCCAGCGTGCCACCACACATCAGGTGGGTGCATATGCATGTGCGGCCTTGTGCGTGGAGGGTGCCCTCACCAGACCGTGAGCTTCCCAGGGCAGGCTTCTGTGCATCTTGTTCACCTTTACATCCCAGCACCTGGACGGTGTCCAGCAGGGAAGGGGTGTCTGGCCTAAATGTGAGAGTCAGGGATAGAGAGAGCAGCAGGCCTGCCTGGATCAGGTCAGGGTGGAGTTCCAGGAGAGTGTGCCAGGGCCACCAGCTCTGCAGACCACGGTCGGGGCAGCTCTCCTGCAGCTGGGACTCCTGGCCCAGGCTGGAATCCTGCCTTCTCAGGCTAGGGAGCACCCAAGAAAGAGCCTGGATGGGGACTCAGAGGGGAAGGGATCCTCCCCTTCCCTTCCTTGAGCCTCAGAGTCACAAGCTGGACAGCGGAAGGTGATGATCTTGTGAAATGACCATTGGACAGTCCTCTTGCTGTGCCCAGAGCCACACCCAGCCCTGGCCTTCTGTTCCAGGTGGAGGCCCTAGCGCTTCGTTTCTGACCTTTTGTTTGTTTTCATACACTTTATTTTTAGGGCAGTTTTAGGTTCACAGCAAAATTAAGCAAAAAGTCAGAGATTCCCCACATACCTTCCACCCCACATATGCACAGCCTCCCCTCTCTCAATACCCTGCCCGAGTGGTGTGAGTATCACGACCGATGAGCCTGCAGTGAGGCGTCGCCCTCGCTCTGAGCCTGCAGCCTCCATCAGGGCTCACTCTGGCTGGTGCGTGCTCTGTGGGTCTGCACAAATGCATGGGACTTGTTTCCGCCATTGTCATGTCGAACAGAGCAGTGTCACTGCCCTAAAAATCCTCTGGGCTCCCTGATTCGTCCCTCCCCCAGCCCCTGGCAGCCACTGATCCTTTCATCTTCTCCGCTGTTTCGCCTCTTCCAGAATGTCCTAGAGTCGGAATCTTACCATATGTGGCCTTTTGGGAGTGGCTTCTTTCCCTTAGTCAGATGCACCATGTTGGGCTCTGTTTCTAGTGGTCCAGGGCCTCAACTGTGTGTCTGCCGTGGTGGATTGGGCGTGAGGGCTGGGCTGGCCCACACCACCTCCCTGGCTGCCTTATCTCCTGTTGACAGAACTTGGTTCTCACCTGTTGGCCCAGTCCCTTGCTGTTCTGGGATTCCGCCTCAGTCCCCTCCTCTGGGGCTCATCCTGGGAGGATCTGATCTGGGCTGCCATCTTGTTCTCAGTCCTGCCTGGGATCCACAAGTCTCTGCTGCTGGCCGCTGTGAAGGGACAAAATGTCCAGCCTCATAGCCCCTGGGTGCACCTGCTGGGAGCCTTGGCCCAAGAGCACCCCTCCCTGCCTAAGATAATGGGTCAGGGTCACAGCACTGGCCATGGCAGCTTTCGTGAGGCTGCAGAAGTGACTTCGCCCCACACCCTCCCCCAGCCCTTCCCCCAACCCCAGAGAGGGGAAGCGTATGGTCCACACTTGGGCCAGCTCAGTCTCCTATAGCCATCACAGCTACAACCCTCCTATCTTCCTTCTCCCCAAAATGTCCCCATGAGATAACAGAATAATAAACAACATTTCATTTAATACTCAAATAATTCTTATGAGGAACAGTATATTGTTCACAGATGGGAAAATATGTAAATTGAGGGCTAGAAGATCAAGCCACCTGCCCAAGATTTTGCAGCTGCTAAGTGGCAGAGCTGAGTGTCAGCTCAGCTTGGGAAGCCCAGCTGTAAACCCTGTCCTGACCATGCATGGGCTGGGCTTACATCCCACCTCAGTTACCCTGCACTTCCAGTGAGACCCTGGAAACACCAGCTAGGCATCTCGACTTCAGCCTCCTTGATTGTCCATTAGAAACCATGATAACATGGGGCCACGAGGATAAATTACATAATTCATGAAAACATGTGGTACAAAATAAACAAAAATGAATCTATTCCTCCATCATCTGCCCACCCACCATCCATCCATCCGTTCATTCACACACCATCCATCCACACACCCACCCATCCATCCACACACCCAATTGTCCACACATCTACCCACCATCCACCCATCCACCCACTATCCACTCATCCACCCATCCATCCACCCATCCACCCACCATCTACCCGTGTACCTATCCATTCATCCAACCCCAACCCACCCATTATCCATGCATCCATTCATCCCCTCACTCACACATCCATCCATCCACCCACCCATCCACCATCCACTCACCCCCCCACCCATCCACCCATCCATTCATCCATCTCCAGTCCACCCACTATCCATCCATCCATTCATCCCCTCACTCACACATCCACCCATCCACCCATCCATTCATCCATCCCCAGTCCACCCTATCCATCCATCCATTCATCCCCTCACTCACACATTCATCCATCCATCCATTCATCTATCCCCAGTCCACCCACTATCCATCCATCCATTCATCCCCTCATTCACAATCCATCCATCCACCCATCCACCCACCCACCCACCCATCCATTCATCCATCCCCAGTCCACCCACTATCCATCCATCCATTCATCCCCTCACTCACACACCCATCCGTCCATCCATCCATCCATCCATTCATCTATCCCCAGTCCGCCCACTATCCATCCATCCATCCGTCACCACCCATCCTTCTCCCCTTCCTTCATTCCTTCACCAGTGCTAATGAATCAGAGCTAGACTAGTTTGTGCTGAGGGTTGTGACAGGCCAGGATTCAAAGCCACCCCCACACTTGTTTCCACAGCCTTGCACTGTGGATGGATGCAGGGAGGAGTGTGTCATGGGGATTCCCAGGTGAGAGGTCCTGAGACCAGGATAGTTTTTGTCCTTGGTGACTGTGGTGGATGTCAATGCTTGTCACTGGTTCCAAGGTCCCCTCCCCTTCTAAGCACAAAGGAGACCTCCCTCTGTCTCCCTCTTGGTGAGGTGGAGCCATGTGCTGGCTGTAGCCAAGGAGCACTGTGCAGAAAGGATGTGCTCCTGGCAGCATCCACGTTAACTTGCTGGTGCACCATGCCCTCCTCTGGAGGTGCAGACTTTCGGGGTGCAGCCCTCCTGCCAGCCTGTCCCTGAGTGGCTCTGGTGAGCCATGCACCCTGCTGACCTATGAGGGCATGAGAGGAAACCGCTATGGCTTAAGCCATGGAGATGTGGGGTTGTTGTCACATGCAGAGCTCAGCCCTTCATGATCAACACCGTGACTCTCACTTCCTTCCCAGGGTCTTCACGTCCTCCTCACCCTGTAGTCTCTGAGGGCTGCCAGAAGAAATGACCACAGACTTGGTGGCTTAAAGCCACAGAGGTGTATTCCCTCCTGGATTCTGAGGCTGGAAGTCTGAAGTGCAGTTGTGGGCAAGGTGGTTCCTTGGAGCCCCTGAGGAAGGATGTGTTCCAGGCCTCTCTTCCAGCCTCTGGTGGTCGCAGGTGACTGCCTTGGCGTCCCCAGCTTGTGGCTGCCTCACTCCAACTTCAGCTTCTATCTTCACATAGCCTTTTTCTCCCTCCACGTCGCTGTCTCTGTGTCTCTTCTCCTTTCTTTTTAACGACACCAGTTATTGGGCGTAGGGCCCATCCTCATCCTGTGTGACCCCATCTTAACTTACATCTGTAATGTGACCCTATTTTTAAATAAGGTCACATTTATTTTGAGGTTCTAGGTGGACATGAATTTTGGGGGGGGCACTATTTGATCCGACACCCCCACCCCCATGCTTAGCTCAAGTCTGCAAGCATTTGGAGAAGAGCCACTGTGTGCCAGGCAGCACGGTGCATTTGCTGAGGAGACACAGATGAAGCCTTCCACAGCAGGGGAAGCTTTGCAGGTGATGGACTCGGATGAGTCCAGGCTGATGGCAGAGGCAGAAGAGACAGGCTCGATGCAACGTAGAGGGTGCAATGAGAGCAGAACTGGCCCTGGGGTCCCACCAGCTGGTCTGAGTGCCCCTGGGATACCTACAGCACCTGTCTTTTCCGCCTGCAGCACCTCGTTCAGGGCTAGAGCCTGGTGGTTGTTCCATAAGTGCTGCTGGAATCCCTCACCCGGCTCACACGTGGCGCCTGCCTGTCTCTTGCCATGCTCACCATCGCAGAGACCATCTGTGAGTGCTAACGGGCCAGGCTGGCATGGCGGCAGCCCAACTGGAGAAGCTCGAGGTCTGCTCAGCAATGCTGGCCCAGGCCTTTGGCTCCCATGAGCTCCATGGCTCTCAACGGCACCCACCGGGCCCATCCATCATGCCAAATTCCCCGTGCATGTGTCAGCCCCGCTGAGCATGAAATTGCACGAAACTTACAGCTTCCTCTGGCTTCCAACCTGATTTTCTGATGGCAGCTTCAACTCACCAAGCGCTCTCCACAGGCCAGGGCAACGGGTGGCTGCCCCTCCCCCACACAGAGTGCACCATTCTGTGGGCCCCTAGGAATCCTCAGGGACCTCCCCTCCAGGGGCGTCGCTTCCCCTCCCAGAAGAGGTGCTCAGCCCCTTCCTGTCCAAGCCTTAGAGAATGCAGCTTGACTCCAAGGCTGCCCAAACTATTCCTGAAGCCCAAGGTGCAGTTCTAGGACCCACAGTTTAAGAGGGGGCCTTGACAAACAGGGCGTTGTGAAGACTTTGACCAGGATGGCAAAGGGTCCATGAAACAAGCCTGGTGGATAAGGACAGGTTGGAGGGAGCCGCATCTCCAGGCAGATGTTGTCGGGCCTGAGGGAGGGAGGAAGGGGCTAGGACCGCTTCGGTTATGTGTACTGCTGGCCACGTGTTTGTGTTTGAGCAGCAGAATACAACAGGCTGTCACTGCACTAACAGAACTAACGGAAACCACCTGGACCTCAACTGCACAGGGATTCTTAGAGGGGAAAGAAGAAGGCCAATCCTGAGGGTTCTGAGGAAGGAACCGCCACAAAAGGGTGGATGTTACAGAGACCAGCATGAAGCATCCACCAGCGACATGGGCAGTGATGCTGGTAATGAGCTCACCATCGGGAAAGCACGCAAGAAGAGCCCAGGATACACAGGCCCTCGGCATCCATGTCATGCTGCGATGCATCCCATAGAGCTCAGCCTTCCTGGTTCTATTCCTCAGGAACTCGTGACTATTTAGATGAGTTCTCAGCTTTTATTCTCAGTTAATAAACTGAATTTTCCATCAGTCAATCAAACGAAAGTCTTGGGTTTCCACTTAGAGCTCCTGGGGGGCTTTCTTGCTTGGGCTCATGTCCTTGAGGTCTTTCCTGTGGCAAAACTCCAGGCTCCCTCCACCCCTTTCCCTGTCCCTTCCCAAGGGACAACGAGGGGTAGTGCTGAGGTCAGATCTGGGAGAAGGTGCTCTCTTTAGAGCCTCCTGTCCCCCTGATGTTTGCATGCTCCACGGCTCCAAGGGTCCTTGGGGACAAGGTAGTCATCTGCAGGGTGTGTGGGCTCATAGAAGCCCACCATCCACCCACCTGCCCTTCCAAGCTTGCGGCTTCAAGGAGCTCCATCAGCACTGAAGCCAACATTCCCGCTTCCCCATGTCTGCTCCTCTGCCTCTGGCTCACTCCTCCGGGACCTCTGAGTGAGGAGGAGAAGGAGCTGCCTGGCCCTCGGTCCACATCCTCCACAGCTGTCGAGAAGCAGCACAGCCCAGCACAACAGAGAGCACAGCAGAGCACAGCACAGCACAGCAGAGAGCACAGCACAGCAGAGAGCACAGCACAGCAGGGAGCACAGCAGAGCACAGCAGAGAGCACAGCAGAGCACAGCAGAGAGCACAGCAGAGCAGAGAGCACAGCAGAGAGCACAGCACAGCAGAGCATAGCACAGCACAGCACAGCAGAGAGCACAGCAGAGAGCACAGCACAGCACAGCAGAGCCCAGCAGAGCAGAGCAGAGAGCACAGCAGAGCTCAGCACAGCACAGCAGAGAGCACAGCACAGCCCAGCAGAGCACAGCACAGCAGAGCCCAGCAGAGCACAGCAGAGAGCACAGCAGAGCCACTGGCGTGGCCACAGCAGAGAGCACAGCAGCAGCCTCGGCCCTGGCACCTACAGGCTGTGTGATCTCAGCAAAGAAATGAACATCTCTGAGTCTACTTCCTAAGCTACAAATAGGGCATAATAACAGGAACCAGGCCCAGAATGAGGATTAAATGAAGATTCATTTGGCTGAGTGTCTGGCTTTAACGGAAACCATTTCTACCCAGAAGATGCCTCAAGACGGACCCCAGGCACTGCTCCTGCTTCTGGCCCCCATGGCTCCCAGTGACACCGAGCTTCATCCAAGCCCCTCAGCCTGGGACTCAGACCCTCTGGGTGGGGCCTGGCTGGCTGTCACATGGCTCCCCCTACAGCTCCCAGGGCCCAGGCCAGCTCCACCTCCAGGCTTGCTCCAAGTCCTTCTGGGTCGAGTGAGTGTCTCCTCCCCAGACGCCATGTGGCTCTCTGTGGCAAGAGCTGCCAGTGCCCGCTGGCCCGTGCATGAGTGGCCTGTGGCTGCCAAAACACGCGACCACAAACTGGGTGGCTTTAAACTACAGACGTTGATTCCCTCGGCTCTGGAGGCTGGAAGTCTAACATCCAGGTGCCAGGAGGGCCACACTCTCTCCAAAGGCTTGAGGGCAGGCTTCCTCCTGCCTCTTCCAGCTTCTGGTGGCTCCAGGTACTCCTTGCCTCGTGGCCGCATCCTCCAATCTCTGCCTCCGTCTCCACATGGCCCTCTCTTTCCTTCTTAATCAATTACAGCTACAAAGACCCTTTTTCCAGATAAGGCCCAGGCACAGATTCTGAGGATTAGGATGTGGACATGTTTTCCTGGGGGCCCCATTCAGCCCATAACACTCTCCCCATCCTTATCCTCTCTGCTCCCCTCAACTCCCATCCCCTGTATCTGCATCTTTCTGCACGAGGCT
This sequence comes from Homo sapiens, assembly GCF_000001405.40. Classification (NCBI taxonomy): domain Eukaryota; kingdom Metazoa; phylum Chordata; class Mammalia; order Primates; family Hominidae; genus Homo; species Homo sapiens. The sequence goes on from NC_000008.11 coordinate 141,999,280, forward strand.
TTCTTCCAGCCAGAACCACTTTGCAGACATGCCTGGGAGAGACACCCCCAGGGAGCTCCCCTCAGCCACAACTCAGGGTGGGGTGCGTACACACCCCAGCTCCCTCCCTCACTCCTCAGTGGGAGATTCCCCAGCCACCTCGTGCTCAGCACTGCTGTCCGGTAGCATTCCCTGTGGGGTGGAACCCCCGGCCCCCACATGACTGGCGACACAGCTTACCCTTGCTGCCCGCCGCTCCTTTCTTGCCTCCCTTACCCACTTCGCTACCTGCATTTCCTGATGTCACTTCCTAAATAAACGACCCCAACTTGAACCCATGCCATGCAGCCCGCTTCTGGGGGAACCCAAACTGGGCCCCTCTCCTGCAGTGCCCAGACCCTCCCAGCTGGTATTGTGTTTATGCACACACCTCACCCACCCTCGCAGATGGGGTCCCATGTGCCATCGGTGTGGGGTCAGGTCCCTGGCATGTAGTCGTGTTACCTGGCATGGGGTCATGCACCTGTCATGCGGCCATGCTACGGTCTGCTGGTCTTTCCAGGACAGCCCATCCGAGACAGCACCCAGGACCCAGGGGACCCTGCAGACCAGGATATACACGCATTTAACCACCATGACACTCCACCCAAGGGGAGCTCTTGGGAAGGCTATTCTAAACACCCACCAGCCAGCCGTGGACCCCCATTCATGATCACAGTGCCATAAACGGCTTGTGTGACAGCCCCTGGGGAGCAGCCAGACAGGAGCCAGCCTGCCTGTGTCTCTAGAACATCAGGACAGTGACACCCTGGAGCCCCAGCTCTCCATCCTGGGAGCCGTTGACACCTGGGCACCTGCAGCAGGACAATGTCCTTTCATTTGCTGCTCAACCGTGTCTCCCGGGAGCCTGAGAAATGTGCTCTGACAAGCATCAACAGCACGCTCTGTGTCACACAGTGAGACGCAGAGATGAGTAAGACCCAGTACCTGGCACGGTCCAGGGCTGGGGAAGGGATGGCAAATAAGTGAACATCATCCATGACTAAGAGTGCCACCATTTCACGGGGGCCCAGCAAAAGGAGAGGCTAACTCAGCGTGGGGGCCCCAGCCTGGCGGACCCTGGCAGCTGCAGAAATGAGTGCTGAGGGGATCAGCCACGGGTCCTCACATGCTGGAGATGGTCAGCAGGCACTGGGTGAGCGGCTGTGCGTCACCAGCTCAGCTGGTTGGGAGCTGTCCCTACAGCCCAGGACAGACAAAGAGGGCAGAGGTCTGCAGAGGGGCAGGAGCCAAATATAGCACCAGGCAGGGCTGGGGCTGAGGAAGTGGGTGAGCAGACAGAGGGAGTGGTGATGTCTGCTGGGGGGCTTGTTTTTATGCCTGAGGCTCCCTCTGTGTGAAGGGGACCCCACCGAGGCAGCAACCCCAGCCTCAGCCCCTCCCGAAGAGGATCAGTGTGCATCTGGCGGGTGCGCTGGGGAATAAATGGGGCTTCCCTCGGAGGCGAGGCCCCGTAGGCAGCCTGCACGCTCCACTGCTCCTCCAGGGGCTTCTCCGATGTGTCGGGGGGTGCTGTCAATGCTGGGGGCCCTCATTCTGGGGGCGTGCTGTCACTGCTGGGAGTCCCTCATTCATTTGTCAGCCAAGGGGCCAGGTAGTGGTCCCCTTGGCTGACAAACCCAAAGCCACATCCTCCAGTACTGAAGGTGATATTTGGGGGCCAACCTGTCACTGCATTTCAAAATCTTTTCAATTTCTCAGGACCTGGGAAGGAAGAGGGGTGCTCTTGGTTGGGTCCTCTTAGGGACCCCAGCATTTGGTTTATTTATCAGGACTATTAAGAAATGACAAGGGAAGAAGGTATTGGGACGGGGATAAACGTGCCCAGGGAGGGCTCCGGTAAGGACCAGGCAGGAGGGACCCAGGTTCTGCATCCCCGGTTGGCTCGGCCATGGTGTTCTGGATGTCTCCAAGGCTCCTCTGAGGTCTCCTGGCTCCCACCATGTTCCTCATTCTGCAGACAGGAGGTGTTGCTCCCCAGCACTGCCCGGGCAGTCAATCAAGGCAATCAATCAAGGCAGGCGCTCTACCTGTTCCCCGGGTGCATCCCCACCTATCACCAGGGGACACGGGAAGGCCAGGCGGCCAGACCGGAGCTGACGTCCTGCAGCAGCGTCGACACAGGACGAGGGGCTCTCGGAGGCAGGGGACTTGCCCTCTGGAGGAGTGGGTGGGATGCAGGCCTCCGTGGCCTCCCTGGAGCGGCCTGGCCTCCAGCTCTCAGACACCCTGCTTGCCTGCCTGCCTGACCTTTCTGCAGCCTCACTTTCCTTTCTCCCTTGTGCTGCCTCCTGGGATTACAATCTCAATAAAAGTGGGCGAGCGTGCTTTGATTTCCAGGGAGTCAGGCTTCAGCGTGGAGGACAGGCTATCATGGGGGCCGCTTTGTTCACAGGCCGGGGCTGCTTTGATGGGGCTGGCCTGGGCTTAAGAAAGCTGTGCAGCCTCAGGAAGGTGCGGGGCCTTGCTCCTCCTACCCCCTCAGAGGCCGTCAGGCACAGGCCTCAGCAGGCCCAAGCAGCGCCGGGCACAGGCAGCTGTGGCTGCACCCCAGAAGGGGTACACAGTGTACCCAGAAGGGCCCACAGACAGTCACCTGGGCAGGTGCCTCAGCAGGCAGGCCCTGCTGGGAGGAACGCAGAAAACCCTGCAGCTTCTGCAACGCGGGCGGCAGAGGCCCCGAGGGTTCTCGACTTACACAGTCGGTGCCTGGCTTGCTGGGAGCAGACCCACCTCAGACCCAGGTTTCCCAGACCTAAGCCCCTAAAAACAGCGGGGGCTGCAGCCCTGGGTCACATGTGGTGCCTGGGCTCTCTTGCAGCCTCTGGGCGGGCTGTGTGCTCCCAGCAACTGGAGCCTTCAGGATGGGAGCACGGGAGAGGGTGTCTAGCTGTGGATTCAGTGACCTCAGAGTCTCTTTTGATTCATTTCAGAGCCTTCCAAAAAGGGCAAAATGCAGAGTGTCTCTCAGCAGCCAGAAGAAAAGGGGAGGAGCAGCCCATCGCCTGGTGTGGGGAGCATGGGCTGCAGGAAATGGGCGGGGCCTCTTGGGTGGGCGGGGCTACAGAGAGTGGGCGTGACTTTCTCCAGGACATGGACCAGGTTATGGATTTTGCCCAGTGGGGGTGGGAGCAAACCCAGTGGAACTCCACATTCCCCGCTCTGGGCCCTTCTCTGGCCATTGTCCACGGAGGTGAGCAGGGTGCCTGAGTTGTGTGTACCCTAGCAAGTGGCAGCTGACATCGGAGCCAGGCTCTGTTCTGCGCTCTTCTCTCCTCGGCCACTGCTGGGTCAGTGCTGCCTCTGACCGGCAGCACTGGTGGCTCAGAAAACAGAGTGGAAAGAGGCCTTGAGTGAGAAGCCGAGGGTGCAGGGCCCAGAAAAGGGCCTGGGGACCACAGCATCCAGACACTGGGCAAACGACCAGACACCAGCTGCTCCAGATTCCGATCAATGGCACTTCCACCTAATCCATCGTCAAAGTTATAGGAGTCTCATAAGTGGTCCGGGAGCGAGTGGCCTCCCAGAGGGCGCTCCTGAGGCAACGATGCATGACATTAAAACAATTGCCTTGACCATCCTCTGAGCACTGCTGTGACCTCTCCCCAAAGCCAGAACCGCAGCCCCCAGCCGCCTCCTCCTCTGGCCCTCTCTGCCTGTGCCCTGCCCGGCTCACCCTTCAGCCTGAAGCCACTTGGAAGAAACCCTGCTGGAGGCTGGCTGAGCTGGGGCAGGACGTCCTGAGATGGCCCCTGGAGGGAGCAAACGTGGCCAGCGGGGCTGCTGTGGCTGGTGGCGCTGCAGTCCACAAGTGCAAGCCAGCAACACAAGTCAGGTCCCGACCCTGCTGTGCCAGAGAGACTGGCAGCATCGGGCAGGGACTCAGCCTCCCTGGATCTCTCTTTCTTCCTGTGCAGGATAGAGACCACCCAAAGGGGGACTGGGGCAGGACAATGAAATGCAGGAGGCGTGGCTCCCAGAGCCCAGGGTGCTGTGCACACCTAAAGGCTGAGTCCAGCGCTTCTTTCCTTCACTAGGTGCTGTGGCTCCCTGGGACTGATGAATCGGGAAGTCTCCAGGAGGAGGTCAGGACTCTGCAGAGGTGGTTCCTAAGCCTCAACTCACTGTGTCTGGAGATGGGCTCTGAGCTTGGTGTTGTCCCCACTGTGAAGTGACTTGGGGTCACCAGAGGCTAATGGACCAGTGCAGAGTTGCACGGCATGTGCAGGGTGTGCCTGGGGATTGCAACCAGGCGTGTCTTACCCCACAGCCAATGTGGAGCCTGTGTGTGCGTCTTGGAGGGCAGCATGCTTAGGAGGGATTTATGCCATGCGCCTTCTCACAGGAAACTTTCTCCCACAGCGTGGACATCTTTGAGATTATAGTTTTGCAAAAGACAGCATGACATTCTTCAAATGGATGTTCATATTATATCCCTCTATAAAAGCCGGGGACATAACACTAAATCACAGCCGTGGGAAGGAAGCATTGGAGCTGGGCTGACACTCTGCACGCACATCTCCTTCTGGTGTTTTAGCCTAACCCTGGGACCACATCATTAATGCCGTGTTTAATGTCCCGGGTCTGGGGATATAAAAACAACCCGTGCTATGTTTGAGAACATTTACTAAGAGGTAAGGGGCTTCCGCGTTCTGTTTGATAAGTGCCTGGTTTATTTTATATGGAAATAAAAGAAAACTTTTTTTTTTCCCAGAACCATTCTGTCCAACCCGGCCGCAGCCCGTATGCATGTGTGAGGACACATTTCATCTTCAGCACCAGATGTGGGGGTGTGGAGCACACTGCTGTTGAAAGGAAAACAAATCATTCATTTATCTCTGTGTTCATTCATTCCATAAATATTTGCTGAACACTAAGTGGGTGTTGGGGACACAGCCATGAAATAGATGGACGTGGACTCAATCCTCATGGCAGCTGCAGAGTGCAGTCGGGGAGCCTCTCCTACGGTGACAATGATCACCCGGGACTGAGCGATTACTTCTCTGCATCCGTGTCTGCCCCTGAGAAATCCACGTGTGTGCCCGAGAGGTGAGGATGGAGATGCCGCCACGGCACCGCTTGTAACCACAAAGCTCAGGAGCCACATGCATGCCCAGCACCAGGAGGAAGCCAGTCAAGCTGGCTCCTCTGTGGGGCAGCAGGCAGGGTTCCCGCCAAAAGCAACAGCCCTTCTGTGGGACAGCAGGCAGGGTTCCCGCCGAAAGCGATGGCTCCACAGCCCTGCTGGGAATAAGCGTCCAGACACACTGCTGGAGGAAGGCAGGAGCCGTGCGGGGACCTGCACGGCATAGGCCACGGATGTAAGCGCCCGCGAAGCGCCGGCACCCACCCGCACGTCCTGTGGGGGCATCCAACCGTGTGATGCGCAGATAAGGGCCCCAGAGGGCACACCGCAGCCACCGCAGGGTGAGCTCTGGAGGGGGTCTCCAGCCTTCTGGGGAAGCTTTAAATTGTTTACAAGAGAATGTATTCATGGATGACTTGTTCAATGAGGAATTAATGAAATTAGAGAGAAAGAGCAGGAAGGAAGTCCACCTCGGCGGCTCCGGGCACCTGCTCCAGGCCCAGTGTTTTCATGGTGTTGTGTCTGATCCTGGCGACTCCTGTCAGTGAAGTCCTAGAGCCCAGTGTTTCAAGCAAGGATGGCGGAACACAGAGCTGCCAAGGACACTGCAAGGTCACATGTCATGTGGTTGACAGCCTACGCTGGGGGGCCTTGGCCTGAAGCCTGGACCTCAACCCTCCCCTCCACGGCATGCGTATTGCTATTTAATGAACTAGACTTGTTGTCAACAAAGGCGGGACTCTCTCTCTCTCACACACACGCACGCATGCGCGCGCGCACACACACACACACACACACACACTCACCCACACACGCACACACACACACAGCCTCCAGTGATTGGACTATGAGCAGGAATCAGGAGGCTTTCAAGATCTCAAGCCAGGGCTGACAGAAACGTGGGAAGGAGAGTGAGGCTGCTGGGGGGCTAGGGAGTCGGCGTGTGGCATATGGCATGTGCCACGTGCTGTCCGTCCCTCATAAGCCAAATGTCTTGAGTGGACTTTTGGCAGCTGCCGAGTCACTGTCAATGTGGGTTCGGCCTGGAGTGCCAGTGGTCCCTGTGGTTGCTGGAAGAGCATGATGCCCTGGGTTAATGATGGAGCAACTGCCTGGGTAAGCTGAGTCAGTGAGGAGATGTTATAGGATCTGACCCCGCCCTTCCAACCACTTTCACAGCAAATTGGGTGAGCTTTGCGGTGAAAGGTGGGAGGGAGTGGGGGCCTGGGTTTGCTGAGCTGGCACTATCCACCCATTCACTAAAACATCTGCAAAGCCTGCAATCTGTACCCGGCCCCTTGCTACCTCTCACGTGCCCCATAGACCTGGTGAGACAAGAACGGGTCTGCCAGCTCCTAGGAGGACTGGAACTCATGAGGTGACTCACAGGCACGGTGGAGCAGGTCCCAAATGCCCACGACATGCAGGGTAGGACACGCCCATCAGCAACCATGGCAACATCATGAGGATGGAGAGAACAGCTTTGCCCACCTGGGGCCACTGGCCGAGGACCTGCAGGTGTGAACCACCTGTCCTATGGCTGAAGACCGAGGTGAGACCTTGCTCAAGGGGCCACACAGCTGGTCAACCTCAGGCCGAGATCAGGAACCCAAATCTGCCTGATTCCAAACCCCACCCTGCACCCCCCTCCCCAACAAGGCTGGTGCCCTGTGAGCATAGAGCCCCTTCCTGGGGGCTGCAGAAATGTGGAAAGGCCTGGAAAGTGAGGCTGGCTGGTGCCCAGAGCCTGAGGACCAGGCCACGCCAGGTGGCCAGGTGTCACCTGCCTCCCTTCTAGAGCCTCCTTCCTTCTTCTCAAGCCCAGGGCCACCATAGAGGTCTGACCTCACTGAGCTCTTCACATTCCTCATGCCCTAGAAACATGTGACAGGAAGTTCAAATTCTCTTGATCTCAATATCACGACTAAAACAGCAAGTCCCACCCACACTCAGCACAGGTGCATGTGTATCAAGATGAACACTTGCAGGTGTGTGGACAGGTATGAACGCCCTTCGAAGGGACCGCCAGGGGTCACTGAAGGTGGCAGCTGGGCTGGGCCGGGCTATGATGCCCCACGTGTTTGGTCACCACACTTCTGGATGCTGCCAGGAAGGTACTTTATGGACGGGATTCACATGTATGGCCAGCGGACTTTGATGAATCCAGCAGATGACCTCCCCGGGGCGGGCAGGTCTCATACAGTCAGCTAAAGGCTTTAAGAGCAAAGACTGCGGCTTCTCAGAGAAGAAGGGATTTGGCTTCAAGATTGCAACATGGAAACCTTGCCTGAGCTTCCAGCCCTCACTTGGACTTCAGGCTTGCCAGCCCCCACAGTCGCACAAGCCAAATCCTTAAAATAAACCTCCCCTCTCCGTGTGTACATATACAGCCTGTATATATCTCTCCATCTCCTGTAGATGCTGCTGTCTCCTGGAGATCTCACACTTGTTCTGTTTCTCTGGCCAGCCTGAGCGACACCGGGGCCCCACGTATGTAGCATTAGCCCCAAAAGCCTGCCAGGCCCCAGGTCCTGCAGCTGGGTGTCTGGCGAGCTGTCTCCGTGCAGTAATGAGGACGGTGAAACCACTCATGAACAGGGATGCTATCACAACAGAATCTGTCATGACAGGCCCTTGGAGACAGTGTGCCGATTAACAGGAGGGGAGTGGGGAAGAAGTCAGGCCATCCACAGAGGACTGTAAGCTACTGAATGAGAAAGGCCGCTGCCCACCGCAGCGTGTACGCCGTTTTCTACATTTACGGAGAGACTCAGGTGTGTGCACACTGTGTGTCCAGAAGGGCTGAGGGCTACAGAGCAGCCTGGAAGAAGCACATCGAAATGAGCAGAGCCCACACCCATCCTCCCGGGGACCATGGACTGCCACCACCTCCCTGCGGACAGCCCTGGGATGCAGACCCCAGCCACCAGGCCGGCTGCACGGACCGCAGGGTGCAACTGCCTCCTCTCTCAGCCCCTTTGTGCAGTGAACAACGTGCGTAGCCATATGGGCAGCCCTGAAATCTTACCTCCAGGGTGGAGCTGGGATGATGAGTCATTGCTGTTTCTGCTATGCTTTTCAACATCTTCTAAGGTTTATACCATGGGTGTTTGTTGATTTCTTATCAAAGACAAATAAAAAGCACTGAAAGCAAACCAGCCACCCTCGTGCTGTGGCCCACACGGCTCCTGGTGCCAGCAAAGACAGCTGGGCATCACCAGCCTAGCAGACAGAGGACTAAAGTCCCCTCGAGCGCCTCAGGGTCGGCTTCCCAGGCCTTCGCAGCCCGTGTGAAGCTAGAGCGTCTGGGTGCCCTGGACCGCCACCCATGCCATCCTCAGTGAAGGAGCTGGGCTCAGACAGGATGCCCAAGAGAAGAATGACCTGAAATGACATCTCCGCTGATGCCCAGCTCAGTGTGCAGAGGCTATTGTCTCCCCGTCCACCCACCCCTGAGGAAGCCAGCCTGTAGCTATCCCCTCAGGCCCTTCCCTGACCTGCTGGGCTCTGCTGTTAGCCCCTGAGCAGCCACCACTCGCACCTGGACACACCGCGCCCACTGCACAGACACACACATACACACCCATCACACACATCACACCCACCGCACAGACACACACACCCATCACATACACCCGGACACACCACACAGACACACACCCCCATCACACACACCCAGCCATCACACATACATCACACCCACTGCACAGACACACACACCATCCCATACACCCAGACACACCACACAGACACACACCCCCGTCACACACACCTGGACATGTCACACACACCTGGACATTTCCACACCCACCACACAGACACATGCGCACACACCCATTACACACCAGACACACCACACCCACCAGAGACACACACACACACCCAGACACATTGCACCCACCATACAGACACACACACACACCCATCACCCACACACAGACACACCGCACCCACCACACACACACACACACACCCAGACACACCACACCCACCATACAGACACACACACACCCATCACCCACACCCAGACACACCACACCCACCACACAGACACACACACACCCATCACCCACACACAGACACACCACACCCACCACACAGACACACCCACACACCCAGACACACCACACCCACCATACAGACATGCACACATGCCCAGACATACCACACCCACCATACAGACACACACACACACACCCATCACCACACACAGACACACCACACCCACCATGCAGGCACCTACTGTGTGTGCACACACACCCATCACCCACACACAGACACACCACACCCACCGTGCAGGCACCTACTGTGTGCACACACACCCATCACCTACACACAGACACACCACACCCACCGTGCAGGCACCTACTGTGTGTGCACACACACCCATCACCCACACATACCCCGTATCTAGCTCCACTGACTGTGGAATTGAGTCATTACTGGGAGCCCTGCTTCCATGCAGCATGAATTCATCTCCTAACTGATCCCACCTTTATCTTGACGAGGATGTGGACTTCATGGGTCATCAGACAAAACTTCCTCTTTACCGAAAGAATACCGGCTTAGAGACCATCAACTCATCCGTTCACTCCACGAGCGTCCAGGGAGCCGCGCTCTGTGCCAGCCTCGAGGGGCATCCGGGTGCTGCCTCCCGATGTTTGCATCTCTCAGAATTCACAAGTGGAAATGCCAACGCGAGTGATGGGATGGGCAGGTGGGGCTTCGGGAAGGGGTGGAGTCCCGAGGGTGGGTGGGACTTCAGGAGTGGGTGGAGTCCTGAGGGTGGGTGGGGCTTCGGGAGGAGGTGGAGTCCCGAGGGTGGGTTCTCATGATGGGACTGGTGCCCTTATAGCATGAGACTCCAGAGAGCTGCCCCATCCACCATGTGAGGGCACAGCCGACAGACGGCCGCCTGTGGACCAGGAGGCAGCCCTCTCCGGACGCCAAATCTGCCGGCACCTTGATCTTGCACTTCCGGCCTCCAGGACTGTGAGCATTAAATGTCTGTTGTTCATGAGCCGTTATCAGTTTAAGGTATTTCTGTTATAGCAGCACACCCGGACTGAGACAGCTGATGAACAGGATGGGTGTGAGGCCTCCTTGGGGCACACTGGCTGGCTGGGAAGACACACACCTAAACGAGTGCCATAATAGTGTGTGACTGTGATGACAGTGGTAGAGAAATGCTGTTCTCTCAACCCTGGTTGCAGAACCAGAGGACCACCAGATGTCCAAGCCAGGAGGGCCCATGGCATCCAAATGACTCAACATGTGGCCAGGGTCAGGGCTCAGAGTATGGCCCCGGTCTGAGCTCAGTCTGGAGAGAAGGGCCATCCAGCCACTCTGCGCTGGTCCTCAGACCTTGGCCAATACTCCACCCACCGGCCTCCATATCAAGGCTCAATATGGCCGGGATGAAGGCTCTGTCTTTAACCTATGAGCTCTCAGTCTGTGAGCAGGACCAGGGCTCAGCCTGTGAGAGAGATCACAGCTCCTCCTGTGACCAGGGACAGGGGTCTCTGTGGCCATGGTGAAGACTCAGAATTTGTCCAGGATCAGGGCTCAGTCTGTGACAGGGGTTATGGATTAGGGGTCAGCGTGGAACCAGAGTCAGAGTCCAGTATGTGCCTGGGATCAGGGCTCAGTCTCAGCAGGTCCGGGCTCTGGCCTCCCCGCGAGGGCCTCTGCTCCTCACTCTGAAAGCAACCTTCGCGTCCTGCTCCAAGCGGCTGGGTGGCCTGGTCCCTGTGCCCTACCCACTTTTTCCTGTGGAAATCCCCTTTGGCTCGAGTCCTAATTATGTTTAAAACCCCACCTTGGCCGGGGGATTTCATCAGGGAGCAGGAGCTCAAGGCCAGGGTGCTGTGGGAAGAGGAGGACAGGTGGCCTGGACAATTCCTGCACAGCCCAATCAGGGCGCCTGCACACCTGGATTTGCATAAATCTCTAAGCCGATTAGAGGGACATTCAGAGGAAGCCTCGCAGGTGCCCAGCCAGCAAAGCAGGCGCCCTCCCTCTCTGGGCAGATTAATTGTTCCCAGCCCAGCTAGCTCCAAAGCCCAGTTCATTATCTCTCCCTGTGAACCGGCACCTCCCCTGCTCCTTCCCTGCTCCAGTCAGTGGCATCAAACTCAGAACCCCAGATGCCTTCTCTCCTATGGCCCTGCATTCAGTCCCCCTGTCCAGGCCTGGGCCGGGCTGAACCCCTCGCTCCCTCCCACTACCCACCCTGCTCAGGGCTAGAGTCTTCAGCCTAATTCCTGCCACGACATCCCCCTGGGTGTTCCTGACACCAGCCTCCCTGCTCTGTCCATTGCACCCCTGCAGCCTGCCTAGAGGACTTGCCGTTCTGCTGGTTCAGAGCAGGCTGGCGTCTGGCCTTCCTGGGTCCCTGCGTCCTCCTCTGGATCAGGCATTGCACCGCCCTGGGAGCTGCAGCCTGCTCCCCTTTGGCCAGCACCCCTGGAGGCTGGTGGATGGAGTGCTGGGCAAGGTCTCAGGACCAGCGCAGAGCACCTGGATGGCCCTTCTCTCTCCGCTTGCCCTTTTGCCACGGCCCCTTCATGCCCCGCCCCCTGCAGGCAGGGGCAGCCTCCCACCCTCCTGAACAAGCTTCTGTCTGCCCCACTCAGCCCTGACACCTGCTCTTCCATCCTGGGGTTGCCGGGGAGAACCCCAGGCCAGGCCAGGAGAAGATTTGGATGGAGGCGACTTTCACGTGCAGAGCCCTCCTCACCCCAGGGGTTGCAGGTGTTGGGGCCTTGGGGCCTGGTCTGATTGACCCTGGCTCCCAGCTCCTTCCCTCTGAGAACAGAACAGGGAAGGGGCTCCCTCCTTGGGTCCATCCTAGCGGCTGCAGAGACTCCAGTGAGTGCAAGAGTGGAAGTGGGTCCTGCGGCAGCTGCAGTTGTCTGTGTGACCCTGGGCAAGCCAGTCGCTCGTGGAGGAAGGAAAAGTTTGGGTTTGTTGGCCTGTGAGCTTCCTCCTGACGGCAACGCTTTAAATCTGCAAGATGAGCTTTGTGAGCCTCAGATGAAATGATGTATTCACAGGCAGTTTTGGTCAGCTTTCGGGGAACAGTGGCATCCACCCAGGCTGGCTCTGCCGTGAGCAGACCAAATGCCTGCCGACATGGGGAGCCAGGTGCTCTCATTCATGCAACAAAAACCTGCTGGGCTTAAGAGGCTGTGGATTCAGAGACCTGGGTCTGCCACCTGCCATGTGTGATCTGCTCCAGTCACTGGGCCTCTGTGTGCCTCAGCTTCCTCTTCTGTGAGATGGAGTGATGGTACCCTGTGCCGTGGCTGTGCTAACATGGTGCCGTGCAGCACATTCCTGGCCCGCAGCAAAGGCTGGATGCACCTGCATTTGCTCATGCTGCACAGAGGTGCTCCGGCCTTTCCTGTGTCAGGAAGGAAAAGGTCACATTTGCAATGCTCATGGGGAAAAGGCTGCTTGAGGCAGAGGACAACGGGGCTAGGGGTTCTGGCAGCCCAGGACCTTCGGACCTGCCCCAGGGCTGAGCAGCATTCGACTCTCTGTGTTCTCGTGGCAGCCACGCCCCAGGGCAGAAGCTGTGGACCTCGATGGAGTCCTGTGTCAATGGGACAAGCCTGTTGTCCCCTGTGATGCCCAGTCTGGCAAAGTGATGGGCACAAACCAAACCCCCGTGGCAGACATCGAGGCAAAGGCTCCAAGGGCTGGAGACCTGGCCCCAGGAGGGACCTCCACGGGACCTCGTGAGCTGTGAGATCTAGGAGCAGGAGGGAGCGGGCTCTGATGGTGGAGTGAGGGGGATGGCACACACTGATGCTGGAAGGGGAACCGGGGTTATCTCCGTTTTAAGGCTTTGGGGGAGGGAGGGAGTCATGGAGGTGATGTGCTTGGTTCCAAAGGGCTGCTGGGAGGCTCAAGTGAAATCCTCAACACAAGAAAGTGCCAACAGTGCTGCCCTCCCCTCCTCCCAGCTGTAGGACTTGGCGTTATCTGCCCCACCTCTGCTCACAACCTCTGGAACCTCCATCATGAAACATGGAGCATTTGTGAGGCTCCAAGTGTTCTCCATGCAGAGGGAAGACCCCATAACCACTACTGCCATCATCACAGTCATCTCCATTGCCACCACCGCCAACATCACCACAGTTACATGGTCCTCATCACCATCAGCACCCCCATCATTACCTCATCACCATCTCCTTCACCACCGTCACCATCAGCACCCCCATCGTTACATCATCACCATCTCCATCACCATTGTCACTCATCGTTACATCATCATCACCACCACCACCTCCATCACCACCGTCACCATCAGCACCCCCATTGTTACCTCATCATCATCTCCATCACCACCATCACTCATCGTTACATCATCACCACCACCACCACCTCCGTCACCACCATCACCATCAGCACCCCCATCGTTACGTCATCACCACCACCATCTCCACCATCACCATCAGCACCCCCATCGTTACATCATCACCAACACCTCCATCACCACCGGCACCATCAGCACCCCCATCATTACGTCATTATCACCATCACCTCCATCACCACCGTCACCATCAGCACCCCCATCGTTACATCATTATCACCACCACCTCCATCATCACCGTCACCATCAGCACCCCCATCGTTACATCATCACCAGCACCTCCATCACCACCATCACCATCAGCACCCCCATCATTACATCATTATCACCATCACCTTCATCATCACCATCACCATCAGCACCCCATCATTACATCATCACCATCACCTCCATCACCACCGTCACCATCAGCACCCCCATCGTTACATCATTATCACCACCACCATTACTGTCGTCACCCCTCCACCATCACCACCACAAATGTCATCACTATCATCATCATCAATGGCTGTCCCAAGTGACCTATGTTTCTACAAAAACGGGAGCTAAGAAGCCTCCCCCCAGGGCTGCTGAGGAACAAGGCTGAGGTCCTGGGCTGTGCCACGTGGTGCCAGATGCTCTGGTCTCCATGGTGATTGAGTCAGTCCAAGTCTTTGGCCAGCAAGCTGCAAACCCCTCTTAGATTTTGCCAGCAGTAGCCCTTGCTCGCTGCTCCATGGGGGTCTTAATAAGCAGGTAAATACGCTGCTTAGTGTCCAGGATCACGAGGTTGCAGCACTGGATCAGGAGACTGTGGGAGGCTGAGTAGCTTTGTGCTCTGGGCCGTGTGAGGCTGACGCTCAGTGATTGCTGTGAAATCCCAGCCCTCCCGGCTCCACCCGAGGCCAGCTGGTCCCTGGTACTGAGCCACGATGTCTCCTTCCTGGCTGGCTGCACCCCTTCCCTCTTCTGCCTCCAGAGAGGCGAGGAAGGTTCTCCAGCAGCCTTTCAGGGTTCCTGGCTTCTGCCTCCACCACGGGCTCTCCCTGAGACTGTACGGCTGTCCTGTTGCTGCAGTAACACATTAGCACAAATTTGGTGGCTTAAAACAGTAGCAATTTTTTTCTGTCACAGTTTTGGAGGCTGGAAGTCTGCAGTCAAGATTGGTCAGGGCCACAACCCTTTGGAAGTGCTGGGGGAGAGCAGGTGCCCCACCCTCCAGGTGCTGGTCCGCTGGCATTCCTCGGGGTATGGCTGTGCCTCTCGCCCCTTCTTCACAGCACCTCTCCTGTGTGTCTCTCTTGAACCTACATCTCCCCTCTCTCATAGGAACACATGTGGGGGCATCTAGAGCCCGCCAGATAATCAGGACAGCCTTCTCCTCGAAACACCCTTAACTTCATCACATCTTTTGCTAAATAAGATACAAGTCATGGGTTCCAGGGATTAGGACGTGAACACGGGGCTGTCCTCCAACTAGCTACAGAGGCCTGGACTGAAGGAGCTCTGGGGGGAAGCAGAAGGAATCTCGAGAGCTGGAGCAATAGAGGACTCTGGAGACTATGCTGGGGCCTCACCCCGCCTTGGCCGTGGGGTTTTAGGGTGACCCCTGAGGCACAGTCCCCCCAGCACTGACCTACTCTTTGCCTTCACTCAACTGCTTCTGCTTCCTGTGGCCCTGTTGCTGCTCAGACCCTGGCCTCCTCCCAGGCCACCCCCTCTTCCAGGGCCCTTCCCCATCTTTTGGCCTCCCTCATTGGCTAATGCCCAGCTATCATCCCAGGGATCCGAGAAGCCTCGGTCCCCCAAGTGCTATGAGCCACCCTCCCCCGGGTGCCACGGCCCCGTCTGCTGCCTGCTCCTGTCTGTGTCTCCGTGAACGGTCAGCCGCAGGGACGTCCAGATGCTTCACCATCAGAACCCAGCAACTAGGACCGTGCCAGGCACCGTACTCATTCACGCAATGAAGGAACGGGTGAGGGAGTGAGCGACTGACTCCAAGGCCCCTGCCATGTAGGAATTCTTAGGCTTCAGGCACAGTGGGTTTCCCGAGTGGCCAACTGCAAAGGGGAGAGCCTGGCCTTGGAGCCCGAGTGTGCCCGGCTCCCCGATGCTCTGCTCACACCCTGCTGCTGCCAGAGTCCCGGGGCTGCCCAGCCTCTCCCCAGGACATGCTGAAACAGTGGCATCCCAAGCCTTCCGTGGATGGATGGCAAATAGGCAGGGCTGGGGTCCAGGGCTGGGCGGGCTGTTGAGATAGAAGCTAGGACCACCGCAGGGCTAGATGCTCCGCCTCCCGCCACCCTCCTATCAGGGACGCTCCCCCTGCAAGACTGTCCTGGGACGGGAGACTGACAGTCCTGGGCTCATCACAAATGGTACTGATCCCTGACAAAGGAGCCTCATCCTGATGTCTGACAAAGGCACCTCACCCATCAGCAAATGGCAGTGGGGGGCGTGGCCAGGGACACCCCCCAGCCCCGGTCCTCTTTGTGTTTTCTTTCCCCACCTCAAGAATTCTCAGGCATCCTCTGAGGAGGAGCAGGACACATGGAGACACCGGGAAAGTCTTTGGAGTCTCTTGCTGGAAGGCCAGAAGCAGTGTTCCTGTCTACAGGCGAGGGCAAGAACTGGCCCCGGTGCAGGGGCTTCTGACGGCGCAGAGCGCCAGGCGAAGCTCTTGTGGAATCCAGGTGCTTCTGCCTCCATTCTGGGCTCGTTTTACCACAGTGCAGGCACTGGGAGCCCTTGCTGTCTGTGTTTTGGGGTCACAGGCGACTCAGGGTCTTGAGTGTGCACAGCCCTCCCTCCCAGGCCGGGGAGCCCCCAGTCAGGAGGCCTGAGGGTCAGGAGGCTGGGCATCTGGTCCCAGGGCCAGGCCGCCTGCTGTGTAACCCTGGACAGGCCATTCCACCTCTTGGGCCTCAGTTGGGTTATTGGAAAAGCAAGAGAAAGAATTCATTCCTACTTCACAGGACCTTGGGATTAAAGGAGAATGTGCCTTAGAGGAGGGGTGTGAAGCCAGGCTCAAGATGCCTGGGAGAAGCCGCCTGAGGCCTGCTGCAGGGGCTGGAGTTGGCTTCCTGGAAGCCCATTCGGCTGCCCTGCACACATCAGGAGACAGGGAGTGATCCAGCGCCATCCTCAGGCACCCAGTGCATCCCAGCTGCTCTAGCCTGCTGGGGAACATGGCATGGCCAGCCTTGCCCACTGCCTGCCCGGACGCACCGTCCTCAGGGACATCCATGCCTCACCTCCCCGGCAAGCACCCCTCCAGTCGCCACCTCCTGCCTCTGTCAGGCCCAGCCCTCAGAGCGCCGCCCTATGTTCCCACACAGACAAGGAGAGCTGGTCCAGGGAGGGCGCCTCTCCCTGCGTGCTGGGCCTGGCTGTGTGGGAGGCAGTGGGCACTCGCCACCACTACCGCCTCCTTCACCGCGGGCCTTTGGCATCGAGGGGCTCTCCGACTGCCAAGGTTTAAATGGCAACTGGCGCAGGCTCCCAGCCCCAGGCCCGTCTCCGCCGGCTCTCTGGACAGCTGACAGCTGTCACACACTGCGGCAGGCATATGCTCGCCCAGCCCCATGTCCCACTAGCCAGGGCGCAAAACAAGCCCTGAGGCCCCTGCCCCATCCTGCCACATCCCAGGCTGCACATGGCCAGAGTCCAGCCTCCAGGCAGGCAGCTCCGTCCTCCTCCAGGCCTCTCTGACTACACCAGAAAGAAGGATAACCAGGCCCTGTGGTTGACACTGCCAAAAATTTGCTCTGTGACCATCAGACACATTAGTCCCTTCTCCCTGGGTCTCACTTCCTCATCTTCACAAAGCAGGGGCCAATGGCCCCACAGTCTCTCCCAGCTCTGACAGCCAAGCTTGCCTGCCCTAAATCATCAGAGACACAAGAGCCTACTCCAGGACCGAGGGGCACAGACCAGGGTGGGGCTGCGTCCTGGCTCATGGGCCCCAGGGATGAGGGGACGTTGGTGATGTTGGGAGACAGAGCACCTGGGACCATCCCTACCCTCCGTTCACTCATGAAGGCGCCTTCTGGGAACCACCTCCAAGTGCTTTTGCCTTCGGGTTCAGACTTCCATGGAAAGACTTGAGGCTCTTGGGCGAGGTGTGTAGGGCTCAGGAAGGGCACTGGCCGTGGGGACAGACGCAACTGGCATGGCCTGAGGATAGGCCAAGAGCCAGGGAGGAGAACAAGGGCCCCGGGGGAGGAGGGGCTGCCAGAACAAGCTGCTGTGACCCGGGGGGCCGACAGCCTGCAGGGCCTTCTCTGATGGCACTGCTGCTCCCTGGAACCAGGGTGGCATCCTCGCTTGGCACAGCTGGCCCTCGGGGCTGCCCAGGCCTGCCCGGGTCCCATGTGGCAGGAGGGACTCGGAGCAGGCACATGGGCCAGGGGCAGGAAGGTGTCGGGCCAGGCCAGCCAAATGCAGGCAGGCAAGGGGCCGCCACAGGGACACAGGTGGCAGCGTGAGTGCTCCCCCAGAGCCGGAGAAGGGGTTCTCTCCAGGGCAGGCTCTGCAGACCTGAACCTGCCCAACCAGTGGCCCCACCAGAGCCAGGACAGCACACACCCAGGAAGAAGCCACGAAGCCCTCACAGAATGCACACGTCACAGAATGCACACTTCACAGAATGCACACTTGAGATTCTCGCAGCCCCGGGGCCTGAGCTGAGGGGTCACCGGCAGTGCCGTGGGAGTCAGGCTGCCCTCCCGGAAGCCAGGCTGCTCCTGAGCAGAGCGGAGGCTCCATCGCCCTCCGGGGGGCACGGTGGCAGTCTCCAGGCTGCACTGGGGTTGGATGAGCTGGGGGTGGAGCACAAGGGGTCAGTCCCTCTCCCCACATCCCACGACTTTCCATGAAGGCCTCCCTGCTCAGGGGCCCCATGCTCAGAGGCCAGGGGTGACCTGGGGTGGATTCTGGACACACCTCTGCCCCCAAATGCCTTAGCAGCACTGAACCAGGACGTGGAAAGGGGCCAGCACTGACCTTAACTGCCAGCAGGAGGTCCACTATCGTCTGTCTAGGTAATGGCAGTGCCTCAGTGTGCCCTGGAGAATTGCTCCTCAGGCCGCTCCAGGACAGGGGCCGGGGTACTTCCTCCCAGTGGCCCTAACCACACCTACTGAGCACCGCTCCTGGGGGACCTCAGGTGCCCACACTCCACTCAGATCTGGGGCCTCTTGTTTTGCCCCAGCACCGGCCGTCCCCACCCCAGCTGCCCTCCATGGCTACTGCTGTGCCAAGGATGGGCTGGGCCCCCACCCCAGGCCCTGCCTGCCTCTTCTTGCCCTCGCGAGGGCTGTCAACCTCCTTCCTGACACTGTCTCACAGGCCCACCAGGTGACCCTGAGCATCAGGCATGGCCCATCCCCATCTCCTGAGGGTCATAGTAACCACCAGAGCCCCCTGTCACTCATGCTTCTGGGGCTTGCTCTGAACCCATGTCCTCCAAACTCTGTGGCCCCGTCCCCCCTCCCGCTGCTTGTCCTCCCCATCCTACTGTTGGGGCTCACTCTCCACGGGGTGTGAATTTCCCTAGAGATTCTGACTCGGGTGGCCTCTGGGTCTCTGCCCCACCCTGCCTCATGCAGGAGCCCCATGCTCAGGCCCTTGGGACAGCGCCCTGGCTGCTCCTTGCCCACACAGGCGCTCAAGCGGAAGGAGCTCACATGTCCATTCCCATCCCAGCACTCAGTAACCTCTCCCATTAACCTTCCCTGCTACAGCCGATTAAGCAAAGTCCCTAGAGAGTTGTAGAATCGGTGGCTCAGAAACATCCCATCCTCTCTGTAATAGTCAGCGTGGGCTGCCACAGCAAAATACCACAGACGAGGTGGCTTAAACGGTGGATACTTAACTCTCACAGCTCTGGTGAGTGCAAGTTTAAGGTCAGGGCATCCACCCGCAGGGCTCTCTCCTCGGGTGATGGGCGGCCGCCTTCTGGGTGCATCTTCACGTGGCCTTCCTCAGTGCACGCATGCAGGGAGGAGAGAGGGCACCTCAGGTGTCTCTTCTTATAAGGTCAGTGTCCCTCCCTGATAACCCCATTTAGGATTAGTTGCTTCCTTAGAGTCCCTATCTCCAAATACAGCCACACTGGGACTTAGGGTTTTAACACATACATTTGCAGGGGGACACGGACATTCACATCACAAGACCCCACCCCCCTACGCCCCCATTCAGGTGACAGTTCAGGAACTTTCTGCCAGAGAGCTGGAGCAAACTGCTAAATGTGGCAAAGTGAGTTTGGGTGCACCCTGAGTTCTCTACTCCCAGCTGAGCGGCTTCCCCACCCCAGAGTTCCTGCTCCAGCCAGCATTTCCAAAGCACTTACCGTGCAAGTCTGAGAGGCAATCGCATCAATTATGCTCACAGAGGTCCTGAGCATGCACTTTCCCACAGCCCTCTCACAGTTGCCTCGTGCACTCGGAGACTCAGGGAGAAAGCACTATCGGGGGGCTGCTCCGAGCCCAGACATCCGGCCCTGGTGGAAGGAAAACATGGAGTCTGCTCTCTGGGCTAATTGGTGCCTCCTCTGACTTGGGCACCTCCCTCAGGCCTGAGGAGCAGGTGGGAACTTTGACCCACTGAACCGAGTGAGGGGCGCTGGTCTGAGGCTGGCTGGGCAGAGATGCATCCGTGGGAGCCGAGAAAGTCCCTGCCGTGCTCCTGATCCTCCTGCTGGGCTCCAGCATCATGCAGTATTCCCTGCAGGCAGGCCCACTCCTCAACTACCCCCTTGCCCTTGGTGTCCCAGAGGCTGAGGGTGCAGCCCAGGATACCTGAGGGTGCCCGCTCAGCACTCAGGCACATAGCCTGGATGTGCAAGGGAGTGGGGCAGCCGTTGGCCCATGAGGGTGGAGCCTGGTGGGTCTTCCATGTCTGGGTGCACAATTCTATGGCACACGCCATGCGGCTCCTAGGGCATCCCGTGGGCTTGAGCCCCAGGTGGCCACTACAGTGGCCTGTTTGAGGCCACAGCCTTGTAGGACCAAGCACCCTGTCTCGTTCTGCCTCACCCTGCCTGCACCCTGATTCCTGAGCGTCTGAAATCACTTGCCGAAGCAAAGGGCTCCCGTACAAACCCTTGTCTCAAGTTCCGTGTTCGGGGGAACGTCTGCATTCAGAGATGACCCTAGTGCGCCCTGCTGCCTGGAGTCCACACCCTTGTGTTCTGAGGACCTGGCGCAGTCGCTGGCACAGGGCAGTGCTCAGTGAGGGTTTCTAAATGAGCCTCCCCTCGGGGCCGGGGCATGGGGTTTGGTGTCTCATCGAAGCTGCTGGCTACCAAGTGAGCAGCCTGCTCACACATGGACTCGGTGACTGTCACCACGTAGAGGCACTAAGACCCTAGAGGCCAGGAGAGCCCTGCTCTGGGGAGCACCAACTGGCACCTGGGCCCCAAGAGAGACTTGGTGAGCTCCTGGGAGCAGGGACAGAGGACAGAGGCCTGGAGGCCACGGAGGGCAGGGAGCCCAGGAGAGGAAAGTGGTTCCAGTCAGCTACACTCACCATGGGCACAGCCCGCCACCCCTCAGCCTCCTCAGCCACTGTTGGGACAGGAAGAGGGGGCGTCCAGGGGCAAGGCTGGGCTCAGCACCTGGGAGCTGTGGGGAGGTGAGGGGTACCATGGGCTGGCCTATGAGGCAGGGCAGCCGCAGGAAGGTCAGCTAGCTGCAGGAAACACCCCTCATACAGCTCCAGGCTGACCTCACACAGCTCCAGGCTGACCGCATTCTCTGTGCTTGGAATGTGCTTCTGCTCCTCTCTGCCTTCCTCTGGGAATAGCAGTTCTCCTGGAGGAGGGACTGCTGATGGCTCTTTCCATTGCCTCTTTGAGATGCAAATTCCCTGACCCAGGGGCACCCCCTCTGTGGGCTGCTCTCTCCCCTGCCAGGCCAAACAATCACTGCCTGGCAGCCACTGGGGCTGGTGGCTCCTTCATTACCTGCCTCACCATGCACCTGGTGGGTTCTTTCCCAGCTGCTGGCTCCCCCAGGGACAGGAGAGGCCGGGCCCTTGCCAGCTGATGTGGGTTCCTGCGTGGCCCGTGCTGGCTGCTCACAGGCGGGCACTGCTGCCGCTGCTGCACCTGCACTTCCTTTCTTGCTCATCTTTGTCAAGGAGGATGCCTGGGGCTGCGGCTCCTCTGCACCCTTCCCGAAACCTGTCAGCCCTTTTGGGGACTGGGCACAGATGGCAGGTCCTGCAGCTCCTCTCATCTTTCTGTTCAGAAGCCATCCTGTCCGGCTCAGGCCAGGTGGCGAGGGGAATCAGCCCCGGCCTCAGGGTTCACACCCTCTTCCCTCCCTGACAGCCATGTGGGCTGATGTCCCCCAGCTGTGCTGAACGCCAAGGTGACCATCAACCACCAGTCACTCAAATGAGGAGGCTTTGATCAGAGGTGAATGGCTCAGCTGTGAGGTGTCATTTGCTGGGCTGGAGTGAGGCCCAAGAGGGTTGTTCAGTCCTGGGGGTCCCCAGGGAAGGGTCTGGGCCTTGCATCTGTCCTCAGGAGCAGCCAGGGGGCAATGGCAGCGCCGTGCTTTCTGGGCAGTGGGGCATGTGCTGGGACCACCCCAGCATCGCCTACCGACGTCCTTCTACCATCCACGAACACATCGCCACAGTCCCTAGAACCCAGCACTTGAGGGGGCAGTGGCCACCAGACTTTAGCCACTGGGCCACCAGTTCCTGCCCAGACATAAGACAAAAGGGGAAGCTGAGGTTGCCCACAGCCACTATGAGCTGCACTGGGACTCTGCTGGTGCGACCCGGAAGAAAGGAGGGGCTGAGGCTGAAGCACCAGCCAAAATGGCTTCCATGGGCTGCTGGGCTGGATCCTCAACAGATGACTCCAGGGTGCAGTCTGTAGTGGCTGAACCATTCCAGGTGTCCACAGTGGCACAGGACATTGTGTGTATGTACATGTGGGCATGCAGGTGCACACATGTCTGTGGGTGCATGTGTGTGAATGGGAGTATGCATGTGTGTGCATGAGTGTGAAGTGTGCGGAGTGGAACTGGCCCTGTAGAACAGGGGTCCACCTCAGCCGCTCTCTTAAGGCTCCACACTAGCCTGGCTTCAGCTACCTTCTGCATCTTGGTGGTCCCAAAGTGCTACAGCCAACTGTCATTTATCTTTGAGCATCAAATATGAATGCGCACACACACACACACACACACACACACACCCCTATCCATTCATGCATCTGCCCATTTATCTAACGGAGCCCCTTCCTCCTGCATCTGGCCATTGGTGGCATCTCAGCCCGGGTGTCTGACGCTGAGCTCTTCCTCCCTGCCAGGCACCCGCCTCCCTCCTGGGTGCTCCCCGTCCCTGAGCCCACTGCATCTTTTGCTGTGGCCCTGACCCCTCCACCTGCAAGGCCAGCCTGGCCTAGGCTAGAAGCCCAGGGGGGCTCAGCGATGCTGGGGATGGCTCAGGCCTCATCTTGCAGCTCTAGGCCCAGGTGGGCTCATGACCCCTGTGACCTGCTAAGCCTCAGCCCCCTCTGTCACACAAATGCAGTTCATATCTCACCTGGGTTCCAGACACCCCGACCCCCCACCAGGCCCACAGTGTGAATCCTGCACCCATCAGGGAGGCAGGGATAGGTGGGCCACCGGGGTGTGGGTGCTGGGCTGGGGCCTGGGGGAGCCTAGAAGAGGAAGTGTCCTCACTGTGTGGACAAAAATGGGAGGCTGGTACCCCTGTCTGGAGGGGTAGGGAGTGGCTGAGATGTGGAGCTGCAGAGCTCAGGTGCTGAGCTCAGGTGTGGAGCTCAGGTGGGGAAGCTCAGGTGGGGAAGCTCAGGTGGGGAAGCTCAGGTGTGGAGCTCAGGTGGGGAAGCTCAGGTGCAGAGCTCAGGTGCAGAGCTCAGGTGCGGAGCTCAGGCCGCGGGCAGGCCCCACAGTGTGGAAGCCAGCAGGATGGAGCTGAGACAGAGCTCAGAAGGAACCAGTGGCTGGGAGTGCTTGGCAGATGACAGGACAGCCACCGATCCAGGGTCGCCCCGGTGCAGAGGTGCCAGGCACGCCCTGCATTCCTGGTGCTGACTCCAGAGGAAGGTTCAGTAAGTTGGGGACGCAGAGTTCCTCAGGAGCACCTGTGCCCTGAAGACAGAGCAGCTGGTGGGAGAAGGACCAGAGCAGAGACTTCCGGAGACCCAGGCAGGAAGGAAGTCCTTAAGAAGGGAAAAGTCTTTGCCATGGTGGGGGTGGGTGTCAGCCCGTGTGTAGGTCTGGGTGGGTAGGAGAGCTTCCCAGCAAGGAAGACTGACTGGCATATGCAGGCCAGGAATGAGACAGCACCCCTGCCCCAATCTTCCCCCACAGCTGACCGCCCCTCAGATACTGACTGAGGCCTCCATCAAGCCCAGATCTTCACCTGCAAGCTGGGTACACTTCCCCCGACGCCCACAGCTCAGTCCTAGAGGTCCCCAGGCTCCAGCCTCACTGGCCCCAGCAGCCTCCTTCTTTGTCTGTCCTCCAGCCCCCAACCCCATGTGAAGGCCAGGAAGCCCCTGCACGCCTCTCCCTGGAGCCCAGCCCAACTGTGGCAAAGGTCATGCCCCAGCATCAGAAAGCTGGGGTTCACAGCTCTCCCCTGTCCACCTTGGCACCCCCAGGCAGGTTGGAGACTTCCCCCGGGGACTCTGAAATGAGACGGCCTCAGGACCCCCATCCCTGGCTGGGTGGCAGCAGGGTTTGCTGCCTGGAGGTAACACCCCAAGAAAGCAAGACTATGACGTAGATGGCTCGAGAGGCAGCTCCATGCTGCCTGCAGGTCTGTGGTGGCCCAGCTATGGCTCAGGGTTCCCATGCTCCACGTTGCTGCACCAGCTTCCAGCAAGGCCTTCTGCGTGCAGCTCCCGGCAGCTGTCACAGGCCTGGGGCTTGACATGACAATTATTCCCTCGCCACCCTTGGAGGTGCCCTCGCCACCCCTGGGGGCAGAGCTGCCGCTGACAGGAGTGATGGAAGGAGAGGCTGCGTGGCCGCGCTGCTGCCGCTCAAACACCTCGAAGCCCACAGCTTCGAGGACAGGCGCTGGAAAGCCAGTGCCAGCTGCGCCAGCTCAGCCGTCTGTCTCAGGCAGGCACCGTCTGCTGTGGCCGGCGGGTGGTGTGTCTGGGCCGGCTCTGCTCTAGATGCCGCTAAGGTGCAGGAGGCATGGCTGCTGCCCTCTGGGAGCTCGTCCTGGGGTGTCCGTGTGACACGGACCTGCCCATGCAAGGTGCTCAGACCCCCTCCACCTCAGAGTTCTCACCTGAAAAGTGGGGATAATAACTGTCTCCACATTACAACCGGGAGGACCAACTCAGGCTCACTCATTCAGAAAACACACCTGGGGCCCCAGCATCTGGTTATCAGGCCTGGTGATGGGATTTGCCACCAACCGAGGGACTGGATGATGAGTGTGTCTGGCTCAGGGCCAGGGGCTGAGATGTCCTAAGCCCAGACAACAGCAGACAGCCAGGCACTAGCAGGGACTCCAGCATGGGCTCCTCATCAGCCAGGCTTCAGTCCTGACGTCGGACCTTCCAGGCGAGGCTGCACCTGTCCTGGACATGGCCAGCTCGTCACCTGGGAACCACCCTGTTTCTTTGCCTTCCAGCGCTGATCGCTCCTTGAAATCACATCTGTGTGTTGCCTGTCTATTGCCCAGCTACTCTGAGACATTCGGCACCCAAGGGCTAGCTTTCTGCCTATGTTGATCACTGCTGAATCCCTAGAATAGTTGGTGCTCAATTCATGTTTGTTGAATGAATTGAAGTTGGCCAGGCAGGGACTCAGGCCCAGAGAGCAGGATGGAAGTCATACATGGGACCACAGTGGGCCCTCCCTGCTGACCCAGGTAAGGAGGGCCCTCCTGCCCACAGATAGGATGGGACTGAGTCTGGGGAAACCGAGGCTGCTGGAGGGAGGAAGCTAAGCTTTCTCCCCTGTGTGATGGGAGATGCTGGGGAGTGAGCCTGGTAGTTCCTGAGCACCCATCTCGGAGTCCAGCAAAACACCCTGTGTCATTGTGTCATTGAAAACTTGAGGAAGAGAATTGAGCCCTTGTGAGACATCAGGTCCCCCAGCCTACGCGCCTCTGTGTGTCCATCCTCAGCTCCATGCTCCAGCAATAAACCTGGGAGTCTTTCTTCATCCAGACCTAGGGAGGCCAGCCCAGGCCAGGGATGGGGAAGAGAGATCAGGGCCCTCCCCATTCCCTACCTTTCACAAGCCCCTAGTCTGAATGAAGGGCTGGAATCGGCCCATGGGCACAGCCAGGCAGTCGTGCAAGAGCATGCAAATGTGGACGTGTGGCCAGCTGGACACATTCCCAGCAGTGGCACAATGGTGTGCCCACAATGGCAGCAGCCCTGGGGCCAGAGAGCTGGGCTGACCCTACTCCACTTCCTGCTTCTCCGTCTCACTGTATGACTCCCCGGTGCTTGGGCCCCTCATCTCCAGTAGAGGGTTGATAACAGCTGTTGCCCTGAGGGTTATGTGAGCAGGGGAGGGTGCGGAGGCAGCTCGTGGCATGCCACGGGCTTTGAGAAATGTGACCTCACCACTTCCTATCATCATTGTTAATAATGAGACGTGGAACCCGGAAGATCAAATATTCTTGACCTTTCAGGGTCTTGAAGACAAGCAGGAGGTGAGGCTTTCAAAAAGCAAGGATTGGAAGTAGAGAGGGCTGGGCAGGCCTGCCAGCTGCAGACCCCAGGGAGACAGACTTCAACCAGCTGGGGAAGCAGAGCGAGAGGAGGCCCAACGAGGAGGCCAAAGGCAGATTTGAGGGAACAAGAAGGAGACTCAGCGGCAGGGTCCCAGACAGCCCCAGGGGGATGGGAGGGCTGGGCAGGGGCTGGGACAACTCTGCCTGTAGCCCAGCCCTAATGGCGCATCCTATCTGCTGCCTTGCCTGAGAGCCAGGAGGACGACTGGGAGCTCCTGGGCCCCAGGCCAGATAGATGGGAACACTGTCCACACCTTGCTCACGGCCGTCAGCCATGCATCCGGTTGAAACTAGGACTCTCATACTGCATTGTGATCTGATCATTAATAAAAGAATGCTGATTTGTAAAAAAAAAAGTGCCTCAACTTCTTACGCACAGCCTAATTTGGGCCTCACACACCCCAGAGGGGAGACCCTGTGGTCCTACAGCCTCAAGAAGAAAGCAAGTCTTTCGGGCTCTGCAATCTCTCCCTGGGAGGCCCCACTCCACCGCACAGGTGGTAGAGGCACGCCCAGGTGCCATCTCTTGGCACTGATTCAACAATGGCTGGAGCAGCTTCTCCCTGACAGGCACCCACAGTGGCCACCCTATGCGGACCTTACCTCCCTCCAGTAACCCAGAGTGGACAGGCAGGACTAACACATCCTGGAGACATGTGGACAATGAAGCCCAGAGAGGGAGAAGTTCAAGGTGATATGGCGGGTCAATGGCTGGTGCCGGAACAGAAGCACCACCCCAGTCCTTCCCACCAGCCTCCCAACTGCTGAAGCACTTTCTCTTCTTTGGGGGCCAGGGCAGGACTACAGATAGCCAGGATTTGAAGACTGAAAGGCTTCAGGGTGCAAACTGGGGTGTGGAGAAGGAGCACACCCTGGAAGACACAATCTGAGGTCTCAGAACCCACCAGCCCTATCCCACCCAGGCCGCTGGGGGACACTCATCTCCTCCCACCAGCCCTATCCCACCCAGGCTGCTGGGGAACACTCTCATCTCCTTCCAATGGCTCATTGTCTCAATGGTACACACATAAGCACACACTCACAAGCATGCTCACCTGGATGCACACCCACAGTCACACACATGCAAACACACACTCGTACAGTCATGCATCCTCATACACACACACATTCACATGCAGCACAAGTCACACACATGAGAAATGGGCTGCTCAGAGTCAATTGTCTACTTTGACAGATAATGCAGTCCAGGTTCCCAGAGTTCTTCAGGGAAGGATTTGGGCCAAGTTATAAGGAAACAGTCTGCTAATACACCCTCTCTTAATCACCATCTGATCCTCTTCTTCCTGTCTCTTCTCCCTTCAATGCCTGCTGAGCAGGACTACAGACTCGGTTCTGTTCAAGTAAGAACAGGAAGAAACATAGAGCTACTGGGCAATAGGACAGATGATTCAGGGAGTGGGCAGTGGATGTTCTGTGGGGAAGGATAGGTGAGTTGGTCCAAGAACGTGGAAAGCTGGACCAGACTAGTACAAAGCCATCTGTGCACTCAGGGATCTGCTCAGATTCTGTGAGGAGGCTCCTGCTCTTGACAAGATGGAACAAAACGTACAGGATTATCTCTCTTACTTGGAATAACAAACAAATAAACAAAATCCATAAAACAATGATTTTCAAGACATTGGACATCAGGCAGTAAAGGACAGTGCTCTCAGAGAGATGGCAAAAAGCAAGCTGAGCCCTCCAGTTGTGATGGTTTCTGCCTTGACAGAGTTTCCAGGTCCTGATGGGGGAGGGGAAACCAAGGCAGAGTCCTGTGGACTCCCTGAATTGAAGAGATGGATCTGAGAATCTGGGAGATCAAGAGGGTTATAGTTTGCAGGGCAGAGCACTGGACAGGGGCAGCTGCACAGAGAGGGAACTCTGGGATCTGCAGGGGGTCTCTTGAGTATTCAGCATAGCACAGATCAACACAGGCATGTGAGGAGGCAACTCAAGGTCAAGGCAAAATACCACCTGAATGGATTAGAAGGAACAGCAACTGGAGCTCACACAGGGCCAGGGATAGAGCCAGCTCCATCAGCCTGACTAGAAAACCTCTTCATCCGCAGGGTATCATCCACAGTCTGGTCTTGCCCCAGCTCCATCAGCCTGACTAGAAAACCTCTTCATCCACAGGGTATCATCCACAGTCTGATCTTGCCTTGGTTACGGGGAATAATTCACCCTAAGCTGGACACCACTCTAGTTCCATCCAGCAAATCTTAAAGGCAAGACACAAAATGATCAAAGTAGTTCCCAAAACAAAGACCAAGATTTATAGGAATACAAAACTCTCCAACACCTAACAAGATAAAAATTCACAATGTCTAGCATCCAATGCAAAATCATGAGACAAGGAAAGAAGCAGGAAAATGCAGTTTATAACGAGGATCAAAGGATCAAAGCAGACTCAGAACTGCAGGGATATTAGAATTAGTGGACAAGGACCTGTAATTATAGCCGTATTCTATCTGCAATGTCCAAAACATTACAGGAATGATTGAGCATGCTCAATAGAGACATGGAAAATAAAAAGAAGACCCCAAACCAAACTTCCAGAGCTAAGAGCTACAAAGTCTGGTAAGAAAAAGTCACTGAATGTGGTTAATGATAGATTACAGATCGCAGAAGAAAAGATCAGTGAACTCGATGACTTGGCAATAGAAACTATTCAAAATGAAATACACAGAAAAAAAATCTTAAAAATTAGCAGAGCTTTAGTGAGGTGCTTATTTGACAATGACAAGCAGCCTAATACATGTATCTGAGGTGCCTAAAGGTGGGAGCAGGAGGAAGAGAAAGAATTGAATAAATAATGGCTGAAAAATTTCCAAATTTGATGGAAACTATAAGACCACAGATGCAAAAATTTCAAAAAACAAACAAAAAACCCAAGCACAAGAAACACTGAGAAAACTACACCGAGCCACATCATAACCAAAATTCTCAAACCCGGTGATGAACAGAAAACCTTAAAAAAATAAAAAGACGTATTTCACGTAGAGGAACATAGGTAAGGATGGCAATAGATTTCTTGCTGGAAACAATGTATCACAAGAAGATTGTGCAGCTACATCTTCTTTAAAGGAATGAAGGGGGAAAATCCCTGTCAACCTCAAATTCTATACCCGGAAAAAACGTCTTTCAGAAGCCAAAGGCAAAACAAAGACTTTTTAGCCATACAAAGCTAAAAAAGCTACCACCTGCTGGCCGGGCGCCGTGGCTCACGCCTGTAATCCCAGCACTTTGGGAGGCTGAGGAGGGCAGATCATGAGGTCAGGAGATCCAGACCCCCCTGGCCAACACAGTGAAACCCGTCTCTACTAAAAAAAATACAAAAAAGTAGCCAGGCGTGGTGGTGGGTGCCTGTAGTCCCAGCTACTCGGGAGGCTGAGGCAGGAGAATGGCATGAACCTGGGAGGTGGAGCTTGCAGTGAGCCGAGATCACACCACTGCACTCCAGCCTGGGCGACAGAGCAAGACTCTGTCTCAAAAAAAATGCTACCACCTGCTGACTCACACTACAACAAATGCTACAGGAAGTCTTGCAGTCAGAAGGAAAATGATGACAGATAGTAAGATGAATCCACACAGAGGAATGAGGAGTGCTGAAAACACTGCCTACATGTGTAACATACAGGATTTCTTTCTTAGAATTTAAACCTCTTTAAAGACCCTATGGTGCGGCCATGTGTGGCTGGGTGGGAGCCAGCCTGTGGCAGCATCAGGGCGTAGCCCAGGGCCAGCGTTCCGTGGTAAGCACAGGTTGAGTTAGGGCTGGTGGTTGATATAGTAGAGGATTGTTTGATGTGTCAGTCAGCCCAGGCTGCCATCACAGCACACATAGGCTGGGGGACTTCAACAGCCGAGGTATTTTTCTCACAGCTCTGGGAAGCTGGAAGTCTGAGATGGAGATGTTGGTAGTGTTGGTTTCTTCAGACGCCTCGCTCCTTGGCCTGTAGACGGCCGCCTTCTCCCTGTGTCCTTGTGTGGTCTTCCCTCTGTGTGTGTCTGTCTCCTAACCTTCTCTCCTTTAAGGACACCAGGCAGATTGGTTGAGGGCCCACCCGAAGGACCTCATTTTGACTTAATCACCTCTTTGAAGGCACTATCTCCAAATACAGTCATATTCTGAGGCACTGGGGGTCAGGCTTCAGCAAATAAATGTTAGAGGGGACACAACTTAGCCCATACAGTTGGTGATCAGGACCTGAGGCAGGCTCATGAGAACTCAGGAGGACCTGAGGTTTGAGAGGCCGCAGGAGGGGAACACTCTCCGTCCGCGCATGGGAGGCACCATGGCTCTGGGCTGGCTCTGTGGAAGACAGTGACTGCCTGTACCCAGGTGGGCTCCGGGGTCCTCCTCTGGCTCTGGGGAAGGCAGTCAAGTTGCCCTGAAACCTTGGCCCAGCATCCTGGGAACCAAGAGCCCCATCTGTTCAGGTAAATGAGTCAACAGACGGGGCCAAGAGCCCCCGCGGCTGCCCGAGAAAGCCCTGCACGTCTCCAGCCCTCGCTGCAGCCGCCCACTCCGAGGAAGGCTGTGAACCTTTCCTGACCTCTGCTTGCCGCCAGTTCCTGGCCCTTTGTGGGAAGTCCCAGGATTAAACACCACTTGGGGTTTATTTACTCAGCTCTGACAACCACAGAAATCAATGCTGCCGTGAACTTCTGGCCGAATCTTTTATGACTGCTTTTAATGTCTGACTTTTAAGCACTGGGACTTCCTCTGGAGGGCCTGCTTCTGTCTGCAGGTGTGAGTGCACGCTTGTGCATGCGCAGGCCAAATGTGTTCCTTTTTCGAAGCATACATGGCCTGAATGCCCGTGTGAGGTTGGGTGTGTTCACATGTTTGCACGTGTGTTTATCATGTTGGCAGGTATGCCTGCTCAAAAGGATCTGCCAGGTGTGTGCTCACGGGCCCTGATCACATATGAACACAGCTGTGTGTATGTGGCTGGAGGCTATCCAGGTGTGCATGTGTGTGTCCATGCTCACGTGCACAGGCATGTGTGTGCTCCAGGGAGCAGGTGCACAGCCTGCATTTTGCATTTAGACTCATCAATGTGAAAACAGACCCACAGCTATAAACTCTGCTTAATCCGAAGCAAAAAGAGAGAGAGAGAGAATGAGAAAGTGAGAGCACTATTTGCATCACTTAACCCTGAATGTGAACCTCATTTTGGTGGGAAATGAACACAGCCGGAGTCCTTAAAAATCCATCAGACCCATTACCATGCCTGTAGATTTCAAATAAGCCCGCGAAAGACCTACTGGCAAGTGACATTTCTCATCCTGGCTTCCCTGCCTGGGCTTTCTCCAGAGCGATACTTATCAGCAGGGCCTGAAAGAATGAAAAACAGGTCCAAGGCATCCTCGGCCTTAACATCTACCTGTTGGGCCGCATGAGACAAGCCCGCAGCTGGGCCACCCTGTGGTTTTCACGTTCTGAGGCAAGCTTGTTCAGCTCCCTCCTCCCAGCCCCAGTCAACAGACATAGTTCCCTCCGTCTGAACCCCCTGAAGGACTGCCCAGGATTACACAATAAACTGTCTAGTGGTGTCTTCTAGCTCTCCCTGCCAGACTCTTGGGTTGAGGTTTAGATCATATGCGTCTCCCCAGCTTGTTCCCTAGAAGAGGCAGAGTGTAATCAGTGCCTTCTGACAGGCCCCAGTGTCTCAGCTCAGTCCTGCAGGTCACACACTGCTTAACTCCAGGGTGCCAAGTCACGCCATATTCTATGTGCTCAAGAGCAGTGCTACTTGAGTTGAGCAGTGCACAGCTTGTGCACCAGTCCATGGCAGACCCGGTTGGGCCCACACTGTCCTGCCTGACTCCTGGCAAAGAACCCAGCCTTGGCCTCCTCACAACTTTCCTGGGGCAGGACCCAGAGCTGGAAGCATTAGGAGCTTCTTTGAGGTCATGTTCTTTTCCTGAGAGTAAATATTCTTTGTGGCTTCCTGGGATAAGTCCAGGTCAGGTTCATCCAGCTCCCTGACCCTGGGAAAACCACTCACCCTCCCTGTACCTCAGTGTCTTTATAACAACACCTGCTTGCCTCCCTGGAGGCTGCAGGGTCGACATAATAATGGTTATGAAGGTGTTTGGTTAGTGGGGAGGACTTGTTGATACTATGAATCATAGTAGAATAATTTGAAAATACAACACTCATAAGAAGTTTATCATACTTTGATCGTGGTGTAGCACTGATCAGAGCCATTTTTACATGAGTTTCCCTACCCTAAGAAGCACAGTATGGAGCTTGTAGGAAACATGAAATAAATTCTGGTTGACACCATTAGAGAGGCCTGGACTGGACTGAAATTTGCTGGATGGCAAGTTCATGACCTAAGAATGCAAAATACCACAGAGCCAGTGGCTTCAACAGGCATTTACTCCTCTCGGATCTAGAGGCTGAGTCCAAAATCAGGGTGTGAGCCAGCTCCGGTGTGGTGAGGGCCTGTGGCTTGACATGTAGATGGTGCCTTCTGACTGTGTGCTCACGTGGAGCGGGGAGTGGGGGTCTCTCTCTCTTCCTCATCTCATAAGGCCACAGTCTACTGGATCAGGGCCCACCCTTAAGACTTCATGTAACTTTCATTGGCCCCTAAAGACCCTATCTCCAAATACGGTCTCACTGGTGGTGATGTTCTGGAACCCAAGGGGGGTCCACTCTCCCCACAAGGTAACATCAGACGTCCACACAGAGGTTCGAGTGGGAGAAGGGTGTTTATTTGCAGGCACCAAGGAGGGGGGCCCCAGCAGGGCACACTTAAGTCCTGACCTCCCCAGTGGCTGGCAGATAAGGGTTTTTAAAGGCAGGGGCACGTTTCAGGAAAGCAGAAGTTGAAGCAAAATTGGAAATCAATCCTCGGAGGTTACACATTGGTTTTGGCCTCAAAAGGCAGATGTCTTGAAGTGGAGGCTTACAGGTCCCAGGTGGATTCAAAGATTTTCTGATTTGCAATTGGCAAAGGAAGAGAAGTTTTGCTTAAAAATTTGGGATCAGCAGAAAAGAATATGAGTTTTGTCTCATGGATGCGACTCCCTCCAGGCCCCTCAGGAATAAATATAGAACAAAGAACGGCGGCATCCGAGGCCTGCGTGCCCTCGGATCGGATCCAGCGTGGAGATCCAGGTTTCTGAAAAACAACTCAGGGACTTACTTGAAGAATGCTATCTTCACCTGTCATCCCAGCACTTTGGGAAGCCGAGCCAGGCGGATCACCTGAGGTCAGGAGTTCAAGACCATCCTTGCCAACGTGGTGAACCCCGTCTCTACTAAAAATACAAAACTTAGCCGGGCTTGGTGGCTAAGTAGCTGCCTGTAATCCCAACTACTCAGGAGGCTGAGGCGGGAGAATCGCTTGAATCCAGGAGGCAGAGGTTGGAATAAGCCGAGATCACACCACTGCCCTCCAGCCTGGGTGACAAAGCGAGACACCCTCTGAAAAAAAAAAAAAAAGTATTACCTTTAGTTTCTTAGTTTCCATAGGGGAACCGAACATTCCGTGATCCTGGCTCCCTCGGCTGTTGTTTTATGATACCATTAATCTCTTGTCTACCAAGTTGCCCATTCACTTCCCTGGGTCAGCCGAGAGCCTGGAATTCCCCTGAAGAAACTCAGGATTTTTCTTTATTTCCATGTTTGGGGTGAGGGGGCGGCCCGCAGGCCCCTAAGAGGGGCCCCTGCTCCATCTCACTTAGGGCTAAATATGTGAATTGGAAGGGACATAACGTTGTCTGTGGCACCTTCCAAACATGACGTGGGCACACGCAGCGGATTCACCAGGTGGCCCTGTGGGCAGGGACTCAGGCAGCAGGGATGATTGGCAGGTGCCTCCGTTGCGCCCCAAGAGCAAGACCTACTCGGCCTGGAGTGAAATTTCAAAAAGTCAGCCTGGCTTCCATGGTGGCTGCAACTGCCCAGCCCCATTTCTCCCATCTCTTCCTTACCCTGAAATCCCTGTGCTCCTTCTGGTGGGGGGCCTTCCCTGGAAATCACGCTAATCACAGCGTAGTCCACACTCCGTGCTCTGCAGATGTCTGTTTCTATCTCTGGACAAGTGTCTCAAGAGCAAAGGCCGCCTCTTACTTGTATTTTTCTATTTCTGAAAGCTGGTTAGGGGCTTATGTAGCCTGGACGCCCCTCTGCCATCCCTGAGTAAACGGGAGAGGAAACGCACCCAGGAAACAAAACCTTCTTTTCCTCTCAAGGCCTCTCTTTTGCTTAGGAGCATTTATCAGGAACTTACAAATTGAGACTCATTTTCTAAAACCAACTGAGTTGATGCCTGTCCAAATTATAGAGTTTTAAAGCCTTGCGATTCTGTGAGAACATGAAAGTTATACAAACCGGGTGAACAAATTCACTAAGTGAGGTTCTGTAGAAACTGCTTCCACAAATACATAAGAGTTGCTTGTCATTATAACGTCAGTTGCATGGGAAGGCGTTCCTAAAGCACCGCAAACTCCTGTTCTCTCAGGTGGGCCAAAAGCCCGTCCTGCAGCCAGGCCTAGACTCCACCACTGTTGAATGACGCCTTGGCACAGAGCCGGCTAGAATGTGCCATCCACCTCCTGCAGGGCGGTCAGCAAGTGGGATGATCCCCACTAAGGGACAGATTTGGTCATCAGGGTCAAGACTCTGGTCCACTCAGCAAATCCACCCGGGGTCCCACTGCTTGTCGGACCCCCTTCAGGATCAGGGAACCTGCAGCCGTGGTGGATAGCACCCCAAGGTCTACCTTGCAGAGACCTCTCTCGTGGAGAGAGACTGGCCATCAGCAGGGACCCCACAGCCAGGAGGAGAGCAAGGCTTCTACTAGGAAGGGGCCCAGCCTGGCTGCTAAAAACCATCTCCAGAGTCACCTGGGTGTCACGAGGGGAGGCCGCCTTCAGGTGCACACCTGCACGGTGGTCTGGGTGTCGGGAGAAGAGGCTGCCTTCAGGTGCACTTCTGCATGGTGGTCTGGAGAGGCTGGGGAACCTTCCTCCCTCCACGTTTCTCTGGCTGTCCCTGGCCCTGTGTGGCCTCAGACAAGCCTTGTCCACCTCTCTGCACCAAAGAAGTGAAATTGTCCTCAAGGTTCAGATGGTGGCTGGACACTCCTAGCCTCTCCGCCATGACCCAGGGCTGGGGGTGACACCCTCAAACCCTGAGGGGATACTAAGGGTCAACAGGACACCTGGACCAGAGGAGCTGTGAGCAGGCAGCAAAGGCCACCCGTGTGGTGTCTCCTCTGCATCCTCCCCAGCAGCAGACCCAGGCCTGGCCCTTTCCAGCTTGGTTACCTGTGCGGAAACCCAGAGCCTGGCAGCAGTCAGAGCCATGAGAGCAGCTCCCATTCAGGATGATGCAGTGGGGTAGAGGCCTCAGGAGGACAGGGCCCGACCCCCAGCACAGTGCAGTCCAGTGGGGATTACTGCTGGCAACAGGGTGGGGTTGGAGGATGGAAAATGACCAGGAGGAAGCAGCCAGAGTGAGGGGATTCTGGTGGAACCCCCTAACAGAATGCCTGCTGAAGGCAGGCCAGCGGACCAGGCCTCCCTTGGAGGGTGGAGGATGGAGAACCTGGTTAGATGTAGAGGGAGGGTCGGGGGGTTCTCTCTAAAATGACTTTGCAGTGTTCTTGACAAAACTGGGCTCCTGAGGATGTGTCCAGGGACAGGGCTCCATCAGTCCTCAGGGAGCAGGTGCCTCTGCTGTCCAGTGTCTGGACCGGGACAGAGTCCTTGTCAACCAACAGCAAGTACCCCAGCCCCTGTGCTCCAACTCTGGAGGCCAGGTTTTGGTGAGGAGAAAATGTACACCTTAACTTTTACTGAATGCAACTGAAATGTGCTATTTCCTTTCATTATGAATATAAACAACAGGCCACCCGAAATCCTATGACTTTCCATCAGTAGACAGCACAGATGTCTCAAAATATAACAAAACTCAGGATGACTGTAGCCATCAATAGGTCTGCATGTGACAAAGAAGCACCAATGTTATTACATCAACAATCCGTTTTTTGAAGAATTTCATAGCTGTGCTTCTGAATAATTGGCTTCACCCACTATTCAATGAACAGTACCAAACATCTTATTCTGAGAACTAACCCACAGGCTTCCCCAGATGTCAAAGGTCAAAGGGTGCCCTGCCTTAAAGAAAGATGAATTTACAAGTAAAAACATTACCCCATAGCAACTACCTAAAACAAACAAACAAGCAATAGAATACACAACACACAGCTGGGCCCATTGCAATGGACAGATTGAAATTTTAAGTAGACATGCCAAATATTTATAAGATGATCAAGGAAAGGTATTATAAAATAAAGAACACATAACAGAAGCTCTAAGAACAACCATTAGATTTGAAAGGTATTATAATCGAAACAAACAACACGAGGAATGGGATGAAGGCTGGGGCTGATACAGTGGAGATGCTGCTCAGTGAGCTGAATGATCAGGTGGTAACTGCCCCAGAGGTGAGCAGGAAAGAATGAAGAGGTAGAAAAGGTAAAAGAAAAGCTGAGCGCTGTGGAAGGCATACAGAAGGCCCCTGGCTACAAGACAGAAGAAAGGATAGAGGCATTTGAGGGATACTAGAAACAGATTCTCTGGGATATAAAAGACGTCTGGCTGAAGAGCTCATCAAATGCCAAATGTAAGAGATGAACAATCCTTCCTGGACAGATGAAAGTAAAATTTAAGAAAAGGCCAAGATGGAGCTACTCCTAAAAACTTCCGAAGAGCAAAAGCAGATCATCCATGGAGGAATGAGATTCAGACCAGGGGCCTGACACACTAAAAACAAGGCAATGGCATTTTTAATTGTTAAAAGAACATTGGGGCTGTGCATGGTGGCTCATGCCTGTAATCCCAGCACTTTGGGAGGCTGAGGCAGATGGATCACCTGAGGTTACGAGTTCGAGACCAGCCTGGCCAACATGGTGAAATCCCGTCTCTACTAAAAATACAAAAATTAGCTGGGCATGGTGGTGCATGCCTGTAGTCCCAGCTACTTCGGGGACTGAGGCAGGAGAACTGCTTGAACCTGGGAGGCGGAGGTTCCAGTGAGCCGAGATCACATCACCACACTCCAGCCTGGGCAATAGAGCAACACTCTGTCTCAAAACAAACAAACAAACAAAAAAGGAATCATTGGATCTAGGACTTTGCATTCAGCAAAATTATCAATTAAATATGATGATATAAAGAAAATATTCACCGGCAGGCAAGAGTGATGATTTCCATGAAAAGACACAAAATGAAAATACTTTTTTTTGCAAGAACTCATCAACAGAGAGAAGAAAACATCTAGGAGGTGCTGTAAGCGGTAAGTACAGATGATCAAATATTTTGGTAAAATCGATCATTAGCTTTTGAAATAAAATAAACAACAACAACAAAAATCCATAGCTAGAGAAAAGAAGACCCAAAAAAAAGTCTACAATAAGCCAGAATGAAATTTCTAGACAATATCCACGTGACCAGTCAGGGTTAGGTGGGCTAGCAACAGTCCTGAGAGCAGAGAGTGGGCTCCGTGTCCAGGGGCAGAGACAGGAATGCTGAAAAGCTTAGGAAATTGACATGGTGAATATGAGTTTTAAGTTAACGGCACTCTCCACAGGGAAAAGTGTGATCTATCCAGGGAAAAGTAGGGAAAGAAAAAGGAAAACAAGAAAAGTTGACATGTGGAGAATATGAAATAAAAGAGCAGGAACAAGTCGTAAGATAGTAGTAATTATAATCGTGTAAATATATACACGATTTGATTTGTCAATCAAATGTATTAATTGAAAGTGTCTCTCAACAGAAAAAGAAGAAAGGAAGAGGAAGAAGAGGAGGAGGGGGAGGAGGAGGAAGGCAACCTGCTGTCTGCAAAAGGCCCAGGTGAAGCAGGAGGCCTCGGGGGGGGGGACACAGGAGACAGAGGAAGGGACCCTAACATGAGTCAAGAGAAACATGAGCAGCAGACATAATATTAAAAAAAAATCAAGCTTAGGGAAAACTATTAACACAAGGACAAAATACACCTCATTTGCCGGGGGTCCAGGGTGACTGGCCCCAATCTGGCCCACCAGCCTGGTTAGTGTGCCCAGAACCCCCTCCTGACATGAGGCCAGCACATGGCAGGTGCTCAGGATGGGCTCTGGGGGAGGTGCTGACCCTGCACAGTGTCTATAGTGGACTGGGAAGCTGTCGACTGAACCTCCTGAGGAGGACAGGCCCAGGTTACCCTGAGAGATGTTTGTTAGAGGTTCTCTTCTCCCTCCCAGCCCCTTCCCAAGACCTGGGGGCTCCCTATTGGTGGGAGGGGTGGGTGGCCCTGGCTTTGGAGCTGGCCCCTGGGCTTAGACCCCACCTCCCTCTGTCCTTACTGTAGCATCTGAGGCAGACACTTCACCACCTCTGGGGACTCAGTCTCCCCCCTGTGAAATGCTGGGGAGACCCCTCAGGAGGATGCCAGACATTATGTGGCTGGTAATGAATCACTCCAAGGAGCCCATAGGTCATGGTGTTAGAGGCCGCTGTGGCAGAGGCAGGATAGTTGTGAGTGGATGTGCCAGCAGGCAGCGTGTGAGGGAGCAGAGCATGCACCCAGCCTCTCCCTGCCACCCCTGAGCTGGCTCCAGTTTCTGCAGTCCTCTAAGAAAAATCTCAGACCATCTGCACCAGCCTGGGTGGGCCAGAGGGGCAGGCAGCCAGGCAGGTGCACATGGGCTTGGGAGGGGCGGGTGTGCACGTGGAGACTCCAAGCATGGGAGAGGACCAGCTCTGTGACCAGGCGCATGCCCGGTGTGTGCGCTCTAGCCAGGTCTCAACCCGTCTTCACTGTGCCCTGCTCACCCCAGGACCTCAGCTTCCTATGCCCAAGGGTGACGGGACTCAGTGGTCCCAAAGGCCCTTTGGCCTTAACAGTCTGGGCAGTGGGAGTCCAGAGCTGCGTGGCCTCCTGAACACCAAGGGCAGCCAGCATAGGCTGCGCCTTGTGCTCCCATCAGCTCGAGTGTTGCCAGCCCCTGGGGCTTCTGTCCTGACTCCTTCCTCCAGTCCATGCTTGCCCTGTTTCCATCCTCAAATGCCTTTCCCTCCTCTGTTCTCCCACCTGAGAAGTGGCACTCCAGGGTTGGCCATGGGCGCCCCCCACTCTGCCTGGGCTCTCCCAAGCCCCCCAAACCCACAGGCACAGGGACAGACAGCAGACCTGGGTGGGGGGTCTGTGTTTGGTGGGGGGAGATGTGTCTGAGCTGGGGCCATGAGAAGGGTGGAAATATGCTGTGTTCCCTGCAGCTCTCAGTGGCCCTAAGATGCCCAAACACCACTCCACTTCCAGATGGAGGAACTGAGTCTGAATCCACTCAGGTAAGTGGAGGAGTGGGACAAAGCCAGATCCCCTGAGTCCCGGGTACACAGTTCAGTCCTGGGCAATATCTCATGGGGAAGGTGGGGCATGGACAGGGAGGCCGACCTTCGGTGCTGGCCCAGTGCCCAGCGTAGAGCTGTCCCTTTGGGGGCAGGAAGTGTCTGCCTGCTGCCACATCTCTTGGGCGGTGCTCAGCAAGGGAGAGGCTAGAAAGAGGATGGGAGGCCAGGCTGGGCCCCTGCTCTGCCCATCAACACTGCAGGGACAAGGAGGCGGCCATGCACCCCCCGTGCTACCTTTTCACACCCTGCACATGTGCAGCCCGACAGGACCCCACCTTCCAGCCAGGAGGGAGGCCCAGAGCCCCAAAGTTGCTCTGGCCTTGCAGGCAGCTTCTCCTGTCCTCCAGTCCCCCTCACATGCCAGGGTGGCGCAGACACTTGGGCCAGGGACCGCCTGGCTGTGCAGGAGAGATGAGCTGTTCTCCTCCTCCTGCCTGCCACCAGGATGGCGCTGTGTTGTGTCACTTAAGGACTCACCTGCTTTGTAGAGACCAGTTAGGTGGCTGCTCCAGATAGGAGCCTCTGACAGGCAAGGCTCACCCAGCTGCACTTGACCAGCTGGATTCCTGAGCCAGTGTGAGGCTCTGCCCCTGGCCCGGGGCATTCCATCTGACCAGGCTCTGCCAGTCCGTTGTGGCAGCACCTTTCTATTAACCTGAAAGTCCCGCACCAGGCTGGCCACCCTTCCTGCCTCCACTCTCTTCCTGAGATGTGGGGACCCACCTGTCCTTCTGCAGTCTTGATGCTACTATCCCCCAACCCCAGCCATCCGGGGACCCAGGGCTTCCCTACTGGCCTCTTCTCAGCTCCCAAGGCCAGGCTGGTTGGGTGCTGGTCCTCAGGGCACGTTGCTGGACTCTATCGCGACGTCGCATGCTGATTCCTCTGGAATCGCATAAGGTTCCCACTGTCTCTGGGCCCATCTGCATTCCTACCTCAGTCCCCGATGCTGGGGTTTCTACTTTTGGCTTTTTTTTTTTTTTTTTTTTGGATGGAGTGCAGTGGCGCAATCTCAGCTCACTGCAACCTCCGCCTCCTGGGTTCAAGCGATTCTCCTGCCTCAGCCTCCCGAGTAGGTGGGACTACAGGCATGCGCCACCATGCCCAGCTAATTTTTGTATTTTTAGGAGAGATGGGGTTTCATCATGTTGGACAGGATGGTCTCAATCTCTTGACACGAGATCCGCCTGCCTCGGCCTCCCAAAGTTCTGGGATCACAGGCGTGAGCCACCGCGCCCCGACACTTTTGGTTTTTTTTCCAGAGGATCTCTAATGCCAGAATGACATCACCTGTGTCACCCACTCCTGACAACAGTCACCCTTTCCCTAGCTCTGGGCTTGTCATGGGCTTCTATCCTTATAGAGACAGGTCCCTCCAGCTTGCCATTTCTCGGCTTTACTAAGGTGTGAAACTGCCTTTACTATGGTGTGAAACTGTGCAATTGTGACATAATGTACAGTATTCAATACATTATATGAGATACACAGTACTTTATGATAAAATCGGCTTTGTATAAGATAACTCTACCTGACTATAGGCTAATGTGAGCGTTCTGGGCACATTTCAGGAGGCTAGGCTAAGCTATGACATTTGGCAGGTGAGGTCTATTAAATGTGTTTTTGGCTTATGATATTTTCAATGTATGAGGGGTTTATCAGGAGCCCTATGGTCAGTCGGGGAGCATCTGTGCCTGGCCTGTGGTACTGCCTCTTGTTCACTGTCCTGCCCATTCCAGGGATTCCCTGGCACTGCCCAAGGCAGGGGCCTCATGCTCATACCCGTGCTATGCAGCTAGTAGGTGCTCACAAGTCACGGCAGTTGAATGA
This sequence comes from Homo sapiens, assembly GCF_000001405.40. Lineage (NCBI taxonomy): Eukaryota > Metazoa > Chordata > Mammalia > Primates > Hominidae > Homo > Homo sapiens. The sequence goes on from NC_000008.11 coordinate 142,040,763, forward strand.
ATGCCTAGCGAGGGTTCTGGGAGCTCTCTTTATCGCCCCACATAAGCAGGTTATGATGGTGACAGAGAAGCCAGCCTCCTCCAGGGGCAGAGACAGAGCCTTACGCCTTGAGTTGCAGCTAACAGACCAGCAGGCTCTGCAAACCTGAGCAATGAGATTTGTTATTCCGTCCCTGAAAGTCTGTCGGCAGAGCCCCTGCAGGGTCTGTTGATTCAGGAGCTCAGAAGTGTCACCAAGGCGCTGGGATTGTTCGATTTATCATCTCTGTCCACACCCATTGGCTCCACCTGAAGGCCGCTTCCATCTTGTTGAAGGCGCCTACTAGAGGCACCTGTGTTCACATCTGAAGATTAATCATGGACTGAAGCCTTTCCTGTCACCTTGGTGGCCGGCCAGCACTGGTCCCTTGCCCACCCTGGGTTGAGCCTGAGCTCCCAACCGTCACTGGGTCGTGGGGAGGGTGAACTTGCCTTGAAGGCACAAAGCCATGGTCACATGGGCTGCGTGTCTGAGAGGTCCACACAGAATAAGATTAGAATTGTGTGGTTTAATTGGGGAAGTGGTTTTGGGGACAGGAAGCCAGTGGGCACGGGAGGCATCCCCACCCCACCCTCCCAGCTCTGTGGACTCTGCCTTCCCCTAGAGCAGCTGTCCCCAACCTTTTTGGCACCAGGGACCAGTTTCATGAAAGACAATGTTTCCAAGGACCTAGAAGGCAGGAGCAGTGATGGTTTTTGGATGATTCCAGTGTGTGACATTGACTGTGCACTGTTTCTATTATGATTACATTGTAATATGTCATGAAATAATTCGACAACTCACCATCATGTAGAGTCAGTGGAAGCCCTGAGCTTGTTTTCCTGCAACTAGACAGTCCCATCTGGAGGTGATGGGAGACAGTGACAGATCATCAGGCATTAGATTCTCGTAAGGGGCATGCAACCTACATCCCTCGCATGCGCAGTGCACAATAAGGCTTCTGCTCCCATGAGAATCTGATGCCACTGCTGATCTGACGGGGCAGAACTCAGGCAGTAACACAAGCCATGGGGAGCAGTTGTCAGTACAGATAAAGCTTTGCTCATCTGCCCACTACTTACCTCCTGCTGCACAGCCTGGTTGCTGACAGGGGTTGAGTGCCCTTGACCTACAGCACTGGCTGCATTCATAGGCTCCTACAGCTGCAGGTGCTCCTCCAGGGGCAGGACAGAAGGGCTCACTTCCTCTTCAAGAAACTACTGGGCTTTGGTGGTAATTTGCACCTATGCACAAACCCCCATGTGCCTGGGGGTGGAGGGGAGGTGTCTTTTCCTAGAAAGCCAACTTCCTCAACTTGTTGCATGAAACTACTGCCTTGGAGATTAGCTCTGCCTCACACATTTTTGGATGTCTGTTGTTTTTATCTTAGAAAAGCTGGGACCTCAGGAGTGCCCAAGGACAATGACCCATTCATTGACCATGAATCCACATCTTTGCCATGGCCACGGGGTGGGCCGGGGTCCACGGGCGGCGAGAGCCCTGGAGACCACAAGTGCAGCTCAGTCCGTAGCTGTCCACACTCATCCAGCTGGGATCTGTCCTGAGCAAGATGAGGCAGGGACAAGGAGTCAGGCTGCCCGGGAGCTGTGGCCCAGCTGAGGATGGGCCCCGGCCCACACTCCTGGCCAGGTTATCTGAACCACATCCACACATCCAGTCATGCTGGGAATGGCTGGGGCACGATGTCCGGGACCCAGGACTGGCCACAGACGGCTCGGGCAGGACCTTGTGTCTGCCTTCCTGGCTGCTGGTCTTGGGCAAGCTGCTCCACCTCTCAGAGCTGCTGTCTGTGTCCCTTGAATGAGGAGGAGTGGCCCTGACCTGAAGGGACTCATGGGCATGAGGTCCAGTGATGCTGCTGAGGGCCAGCGGTGGAGCTGCCACCCACGGGAGCTGCACTGAGAGCTGGGTCACTGTCGGCAAGTGCCAGGCTCCGGCACAGGAGTGCACCTTCTGGAAGGTGGTGCCAAACCACATCATGCCCAGAGAAAACGGGAGGAAGCGGGGCTGCCGCAGAGTATGGTTTCTCCTTGGAGGGGGCACCAAGCTATCATGAAGAGCCACGAGGGAGCCTGTGCCCAGGGCACAGTGGATGGGAGCAGCCAGAAGGCCTCCTCTACCCCCTCGCCTGGACCAGTCCTGTGGGGAACCTCACAGGGACCCTGCTGGACCCGGGGAGAGGGCTCCACTCAGCTGAGCAGGTGCTGAGCACCTCAGTAGGATGAGGCCCGGTGCAGGTGGTTTGGGTCAAGGTTGGATTTTGGGCCATGGTCAATCAGAAACCCTGGAAGGCGGAGCGGGAGTGGCAGCAGCCAAGGTGGGGCGGGGTGTTTAGAGTCACCCTCTCTGCGGAATAACAGGCTGGAGCCATCCCTGCAGGCTAGAGGTGGGTGGTGGGTGGAGATTTGACAGAGGATGGCTCCCCCATTCCCTAGGAGCTGGACACAGAGGGAGGGGCCAGCCCCAGAAGGAGCATAGGGCACTGTGAAAGGAAGCATCCTCTCCTCCACCCCAGAGCAAGGCAGGTGCCCGAGGGGCCTCCAGCATCACCTGGTGTGTGGCTGGCATGGACTCTGACCCGTGATTCCAGGACAATACTAAATAATGATTTCTTTCTATACTGGCCTCGTCAGGCAATGAGGAGAGCTTCCAGCCCTCTAAGGCACATGTTGAACTGTGGTTGCTTACGGGCACTTGCCATGCGCTATGCCCAGGAATGGGCTCCGGGAAGGGGCAGGGAGATTAGCAGGGGGTACCACAAGTCAAGCACAAGGCTAGAGGCCACGACAAGTTCAGGGCTGGCCCATGAGAAGGGTGGCTGCTTGGAACAGGTGGCAGGAGGGCAGGATCTGAGAGGGGCCCGGGAAGGTCACGGGCGATGTCACTGAGCTGGAGATGGGAGACCTGCAGATAAGCCCTGGAATGTCACAGGAAAGAACCCAGGCCAAGCCCCGGGAGCCGGGGTGTTTAGACTGGGGTGTTTACTCCAAAATCAGGCTCACCTTTGAACTTTTGAGAAAGCCTGTTGAAATAACCAGAAGGAAACAGGCACGGAGGTTGATCGGGCCCCTGCGCGGAAAAGGACTTCCTGCGCATCCAAGACAAACACAAGGACCGCATCTGATAACCTAAAATTACATTTCTATATGTCAGAGCCTCATAGCCAAAATCACACAGCAAAGGAAAGGCAGGAAATGTTTGCAGCAATTACAACAACACTAACTTCTTCTTATATAAGCAGCTCAAATTGATAAGAGAAATCGTAAGCCAAATGCTGAAAAGTGAGCAAAATACATGAAAAGGCACTCCACAAAATAGGAATCACGAACGCCAAACAAACACGCAGAGATAAATCATTTACCCTCCCAAGTAAGGACGGAAATTAAAATCGTAGCGCCATGGAGATACCCTCCCGCCTATCCACATGCTCCCACCCGTGCGGGGGCTTGGCGCTGGAGGGAGTGGCGTCAGCTCCGCTTCTGAGAAGCACCTCACATGCACAGCATCTGTGCCAGAAGGGCTGGCCCGGCAACTCCCTCTAAGGCTCTGTGGATGGAGACGCTCTCAAATGCAAACAAAGCTTTTGAGCAAATATGCCGACGGAGTGACTTTCGACAGCCAGCGTGCAGGAGTGAGAGCCTCACCAGAGGCTCCGTGGAGAAGCGTGCATGGCACGGCCCCTGCCAACTCTGCCCAGAGTCAAAGATCATTCAGGGTGAGCCACTGGGGTGGGACACAAACCTGAGTGACTATCTGCACACCCATGTTCACAGCTGTACCACCCACAGAGCCAAGAGCCAGAGGTAGCCTCACCTCCCCTCCAGACCAGCCCAGGCCTCCCCTTTGCTGAAGCCTCCCAGAACCCCTGGCCTAGGGAACCTCCCCTCCCTCTCCCAGAAATTGTGGTGCTGCAGAATGTAATCTCTGCCATCCCACACAGGGGAAAGGAGGAGGAACTGCAGGCAGGACCTCAAGGGTTCCAGGGTCAGCGTCACCCCTGCCAGCAGTAAGGCCCTGAATCTCAGATCTCCTGTCTATACCATGGGCCCACTCCACAAGCAAAGGACAAAGCCAGGATCCAGGCACAGGTGCACTACTGGCATGCAGGGCACGGTGCTCGAGGGTGGTCCTCACCCTCCCCCTCTCCTCACGTGCCTTCACTCCCACAGCTTCGACGCTCACACACGCTGGGGGTCATCCAGAGAGGGACTTTTCTTTTGCTGTGGTCACTGTGCGATGGTGTGATCACCGTGTGATGCTCTGGTCATCATGAGATGCTGTGGTCACCGTGAGATGCTGTGGTCACTGTGAGATGCTGTGGTCACTATGAGATGCTATGATCCCTGTGATGCTGCGGTCACCGTGAGATGCTGTGATCACCGTGTGATGCCACCACTGATCCCGCAGCCTGCTATGAGACAGGCACTTTCTTATCCTCCTTTTACACCTGGGAAAACTGAAGCTCAGAGAAGTCAAGCATGGTGCCCTCATTCCCACAGAAAGTGATGGGGCTAGAATAGCACCCTCCCCACTGGTCCACTGCTTGGGCTCACCACTCCCTCCCGGGCTGGCTGGAGGGGCCTCCACAGAGACCCTCCCCAGCAGGAGTGGGAGGAACTTCGGCACATGCACACCGGGCCCTGTCTCTTTGCTTCCCCTTCCCTGTCCCTGGCTTTGGTCATGGAGTGACCTCACCCTCTGCACAGGCCCTTTCCACCAGCAGGAAGCACGGCAGCACTGGACTAGCCCTGGCTCGGAAATTCCCACACAGAGCAGAGGTTTCTCTCCCCGTGTCCAAATCTCACTCTCAAGAAAGGGCTCTGATTGGCTCTAACAGGAGCACCTGCCGCTCTGGGCCCATGGTGTCCCTGGGGTCCCACTGGGGCCTGGGAAAGTCCAGGCCGTGGCATGTGCCCACCCTCCAGGGTAGAAGCACGAGGCCCATGAGCAGCAGAAGGCAGGTGAGAAAGCCGCTGGGCAGAGCCCAGGCATTGCATCCACAGCCCAAAGTCTGCATCAATGCAAGGGCTCGGCGAGAGGGGAATGCATGGGGCAGAGGGAGGCCCGAAGTGGCAGGACAGCCCAGGCTGGAGGCAGACGCGCCTGCGGGCTTGGGTGGGGGCTGGAGGAACTGCAGCTTCAGCACAGGTGGACTTGGCTAAGGAGGTCCCAGATGGGCTTGAAGGGGCGCCAGCTCACGTAGCCCACCTACGGGACAAGCAGGCCTCAGTGCTCTCCTTCCCTGGAAGCTCAGGAAGCTGAAAGCTGGCCCTCCAATTAACAGCTATCAATCTGACTGTGCCTGCTGCAGTCCCCTGAAAGATCCCTCCGTGGCACTAATTGCTGGGACCTGATGTGTCTGAACACTGCACTTGAGGCCCAAGGGCCCTGCATAGCTATTAAATTGCCTGCGGGGCCAGGGGTCGGCTTGACAAATGGTGGCACGTGCTTTGTCAGCAGCCACACTGGGGTCTGGGCAAGGCGGGGGCTGCAGGGAGGGTGGGAGAGGAGACCGCTTGCAATGATGAGGGGCATCACAAGGCGCGGGGAGAGCAGCTGCCCCACGTGGAAGCAGCAATCCCAGCTAATTCCGCGGCACTCAGCCCAGACGCGTCCTGTCAACATGTCTCCAGTCACTTTGCCAAACAAACGAAACGTCCCTTCTTGTCCTGGAAAATGAGATTTTCCCTTCACGAAGCCAGCCAGGCTGGCTTGGAGCCAAGATGTCTCCCTTAACCCCACATGCAGCGCCCAGTCTTGAGGTCCACAGAGACCCAAGCATGAAGATTTTCTCATCCCCCAGGTGGCAGGAGGGAGAGTTGGTGGAGTAAAAACCTTCACACAAGGACCCTGCTCCCTGTCCCAGCCGACTCTGCGTCTGTCGCCTGCCATTGCAGGTGACCCAGAGACGTCACTGGAAGGACTTGAGGCTCAGGGCTGCTCCATGTTCTCAGAAAAGCCAGCGTCTGCAAAGGGATGTCCTCCTGGACAGGGGCCAGCTTCCCAACGCTGCTGCCGACCGTGGCTGCCCTGCAGAAGAGGTAGGTAGGTGAGGCCTGCCAGCATCACCGCAGCACTCTCAGGCTCTGTCCCGAACCTCAGATCTTGCAGGGAGGCTGGACCAGCAGGTCACAGGCCCCGGCATCCGCGGGCTGGAGGCTAAGGTGGGAGCCCAGCTCTGGACACAGCTGAGCCTGTGGTGGCTGCCCCTCTCTGCCTTGGTTTCCTCACCTGCTCAGCAAAAGCGTAGCTAAGGTGCCCCGGTAAGTGTGTGCTAAGCTCTCACCAGGTACCCAGCAGCATTAACAACTGATTCCAGAATCCAGATGCTGAGGTCAGAGGAGGAGTGAGGCAGAGAAAGGGTGACTTGGTGAATGTTTTCACCCTGTCCCTGAGGGCGGCCGGAGAGACAGCTGGGCCAGAGGAGGAGCGAGACAGGGAAGGAGCCAGTTGGTCAGGAGAGTTTGCTGTCAGAGAGAGCTGGGCTGGTGGGTGTCCAAGCTCAGGGCTGCAGTCGGCATCCGCGGCCTGGCCCCACTCACCCTAGGACCCAGGCTGACACCCTCGGTTCCTCTAGGCAATGGGCACAATACACCTCGCTCCAGAGCTGCGTGATGGCAAACTCGAGTCCGGCCAGAAAGGGACTCCACATGCGTGTGTCCTGCCCCTGCTCCACCGTGCTTTTTCTGTGGCCTGGAGAAGCCTCTGGGACAGAGATCCCTGCAGACTCTCCCCCTCCCTGCCCCCAATGCCGAAGGCCACCCCATGCAATGCGCCCAGGCAGTGGACAGCTCCATGCCTGCAGTGAACCACTCTAGACGATGGCTGGGATTCAGACCCAGATGACAAGGCCGATCAGGAAGACAAGGGTCACACCTTTCAATGGATTGAGGCCCGGCACACAGGAAGCGTGGCACAAATGTTCCCACACCACTGCACGCACACGACCAAGGTGTCATCTCAGGAGTACACTTAACGCAGCAGAAATGCCCCATGGAGGTGAGCTCCAGCAGGCAGGAGTTCTATCTGCTTTGTGTAGCCGGAAGACCAGACGCCCCACAGCAGGAGCAAACACCCGGGTGCAGGAGTGAAAGGCGGAACTACGATGCACACAGCTTTGCAGGCACACAGCACCTCAGACACGCACACAGCTGCGCGTGCACACTCACCCTGGGACAGGCGTGCTCGCAGGGGCTCCCAGCCGGCAGTGTGCTCCTCCCCATTGCCGGACTACTTTCACCAGCCATGGGCACACAGGGAGAGATCTAGGGAGAATAACTGTGAGGTTTTATGGGGCTTTTCCTTTGTATTAAAAAATCACTTGTATGGGATTAAGCCGCACTTTTGCCAGCCTTCACATTTGCAGGTAATGGGGTAATTCCATCTGTGACCTATGACTGCCCATGGTCACCGGGCCTAAGGAGTCCTCGAGAGAAGCTCCCTGCGTGGCCCTGAGCCACTCCCACCAAGCACACGGCACAAAAGACCCATGGCCACAGTGGGAGTCTGAGGATGGTGCCCGGGCCGGGGAATGGAGGGTGTCCACCTGAGGGCTGGGGCCAGGCCAGGACCCTCAAAGGCCGGGAAGGGAGACAGGGAGTTGAATGGTGTCTCCCCAAACTCCTGACCACCGGAGCCTCAGATGGGACCGTATTTGGAAATAGGGTTTTTGCAGATGTGATGAAGGAAGGCATCCCATGGCAAATCATCCTGGATGGGGGAGGCCCTAATTCCAGTCACTGTAAACTTATAAGAAATTAGGGAGACTGCAGACACACAGGAAGGTGACCTCGTGCAATGGAAGCAGAGATTGGAGTGAGGTGATCATGAGCAAGGAAGGCCTGGGACCACTGTAAACTGGAGGAGTAAGGACAAGCCCTCCCCTAGGGCCTTCAGAGGGAGAACAGGCCTGTTGGCACCTTGATTTTGGACATCTGGCCTCCAGTGCTGTGAGACCATCAGTTTCTGTTGTTTTAGGCCATCTGGTTCATGGTACCCCATGACAGCAGCCCTAAGTGACTAACACAGGAGGACACCGGTGAAGTAGCCACAACCCAGGAAACCAGCATGGCCTGGAGCCTCCCCTAGAGCCCCTCCCCGCCGTAGCCCCTTTCTCAGCTCGGAGCATGCACAGCCTCCTTCTCCCCTCCTGCCCATCCATCAGGCTCCCTTCCACTTCCTCGGGGGCTGTTTGGAGGATCCAGCATTTGTGGAAAGGACAAAGAAGGCCTAGCTTGCTCGGGCAACATGCAAGATGGCCAGGTGTGGAGTGCTCATCCACACACCCCCTCACTGGGCACATCCAGCTCTCAGTAGTCTGCCCCAGACCCTTCCAGTAGCATCTCCTCTCAGCTGTGGTAATAGGTTACCTTCCGCCACACCAGACAATTTCCTGCTGCCTGAACAGGACCAGCTTTTCCCTCAGTCATGGCTGTTGCTGATCTCCACATCAGGGGCTCCTCCATGGGTCACCCCGCCCCACAATATCCCCAATATCGGTCTTCATGTGCCCCATCCTCCCTGTGGCCCCATGACCCCGCCTTGCCAGGGCTCTCACTCTTCCAAATCGCTTGCCTTTAGTGTGAGCCAGGCCTGTGATTTGCTTTTTTTAAAAAAGGAAATTTAAATAAATTTTTTATTTGGGGATAATTGTAGATTCGCATGCAACTGTTAAGAGATAATACAGAGAAATCTCACGTATCCTTTTCCTAGCTCCCCACAATGGTAGCATCTTACACAATTGTAGTGCAATATCACAAGGAGGACATTCACATGGAAACGGTCAAGATACAGAATGACTCCACCACACCGAAGACCCCACAGAGCATCTCCATCACCATGAAGACCCCACAGAACATCCCCATCACTATGAAGACCCCACAGAGCATCCCCATCACCATGAAGACCCCACAGAACATCCCCATCACCATGAAGACCCCACAAAACATCCATATCACCATGAAGACCCCACAAAACATCTCCATCACCGTGAAGACCCCACAGAGCATCTCCATCACCATGAAGACCCCACAGAGCATCTCCATCACCATGAAGACCCCACAGGACATCCCCATCACCATGAAGACCCCACAGAGCATCCACATCACCATGAAGACCCCACAGAACATCCACATCACCATGAAGACCCCACAGAGCATCTCCATCACCATGAAGACCCCACAGAGCATCTCCATCACCACGAAGACCCCACAGAACATCTCCATCACCATGAAGACCCCACAGAACATCTCCATCACCATGAAGACCCCACAGAGCATCTCCATCACCATGAAGACCCCACAGAACATCTCCATCACCACGAAGACCCCACAGAACATCTCCATCACCATGAAGACCCCACAGAACATCTCCATCACCACAAAGACCCTAAAGAACATTCCCATCACCACAAAGATCCCACAGAAACTCTTCATTACTGTAAAGAATCCATGTGTCACCCTTTGTAGCCACATTCACTTGTCTTCTGCCCCACCACCTCTTTAACCCATGGAAACCACTAATCTGTTCTCTCTATCTCTACAGTTTTGTCATTTCAGTAATATGATATAATGGAATCATGCAGTATGGAATCCTCTGGGACTGGCTTTTTCCACCCAGCATTATCCTCTGGAGACTCACCCAGATTGTGGCATACAGCAGTAGCTTGTTTCTTTTCACTACTGAGTAGTCTTCCATGGTGTGGCAGTTTCTTTGATCAGTCACCCACTAAAGGACATCTGGATTTGTTTCCAGTTTTTGGCTCTTACAAATAAAGCTGCTATAAACATTTATGTACAGATTTTTGTGTCAACATAAGTCCTCATTTCTCTGAGATAAAAATCTAGGAGTATGATTGATGGGTTATGTGGTAGTTGAATGTTTACTCTTTAAAGAAACTGACAAACTCTTTGCCAAGAGGCTGCACCATTTAAATTCCCACCAGGATTGTATGAGGAATCCAGTGACTGTGTAGTCTCCCCAGCATTTGGTGTGGTCACTATTTTTTATTTTAACTGTTCTGATAGGTGTGTAGTGATACCACATTGTGCTTTTAATATGCATTTCCATAACAGCTAGTTATGTTGAATATATTTTTATGTGCGTAATTGCCATCTGCATCTTCTTCAGTTAAATGTTTCTTTATGCTTTATCTATGGATTGCTTATTCGTTTTTACTGTTGAGTTTTGGCAGTTCTTTCTGTATTCTAGACAAAAGTTCTTTCTTAGACAATGTAGTTTGCAAAAAGTTATCCCATTGAGTAGTTTGACTTTTCATTCTCTCAATAGGATCTTTTGCAAGGCAAAGTTTTAAATTTTGATGAAGTTGAGTTTACTAGTACTTTTCTTTAATCAGTCAAACCAATGTCAAGTCTAAATAACTCTTTGTCTAGTTCAGGATCAGAAGAATTTTCTCCTGTTTTTACTTAAAAGTTTTGTAGCTTTATGTTTCACATTTAAGCCTGTGATACATGTTGAGTTAATTTTTGTTTTGGGTTGAGGTTTACTTTTTTTGTGAGACTCATCTTAGGTTGAGGTTTACTTTTTTGCCTTATGATATTCACTTGCTTCAGAACAATTTTCTAAAAAATCTATCCTTCCTCCATTGAATTGTTTTTGTACTTTTGTCAAAAATTAGTTGGGCTTATTTTCGTAGGTATATTTCTAAGTTCTCTGTTCTGTTCCACTGAGCATTGTGGTCTGTCCCTCTACCAATAAAACACAGTCTTGATTACTGTAGCTATACAATAAGTCTTGAAATTGGGTAGACTGAGTCTTCCCACTTTGTTCTTTATCAAAATTGTTTTAGCTATGCTAATTCCTTTGCCTTTCCACATAAATTTTAGAATAATCTTGTCTATTTTTAAAAAATATTTGCTGAGATTCTAATACAAATTGTATTAAACCTGTATACCAATTGAGGGAGAGTTGACATTTTTACTATGTAGAGTCTTCCAATCCATGAACATGGTATGCCTCTCTGGTTATTTATATTTTCTTTTATTTCTTTCATCAGATTGTGTTGTTTTCATCTACAAATTTGGTTATACTTTGTTATATTTACACCTAAGTATTTTATTTTTAAGTTATTGTATGACATTATATTTTTAATGTAGGGTTCTAAGCATTTATGGATAATATACAGGTGTAATATATTTTACAACTAAGTATTTTATTTTTAGGTTATTGTACATGACATTATATTTTTAATGTAGGGTTCTAAGCATTCATGGATAATATACAGAAATTCAATTGATTTTTGTATAACCTTATATCTTGAAGCTTTCTGAATTCATTAGTTCTAGGAATTTTTTGTAAATTTCTTTGGCTTTTCATGTCTTCTGCAAATAGGGTCAGTTTTATTTCTTTCTTTCTAGTTTGTGTGACTTTTATCACCTTTCCTTTCTTCAGTGCACTAGCTGGAACTTCCAGCACTGTGTTGAGTGAAAGTAATAGGAACAGACATCCTTACCTTGTTACCAATCTTAGGGGGAAATCATTCCATATTTACCATTAAGTTAATGTTAGTTGTAGCTTTTAATTGGTATTTCTTTTCAAGTTGAGGAAGTCCTCCTCTATTCCTATTTTTCTGAGTTTTTGTCTTGAATGGATATTGAATTTTGTCAAGTGACTTTTTGCATTTGTTGATATGATCTTTTTCTGTAGCATCCTTACCTTGTTAATACAATGGATTACAGTGAACCAGCCTTGCATCCCTGCAATAAAACTCTCTTTGTCATGGTTTATAATATTTTTTTCAGATATTGCTCAATTCCGTTAGCTAATATGTCATTAAGGAATTTTGGATCTATATTTATAAGAAATATTGGCCTGTATTTTTCTCTTTTTTGTACTACATTTGTGGATGTGGTAAAAACAGCATTAAAAAATGAATTAGTAAGTGTTCCCTTCTCTATTATTTTGTGGAATAGATTGTGTAGTATTGGCATTAATTCTACTTTAAACATTTGGTGAAATTCTCTAGTGAAACTATTTCAGACTATATATGTCTTTTGGGGGCAGATTTTCAATTATGAATTTAATTCCCTTAATACTTATAGGGCTATTTAAATTATTTATTTCATATACAGTGACTTCTGATAGTTTGTGGTTTTGAAGGAATTGATCCATTTCATATAAGCTGTTAAATTTATGTATGTAGAGTTGTTTGTAGTGTTTTGATGACTGCAAGATCTGTTGTGTATCCTATTTTATTTCTGATATTGGTGACTTATACCTTCTCTTTTTTCTTTATCAATCTTGTTAGGTTTTTGTCATTTTTATTGACCTTTTCAAAGAAATAGATCATTCTTTTATTTATTTATTTTATCTATGTTTTTCTGTTTTCAATGTAATGGACTTTGGCTCTTGTCTTTAGTATTTCCTTCTTTCTTGTTTTGGGTTTATTTTGCTCTTAATTTTTTTAGGTTTCTGAACTAGAAGCTTAGATTATTTATTTGAAACTTTTAACCTCTTCTAATGTATGTATTTAGTGCCATATATATATATATATATGGCATATATGTATGTGTGTGTGTGTATATATATATATAATTCCTCTCAGTACTGCTTTATCTGTATCCATGAATTTGGAAGTGTTATATTTTTATTTTGATTTAGTTCAATGTATGTTTTTTATTTTCGTTGAGACTCTGTCTTTCTCTGTCTTCCTCTTTGCCCAAATAGATTATTTAGAAGTGTACTTTTTAGTTTTCTGGAGTTTGCCCTTTGGGTGTCAACAAAATACTCACTTTAAATATAATGGTATACAGTGGTTGAACATTTTTAAAAATGAAAAATAATATCCCATGTAAACACCGAAAAAAAGAAATTGATTGGCTGTATTAATAATAGATAAAGCAAACTTCACAGCAAATAAATTTGCCAAGGAAAGAGAGGAACATCACAAAGATTTTCTCATTATCTTCCTGTTACTGATTTCTAGTTCAATTCCATTGTAGTTAGAGAACACACTCTGCTTGATTTTGATTCTTTTAAATTTGTTGAGGCTTGTTATATGGCTCAAGATACGGTCTACCTAAATATATGTTTATGACCACTTGAAAAGAAGATGCTTTTTGCTACTTGTTAGTGAAGTCTTTTGTAAAGCTTGATTAGATCCTGCTGGTTGATGATGTTGGTGAGTTCTACATTCCTGCTGATTTTATGTCTAGTTGTTCTACCTAACTGTTGAGGGAGAGGAGTTGAAGTTGCCAACTATAATTATGGATTTATCCATTTCTCTTTCAACTCTATCAGTTTTTGCTTCACATTTTGCAACTTTATTGTTTGGTACATACACATTTAGGATTGCTATATCTTCTTGGTGGATTGACCACTTTATCATAATGTGATGTTCCTCTCTTTCCTTGGCAAATTTATTTGCTGTGAAGTTTGCTTTATCTATTATTAATACAGCCAATCAATTTCTTTTTTTCGGTGTTTCATTGGATATTATTTTTCATTTTTAAAAATGTTCAACCACTGTATACCATTATATTTAAAGTGAGTTTTTTTTGTTGACACCCAAAGGGCAGGCCTTCTGTTGCTGCTGGAAAAGGATGAGAACTCTAGCTTCTCCCATGGTCTCCCTTCCACCACAGTGGGTGATGGTGAGCACATGACTCTCCACGAGGCCTCCTCAGATCCCACTCCAGCAGGGAAAGCAAGGGGCACCTCATTATTGCCATGTGGGAATGGAAGCCCAGGCTTTCCCTGTGGTCTCCACTGATACTGCTGGAGGCCTCATTACTGCTAGTGGGAGTCAAAGTCCCACTTCTTTAACACCACCCTGATGAGGGTGTTGGATGCCTCATTACAGCCTCCCATGGGCAGAAATCTAGGTCCCCCACTCAGTCTTTGCTGATGAGATTAAGCGTGGGGCTACAGTTTTTCTTTGGCATTTGGCTGAAGTAGAACTACTATTATCTACACATTTTCTGTCTTGTGAACCGCCTTTTTCCTGGTCATTTGGCTAAAGAGAAAAAGCTTTTGTTGAGCCTCATCTGTGCTTGCTGGTCCCTGCAGTTTGCCAGCTTATGCAACTCCAAGTCTGGGACATATAAGGCCAAATGGAAACCCTACAAACACATCGCTGAATCCTTCCTCAGGTCCTGAGGTCCCTGGGTGTTCCACCTTCTTCCCTCAACCTTTCAGGGCATTCTGATGCTTGTTTTATATATCATGTTCAGATTGTTAGCTGTACTTAATGGGAGAAATAGGGAAATGTACGTCAACTCCATCTTCTCTGAAGCAGAAGTCCACTTGCTTTTGACAATAGAGTAGAACAAAGGTGATGCTGTCACTCCCACGAATATATTATGTTAGATTAGACTCCGTCATGCTAGCAGGCTGTCTCTGGAGACTCTCTTTGATGGCTTGATAAAGTGAGCAGCCATGCTGCGGACTTCACATGTTAAGAAGCTGTGGGTGGCTTCTAGTTAATGGTCAGTAAGAAGCTGCAGTCATTGGTCCTGTAACCGCGAAGAAATAAATTTTACCAACAACCTGAGTACATTTGAAAGTGGATTCTTCCCAGTTGAGCCTTCAGATGAGAACACAGTCCCAGAAGACACCTTGAGTGTGGCCTTGTGAGACCTTGAGCAGAAGACCCAGCCCCCCTGTGCCTGGACTTCTGATCCACAGTGCAATGGACGGTGTCCCCATAAAATGTATATGTTGAAATCCTAACCTCCGTTGTAATAGTATTTGGGGGTGGCACCTTTGGAAGGTCATTAGGTCATGAGGGTGGAACTCATGCAAATGGGACTAGGACCCATCTAAGGAGAGGCCCCAGAGAGCTAGCTCACTCTCTGTCTGCCATGTGAAATTCAAGGAGAAGTGAGCCAGCAGCAACTGGAAGAGGCCCTCACCAGAGTCCAACCTGGCTGCCTCCCTGATCTTGGACTCCCAGCCTCCAGAAGTATGGGGTAGGAACTTCTGTTGTTAATGAGCCACCCAGACTGAGGTATTTTGTGATAGCAGCCCGAGGTGACAAGACACAGTAACTGTGACTTAATAATGAGTGTGGTTTTAACACGCCAGGTTCATGAAGATGTGTTGTGCAGCAATGGACAGTCAATATTCTCCCCATTCCCAAAGTCCCTACATGGCCCTGCTTCCACAGCCCCTGCCATGTTAGGGATTCCCTTCCTGGCTCCACTGTGCACTTGCTGTCACCTGGCCCCTCTCACCAGCTCCAGCCACGCTCTCACTGACGTCGCCTCCCTGGGTGAACCTGAAGTTTGCCCAGGGCAGGGATTGGAGTTCCACCACCCCAGCATCCTGGGCAGAACCCCTGTGGGGCCCGTAGACCCTGGACATGTGGGTATTGGGTGTTCAGGCCCCTGCCAGGGGAAAAAGTGAATTCAGTCCACTGTGTTCATAGTTGGGAGCCAGCCTGTGCATGCGGAGGAGACTGTGGCACCAGCTAGTGCAAACGACTGTACACACCCACCTCTGATGCCACCCTGGCCAATGCTGAAGAACAGGGATGGGAAGACAGGGGCCAGATCTGAATGTTGACCAATGGACATCACACTGAGGGATGGCAGGAAGGGGCCCGGCATGAGCAGAGGCAGAGAGGCATGGCCAGGGAGGCTATGTTGGGAGAGGCAGGCTCACAGAGAGGCCCATTTTCCACCCCCGCTGGGCTCCTGCAAGGCACTGTTCTCCCTGGGTGGCACCACGAGCCACCCTCCCTGCCTCCCTCCCAGCATGATGTTCAGGTGGCAGCCCACTTGTTCTACTCCACGGCTCGTCCCAAGCCACACTGGAGCCTCCAACAACCCCAGCTGACTCACCTCCTCTGTATCTCTCAGATAGGCACCTTCTGTTGCTCCCACTGCCCCCACCCTCATCTCCTCTCAGCCCTTGCAACAGCCCCACCTCTGTTTGCATCCAATTCTCCACTCAGCCAGAGGTGCCTCAAAAGGCAGACTAATCACATCCCTGTCTCCTGCCTAAAACCTTCCATGACTCCCCTGTCCTTCAGGGTGAAGTCTGTGCTCTTGGTTAACCACAGGCTCTTTGAGTCCTGGTCCCAGATAGCTTCCCACCCTCCGAGGTCTTCTGCCCACCATGTTCCTCCTCTCTGGACCACGGGGTGTTCTCTGAGCCCAAAGCGCTCCCTTCCCCTCCAGACCAACCTTCAGCTGAGCTCACCTCCTGCCTGCACTTGCTCTCCCACCCTGATCAGGCTTCAGTCTCAGGCTTTCCTGCCACCCCTCCCCAGCCTAGGGAGGGGCCCTCTTCTGTACAGCGCCTGTCACCTGGCCCTGTAACTTCCTGATTTCCTGTGTACCTGTCTGTCTTCTCCCCAGCTAGAAGTCTGGAGCTTCTAGCGGGAGAGGCTCAGGAAGTGGCTGTGTGTGCATGTGTGTGTGTGTGACAGAGAGAGAGAGGGAGAGAGAGAGAAAGAGAGTCAGTGAACAAGAGATGGGAGTGGGAGTGCGGGGAGGAGATGCAGCGTTCATGTCTAATGAGCACAGCTTCCGTCTGGGAAGATGCCATGGTCTTGTGGAATGGATGGTCATGATGGCTGCACAACCAGGTGAGTGATCTTAATGTCACGCAACTGTGCACTTGAATATGGTTAGATGGTAAATTGCACATTACTGTGTGTATTTTACCACAACACATTTTTTAATTATAATGAAATAAAAGCATAAAAAGAAAAAGAAAAGGCTTTAAAAGGTGTATATCATTGTGCTCATTAATTCTGCCTATAGAAATCTATCCTGAAAAAAAAAATCATTTTTTAGATTAGGCTGATGTACAAATATGCTCAAAGAAACAATATTTACACTAGAGAAGACAGAAAGGATATGTTTATTCAACAGAGGAAGTGGTTAAATAAATTATAACTCACATATCCTGGAGTATTTCTAACTCTTTAGAGTGATGCTTATGAAAATGGTATGAACATCAATATTTTCTTATAATAATCACTGAGAAAGGTAGGAACCAAATTTTAAATATAACCACTAGTTAAAAAATATCTATGCTTGGGAAATAAAATAGTAGTTAAAACATCTGAATTTAACAGCTTGTATTTGGA